>NT_113891.3:3600000-3900000 GCF_000001405.40 Homo sapiens | reverse complement strand
TTGATGTGTTCTTGATAATTATTACCTCTATTAACTTTCAACAACTGGTAATTATAAGTCATAAATGGTGACGACTATCCCAAATATTTTTCAGTAAAATGCCTCAGATTTCTGCAGTAATTCTACATTTTATACTACTGATAATGTAAGATGCTTTCTATTCACTGTGGTACATATACACCACGGAATACTATGCAGCCATAAAGAGGAATGAGATCATGTCCTTTGCAGAGACATGGATGAAGCTGGAAGCCATTATCCTCAGCAAATTAACACAGAAACAGGAAACCAAACACCGCATGTTCTCACATATAAATGGGAGCTAAACAATGAGAACACATGGACACAGGGAGGAGAACAACACTTACTGGGGTCTGCTGGGGGAGGGCAGAGTTGGGGAGAACATTAGGGAAAAGAGCTAATGCGTGCTGGGCTTAATACCTAGGTAATGGGTTGATAGCTGCAGCAAACCACCATGGCACATGTTTACCTATGTAACAAACCTGTACATCCTGCACATGTACCCAGAACTTAAAAAAAAAAATTATTATTTTAAAAATGCTTTCTATTCATCTCATTTTATTAAACACAAGGATTTTTCTTTATTTTTGATTTTTCATAGTTCATTTAAACATAAATACAAAAACATCAAAAATATATACATGCACAGTATTTGAAATCTGTGTATATTTACACATGCATACGTATGTTTGTATGTTTATATATATTGAAACTACAGATGCACATGTCACCAGTAAGAGCTCTGTGACACTTTTGAGTCCTTACCTCTTCAGATCAGATTTGCCAAATGAGTTTCGGCAACAAATTAAAAACAGCAGCAAGTGAATTCGTGAGTTTTCTGGATTTAGAAAGTCCAAAAAAAAAAGTTTGTGAACCTGTGTTGGGGTCATGGACTCTTCAACTGTTTCCCATTACATTTAGTATAAATCGAAATCCTAACATGACAATGATTTTAATTGTTCCCTTCTTGTGATTTCTCCAGTTTAATCTTTTCCCCTCCTTTCCTTCATGCTGTGCTTTAGTGAACTTTTTTCTGGTTTCTTGAAGAAGTTCATCAATTCTTTCAAGCTTTTGTACATGATATTATGCTTACCTGAAATGTGCCTCCCTTTTTGTCCAGAGACACACACGGGCTCCACTCTGCCCCCTGGCTCACACCCACTAAACCTGTAAGGTCACATTTGAGCTGTCACTCTCAGAGTCCTTCTCTGGCACCCTAATGTAATTTAGATCATCCTATTCTTTCTTCTAGAACTCCACACTTCTCTTAACATTTTTCGTTCCTGTATAAGGTGTTGCGTGTTTGGTTTTTTGCCATCAATTTCACTTCTCTTTAAGCTCCTCCAGCGGAGGGATGAGGTCTATTTTTCCCGTTTGGATTCCCAGGAGACAGCACAGATGAGACACAAGGTAAGCACTAAGGAAGCATTTACAGAATGGAGGCAGTGGGTCTTGTTTAAGGAATGAGTAGAGTGTGGCATGATAGGAGGGAGCAGAAGTGTCTTTTGGATGGAGGCTCCCAGGAGGAGGAAGCGCAGGAGACAGTGATGAGGAAGGTGATCCTGATCCAGAGCCTTGCAAAGAGGCGTCCAGCTCAGCTCGGAAATGGGTAGCGGATCCCAAATGGTATTCCACGCCCCTCGCAGCCTCCCTCCGCCTCAGGCAGATGGAAGAGGAACCCCTAGGTGGTCGGGGGTGGCTGGTGGGGGCCAGTCAAGGTGTTCCGCCCCTCGCCCTGCTGATTGTGGGCATAGCCATCACTCTTTTCCTAGGATGCCGCCCAAGAAACCGGTTCTTCATGTCCCTGCGGCACATTTCTTGGAGCAGATTAAACACGAGTGCTATTTCTGCAATGGGACAGAGCGGATGCGGTTTGTGCAGAGACTCATCCACACCGGAAGGAGTATGCGCGCTTCCATAGGGACGTCGGAAAGTTCCGGGCGGTGGCGGAGCTGGAGCGGAGAAGAGTCCAGGAATGCAAACAGCCAGAAGAACCTCTTGGGCTGCTTGCGGGGTCTGTTGGACACCTACTGCAGACACAACTACGGGGTTTTTGAGAGCTTCTCCATGCACAGGCGAGGTGAGCAAGGCGGGTGGGGGAGGGGAGTAGGGTCCCTGAGAACAGGGAGTGTGTGTGTATGCACACGTAAGCACCCTGTGGGAGGGTGTAGGATTGTGAGCCAGAAGGAATTAGGAGGGCTCAGGTAGGTGAGTGTAGAGTGGGGATTTGTCTGTGTGTCTGCTGTGGGAGGGAACACAGGAGGGAGCTTCAGCTTGTCCTTCCAGCCTTCTGGGCAGAGATGAGATGAGATGGGGGTGGGAATGGTGGTGCAGGGGGCTGGAGAAGGAGACCTTAATCGCCCTGAATCATTAGAGATGCAGGAAAGGGAAACTTACCTAGTCTGCTGTTGGCATGAAAGTTTAGGGGAGAAGAGATGAGAAATGATAATGTGAGGGATAATGTGAGGAGGCTAGTCACAAACTGTCCTTGGTACACTCCCTTTATGATCCCGAAATCTCTGAAATAAAAGTGTATGATATTTGTTTGCATAAGCATTTCACTGAGAAAAAAGTATTGAACTAATTTCTTTCTTTTTTATTTTAAACTTTTATTTTAGTTTTAGGGATACATGTACAGGTTTGCTCTATAGGTAAACTGCATGTCAGGTGTTTGATGTACAGATAATTTCATCACCAAGGTAATAAGCATAGTATCTCACAGGTATTTTTCCTGATCCTTTCCCTCCTCCTATCCTTCACCCTCAAGTAGGTCCCCATATCTACTGTTCTCTTCTTTGTATCCATGTGTACTCAATGTTTAGTTCCCACTTATAAGTGAGAACATGTGGTATTTGGTTTTTTGTCCCTATGTTAGTTTGCATAAGATAATGGCCTCCAGCTCCATCCATGTTCCTGCAAAGGACATGATCTTGAGAGGTGACGCTGGCTGGGCTTCTGGGTTGGGCAGGGACTTGGAGAACTTTTCTGTCTAGCTAAAGGATTGTAAAAGCACCAATCAGCACTCTGTGAAAACACACCAATCAGCACTCTGCATCTAGCTAAAGGTTTGTAAATGCACCAATCAGCACTCTGTAGAAATGCCCCAATCAGTGCTCTGTGTCTAGCTAAAAGTTTGTAAACGTGCCAATCAGCACTCTGTAAAATGGACCAATCAGCAGGATGTGGACAGGGCCAAATAAGGGAATAAAAGCTGGCCAACCCAGCCAGCAGCTGCAACCCACTCAGGTCCCCTTCCACACTGTGGAAGCTTTGTCCTTTCACTCTTTGCAATAAATCTTGCTGCTGCTCACTCTTTGGGTCCGCACTACCTTTATGAGCTGTAACACTCACTGCTAAGGTCTGCAGCTTCACTCCTGAAGCCAGCAAGACAACAAACCCACCAGGGGGAACGAACAACTCAGGACGCACCACCTTTAAGAGCTGTAACACTCACTGTGAAAGTCTGCAGCTTCACTCCTGATGTCAGCGAGACCACAAACCCACTGGGAGGAATGAACAACTCCAGATGCACCACCTTTAAGAGCTGTAACACTCACAGCAAAGGTCTGCGGCTTCACTCCTGAAATCAGCAAGACCACGAACCCACCAGAAGGAAGAAACTTGGGATACATTTGAACATCTGAAGGAACAAACTCCGGACACACCATCTTTAAGAACTGTAACACTCACCACAAGGGTTCATGGCTTCATTTTTGAAGTCAGCGAGACCAAGAACCCACCGGAAGGAACCAATTCTGGACACAATCTCATTCTTTTTATGGCTGCATAGTATTCCATGGTGTATATGTACCACGTTTCCTTTAACCAGTCCACTGTTGATGGGCATCTAGGTTGATTCAATGTCTTTGCTATTGTGAACAGTGCTGCAGTGAACATATGTGTGCATGTGTCTTTATGGTAGAATGGTTTATATTCCTTTAGGTATATACACAGTAATGGGATTGCTGAATCAAATGGTAATTTTCTTTTTAGTTCTTTGCACCCCACTGCTTTCCACAATGGCTGAACTAATTTACATTTCTATTAGCAGTGTATAAGCATTCTCTTTCCCTGCAACCTCACCAGCATCTGTTATTTTTTGACTTTTTAATAGTAGCCATTCACACTGGTATGAGATGGTATCTTATTGTGATTTTGACTTGCATATCTCTAATAATTAGTGCTGTTGCGAATTTTTTCCTATGTTTGTTGGCTGCATGTATGTCTTCTTTTGAAAAGTGTCTGTTCATGTCTGTTCATGCCCATATTTTAATGAGGTGGTTTGGTTTTTTTCTTGTAAATTTGTTTAAGTTCCTTATAGATTCTGGATATTAGACCTTTGTCAGATGCATAGTTTGCAAATATTTTCTGTTGCAGGTGAGCAATAACTATCTGGGCCAGTGGCGCCAGGGTAAAAGAATTTACCAAGACAGTTGTAGGTAGAAAAAAAAGCAGATTTATTAGAGAAAGTAGGAAAATATGTTGCAAGGAGGCAACAGGCAGGCAGGCCAGCAGAAGAGAAGCTGACTGCACGGAAACAAGGGCTTGCAGGAGATTTTATAGGATGGTTCTTAGGCTGCAGAGTGCTATGTGCAGTAGCAACAATGCCAGGGTTGCAGTGAGCTAGCTTATAGATGTCTGATGATAGTTGGGCACGGGAAGACTGTGAGTTATTTGCACAGGAAGGCTGTGTGTTCTGGACCATGAGGAAAGACAGACTTACAGCTTATTTGTTTTACCTCTTTGCTTTCTTCTGGTCCCACCAGCCTGACTCCTTTTCCCGAATTAGGACTTAACATTTTCTCCATTCTCTAGGTTTTCTATTTACTCTGTCGATAGTTTCTTTTACTGCACAGAAGCTCTTAAGTTAAATTAGGTCCCATTTGTCAATTTTTGTTTTTGTTGTGATTGCTTTTGGTGTCTTTGCCATGAAATCTTTGCCAAGTCCTATGTTCAGAATGGTATATTCTAGGTTACTTTCCAGGGTTTTTATGATTTTTGGTTTTACATTTAAGTCATTAATTCATTTTAAGTTGATTTTTGTATATGGTGTAAGGTAGGAGTCCAGCTTCAGTCTTCTGCGTATGGCTAGCCAGTTAGTACAGCACTGTTTATTGAATGAGGAGTCCTTTCCTCATTGCTTGTTTTTGTCATCTTTGTCAAAGATCAGATGGTTGGAGTTGTACAGCATTATTTCTGGACTCTCTATTCTGTTCCATTTGTCTGTGTGTCTGCTTTTGTACCAGTACCATGCTGTTTTGGTTACTGTGGCCTCATAGTATAGTTTGAAGTTGAGCAACATAGTACCTCTTACTTTATTCTTTTGCTTAGGATTGCCTTAGCTATTTAGGCTCTGTTTTGCTTCCATATGAATTTTAAAGTAGTTTGTTCTAGTTCTGTGAAGACTGTCAATGGTAGTTTAATGGGAATAGCATTGAATCTATAAATTACTTTGGGCAGTATGGCCATTTTAATGATATTGAGTCTTCCTATCCATGAGCATGATAATTTTTTCCATTTGTTTGTGTCATCTCTGATTTCTCTGAGCAGTGTTTTGTAGTTCTTCTTGTAGAGATCTTTCATCTCCATAGTTAGCTGTATTCTTAGGTAATATGTGTGTGTGTGGAAATTGTGAGTGGGATTATGTTCTTGATATGGGTCTCAGCTTGAGTGTTCTTTGTGTATAGGAATGCTGCTGATTTTTATATGTTGATTTTTTTTATCCTGAAACTTTGCTGAAGTTGTTTATCAGCTAAAGGAACTTTTGGGCCAAGATTTGGAGATTTAGGGTTTTCTAGACACAGGATCATATCATCTGCAAACAGGGATAGTTTGACTTCCACTCTTCCTCTTTGAATGCCCTTTATTTCTTTCTCTGGCCTGATGTTCTGGTCAGGACTTCCAATACTATCTTGAATAAGAATGGTGAGGGAGGGCCGGGCACAGTGGCTTACACCTGTAATCCCAGTGCTTTAGGAGGCTGAGGTGGGTGGATCACGAGGTGAGGATATCAACACCATCCTGGCTAACATGATGAAACCTGGTCTCTACTAAAAAAAAAAAAAAAAAAAAAAAAAAAGGCCAGGCGTGGTGGCATGTGCCTGTAGTCCCAGCTACTTGGGAGGCTGAGGCAGGAGAATTGCTTCAACCTGGGAAGCGAGATTGCAGTGAGCTGAGATCGCGCCACTGCACTACTCCAGCCTGGCAACAGAGCAAGACTCTGTCTCCAAAAAAAAAAAAAAACAGTGGTGAGAGAGGGCATCCTTGTCTCCTGCTGATTTTCAAGAGCGATGCTTCCAGCTTTTGCCCATTCACTATGTTGTTGGCTGTGGGTTTGTCATTGATGGCTCTTATTATTTTGAAGTATGTTCCTCCAATGCCTAGTTTACTGAGGTTTTTTTTTTTTTTTAAGATGGAGTCTTTCTCTGTTGTCAGGCTGGAGTGCAGTGGTGGGATCTTGGCTCACTGCAACCTCCGCCTTCTGGGTTCAAGCGATTCTCCTGCTTCAGCCTCCTGAGTAGCTGCGACTACAGGCGCATGCCACCATGCCCAGCTAAGTTTTCATTTTTAGTAGAGACAAGGTTTCACCATGTTGGCCAGGATGGTCTCAATCTCCTGACCTTGTGATCTGCCCACCTCAGCCTCCCAAAGTGCTGGGATTACAGGCGTGAACTGAGCATTTTTAACATGAAGTGCTGTTGAATTTTATCAAAAGCCTTTTCCACATCTATTGAGATGATCAGGTGGTTGTTGCCTTTCATTCTGCTTTATGTGATGGATCACATTTGTTGATTTGTATATGTTGAACTAACCTTGCATCTCAGGGGTAAAATCTACTTGATCGTGGTACATTAGCTTTTGATGTGCTGCTTGATTTGGTTTGTTAGTATTTTGTTAAGGATATTTGCATCTATGTTCATCAAGAATATTGGCCTGAAATTTTCTTTTTTTGTTGTTTCTGCCCGATTTTGGTATCAGGATGATGCTGGCCTCAGAATGAATTGGGGAGTAATCCCTTCTCCTCAATTTTTTTGGAATAATTTTAATAGGAATAGGACCAGGTCTTCTTTATCCATCTGGTAGAATTCAGCTGTGAATCCATCTGGTCCCAGGCTTTTTTTGGTTGGTAGGCTTTTTATTACTGACTCAATTTCAGAACTCATTATTGGTCTGTTTAGGAATTCAGTTTCTTCCTGGTTCAGTCTTGAGAGGGTGTATGTGTCCAGGAATTTATCCATTTCTTAAATATATATTCATTTATATTAGTCCATTATCATGCTGCTAATAAAGGCATACTTGAGATTGGGCAATTTACAAAAGAAGGAGGTTTAATGGACTCGCAGTTCCACATGGCTGGGGAGGCCTCACAATCATGGTGGAAGGTGAAAAGCACATCTCACATGGCAGCAGACAAGAGAAGAGGACTTGTGCAGGGAAACTCCCCTTCATAAAACCATCAAATCTCATGAGACTTATTCACTATCACAAGAATAGTATGGGAAAGACCTACCCCATGATTAAATTACCTCCCACCAGGTCCCTCCCACAACATGTGGGTATTATGGGACCTACAATTCAAGGTGAGATTTGGGTGGGGACAGGGCCAAACCATATCATTCCACCACCGGCCCCTCCCAAATCTCATGCCCTCATATTTCAAACCAATCATGCCTTCTCAAGAGTACCCCAAAGTCTTATTTCTACATTAACTCAAAATCCACAGTCCAAATTCTCATCTGAGACAAGGCAAGTCCCTTCTGCCTATGAGCCTGTAAAATCAAAAGCAAGCTAGTTACTTCTTAGACACAATGAGGGTACAGGCATTGAATAAATGTACCCATTCCAAATGGAAGAAACTGGCCAAAATGAAGGGACTTAAAGGCTCCATGCAACTCTGAAATCCAGCAGAGCACTTAAATCTTAAACTCCAAAAAATGACCTCCTTTGATTCCATATCTCACATCCAGGTCACACTGATACAAGAGGTGGGTTCCCCTGGTCTTGAGCAGCTCCGCCCCTGTGGCTTTGCAGGATATAGCCTCCCTCCAAGCTGCTTTCATGGGCTGGCATTGAGTGTCTGCAGCTTTTCCAGTGCATGATGCAAGCTGTCAGTGGATCCATCACTCTGGAGTCTGGAGGATGGTGTTCCTCTTTTCAAAACTCCACTAGGCACTGCCCCATTGAGAACTCTGTGTGAGGGTGCCCACTCCACATTTCCTTTCTGCACTGCCCTAGCAGAGGTTCCACATGAGTGCCCTGCCCAGGCAGCAAACTTCTGCCTGGACATCCAGGCATTTCCATACATCCTCTGAAATCTAGGTGGAGGTTCCCAAACCTCAACTCTTGACTTCTGTGTACACGTAGGCTCAACACCACATGGAAGCTGCCAAGGCTTGGGGCTTGCATCCTCTGAAGTCGTGGCCTGAGCTCTATGTTGGCCCCTTTTAGTCACAGCTGGAGCGGCTGAGACACAGGGCACCAAGTCCAAAGACCGCATACAGCACGGGGACACTGGGCCCAGCCCAAGAAACCATTCTTTCCTCCTAGGCCTCCAGGCCTGTGATGGGCAGGGCTGCCATCAAGACCTCTGACATGGCCAGGCATGGTGGCTCACACCTGTAATCCCAGCACTTTGGGAGGCCGAGGTGGGTGGATCATGAGGTCAGGAGATCGAGACTATCCTGGCTAACATGGTGAAACCCCGTCTCTACTAAAAATACAAAAAATTAGCCAGGTGTGGTGGCGGATGCCTGTAGTCCCAGCTACTTGGAAGGCTGAGGCAGGAGAATGGCATGAACCTGGCAGGCAGAGCTTGCAGTGAGCTGAGATCATACCACTGCACTCCAGCCTGGGCGACAGAGCGAGACTCTGGAAAAAAAAAAAAAACACCTCTGACATGCCTTGGAGACATTTTCCCCATTGTCTTAATAATTAACATTCAGCTCCTCGTTACCCATGAAATTTCTGCAGCCAGCTTGAATTTATCCTCAGAAAATTGGATTTTCTTTTCTATTGCATTGTCAGGCTGCAAATTTTCCAAACATTTATGCTCTGCTTCCCTTATAAAACTGAATGGCTTTAACAGCACGCAAGTAACCTCTTGAATGCTTTGCTGCTTAGAAATATCTTCTGCCAGATACCCTAAATCATCTCTCTCAAGTTCAAAGTTCCACAAGTCTCTAGGACAGGGACAAAATGCCACCAGTCTCTTTGCTAAAGCATAATGAGTCACCTTTGCTCCAGTTCCCAACAAGTTCCTCATTTCCATCTGAGACTACCTTAGCCTGGACATTATTGTCCACATCACCATCAGCATTTTGGGCAAAGGCATTCAACAAGTCTCTAGGAAGTTCCAAAATTTCCCACATTTTCCTATCTTCTTCTGAGCCCTCCAAACTGTTTCAACCTCTGCCTGTTACCCAGTTCCAAAGTCACTTCCACATTTTCAGATATCTTTTCAGCAGTGCTCCACTCTCCTCTATTAGTCTGTTATGCTGCTGACAAAGATGTACCTGAGACTGGGCAATTTACAAAAGAAAGAAATTTAATTGACTGACAGTTCCACATGGCTAGGGATGCCTCACAATCATGATGGAAGGTGAAAATCACATCTCACATGGTGGCAGACAAGACAAGAGAACTTGTGCAGGGAAACTCCTCTTTATAAAACTATCAGATCTCATGAGACTTATTCACTATGATGAGAATAGCATGGGAAAGACCCGCACCCATGATTCAATTACCTCCCACCAGGTGCCTCCCGTGGCATGTGAGAATTGTGGGAGCTACAATTCAAGGTGAGATTTGAATGGGAACACAGCCAAACCAGATCAGCACCCAACACAGGAACACCCAGATTCATAAAGCAAGTTCTTAGGGACCTTCAAAGAGACTTAGACTCCAACACAATAATACTTGGAGATGTTAACAACTCACTGATAATATTAGACAGATCATCGAGACAAAAAATTAACAAAGATATTCAGGACTTGAACTCAGCACTGAATCAAATGGACCTGATAGACATCTATAGAATTATCCACACCAAAACAACAGTATACACATTCTTCTCATCACCACATGGCATGTACTCTAAAATTGATCACATAATCGGAAGTCAAATACTCCTCAGCAAATGCACAAGAACTGAAATCATAAAAAACAATCTTTCAGACAACAGTGCAATCAAATTAGAAATTAAGACTAAGAAATTCATTCAAAACCCTACAATTACATGGAAGTTGAACCGCCTGCTCCTGAATGACTTTTGTGTAAATAATGAAATTAAGGAAGAAATTGAGAAGTTCTTTAAAACTGATGAGAACAACGATACAACATACCAGAATCTCTGGGACACAGCTAAGGCAGTGTTAAGTGGGAAATTTATGCATCAAATGCCCACATGAAAAAGAAAGACCTCAATTTAACAACCTAACATCACAACTAAAAGAACTGGTCAACCAGGTACAAACCAATATCAAGGCTAGCAGAAGACAAGAAATAACCAAAATCAGAGCTGAACTAAAGGAGATTGAGACAGAAAAAAAAACAACACTCAAAAGATCAATGAGTCCAGGAATTGGTTTCCTAAAAAAAAATTAATAAAAAAAAAAGACCTCTAGTTAGACTAATAAAGAAGAAAAGAGAGAAGATTCAAATAATCACACTCAGAAATTACAATGGGGATATTACCACTGACCCCACAGAAACACAAATAACCATCAGAGAATATTAAAAACACCTCTATGCACATAAACTAGGAAAACTAGAAGAAATTGATAAATTTCTGGACACGTACACCCTCCCAAGACAGAACCAGGAAGAAATTCAATCCCTGAACAGACTGATAATGATCTCAGAAATTAAATCAGTAATAAGTAGACTACCAAACAAAAAAAACCCCTAGGACTAGAATAATTCACAGCTGAATTCTGCCTGATGTACAAAGAAGAGCTGGTACCATTCCTGTTATAATTAGTCCAAAAAATTGAGGAAGAGGGATACCTCTCTAACTCATTCTATGAGGCCAGCATCATCAGGATCAGCACCAAAACCTGGCAGACACACACACAAAAGAAAACTTCAGGCAAATATTATTGATGAAGATTTATGCAAAAATCCTCCACAAAATACTGGCAAACTGAATCCAGCAGTACATTAAAAAGCTAATCTACAATGATCAAGTATGCTTTATCTTGGTGATGCAAGGTTAGTTCAACATATGCAAATCAATAAATTTGATTCATTACATAAGCAGTACTAAAGACAGAAGCCACATGATTAGCTCAATAGATGCAGGAATGGTTTTTGATAAAATTCAATATCCCTTCATTTAAAAACTCTTAATAAACTGAGTAGTAAGTGAACATAACTTAAAATAATAAGAGCCTTCTGTGACAACCCCACAGCTAATACCATACTAAATGGGAAAAAGCTAGAAGCATTCCCCTTGAAAACCAGCGCAAGACAAGGATACCCTCTCTCACTACTCCTATCCAACATAGTATTGGAAGTCTTGGCCAGGGCAACACGCAAGAAAAAGAATTAAAGGCATCCAAACAGGAAGAGAGGAAATTGAACTATGCCTATTTGCAGATGGCATGATCCTATATCAAGAAAACCCCATAGTCTCAGCCCAAAAGCTCTTTAAGCTAATTAACAACTTCAGCGAAGTCTTGGCATTCAAAATTAATGTGGAAAAATTACTAACATTCCTATACACCACAACAGTCAAGCTGAGAGCCAAATCAGGAACGTAATCCCATTCACGATTGCCACACACACACGAAATACCTAGGAATACAGCTAACTAGGGAGGAGAAAGATCTCTACAAGGAAAACTACAAACCACTGCTCAAAGAACTCAGAGATGACACAAATAAATGGAAAAAAATATCATGTTCATGGAAAAGGAAGAATCAATATTGTCTGGGCGCGGTGGCTCACATCTGTAATCCTAGCACTTCCGGAGGCCAAGGCAGGCGAATCACCTGAGGTCAGGAATTTGAGACCAACCTGGCCAACATGGTGAAACCCCATCTCTAGTAAAAATACAAAAAAATTATCCAGGCGTGATGGTGTGCACCTGTAATCCCAGCTACTAGGGAGGCTGAGGCAGGAGAATCACCTGAACCCAGGAGGCAGAGGTTTCAGTGAGCCGAAATCACGCCATTGCACTCCAGCCTGGGCGACAGAGCCAGACTCTATCGCAAAAAAAAAAAAAAAAAAAAAAAAAGGAAAAATCAATATGATGAAAGTGGCCATACTCCCACAAAGCAATTAGAGAATAGTTTATCGGTTTCTTTCTTTCTCTTTCTTTCTTTCTTTCCTTCCTTCTTTCTTTCTTTTTCTTTCTTCCTTCCTTCTTTCCTTCCTTCCTTTTTCTTTTTCTTTCTTTCCTTTCCTTCCTTCTTTCCTTTCCTTCTCTCTCTTTCTTTCTTCTTTCTTTCTTCTTTCTTTTTTCTTTCTCTTTCTCTCTTCCTTTTCTTTCTCCTTCCTTCCTTCTTTCCTTCCTTTCACCCTCCCTCCCTTCCTCCCTTCCCTCCCTCCTTCCCTTCTTCCTTCCTTCTTTTTCTTTCTCTTTCTCCTCCCTCCCTTCCTTCCTTTCTTCCATCTTTCCTTTCTTCCTTCCTCCCTCCCTCCCTTCTTTTTAACTTCCTTTCTTCTTTCTTTTTTCCTCCCTCCCTCCCTTCCTTCCTCCCTCCCTACCTTCTTTTTTCTCCTTCCTTCCTTCCTTCCTTCCTTCCTTCCTTCCTTCCTTGCTTCTTCCCTCCCTTCCTTCCTTTTGGAGACAGGATCTTGCTCTGTCAGATAGGCTGAAGTGCAGTGGCTCACTGCAGCCTCGAATTCCTGGGCTCAAGCAATCCTCCCACCTCAGCCTCCCAAGTAGCTGTGACTATAGGGGCATGCCACCTCATCCACCTGACAAAAAAACAAAAAACAAAAACAAAACAAAACATTTGGCCGGGCACGGTGGCTCATGCCTGTAATCTCAGCACTTTGGGAGGCCAAGGCAAGCGGATCACGAGGTCATGAGGTCAAGACCATCCTGGCCAACATGGTGAAACCCTGTCTCTACTAAAAATACAAAAATTAATTGGGCGTGGTGGTGTGCACCTGTAGTCTCAGCTACTCGAGAGGCTGAGGCAGAAGAATTGCTTGAACCTGGGAGGCGGAGGTTGCAGTGAGCCGAGATCGCATCATGGCACTCCAGTCTGGCAACAGAGCGAGACTCTGTCTCAAAAAAAAAAAAAAGTGTAGACGCTGGGGCTGGCCTCAAATTCCTGGCCTCAATTTATCCTTCCTCCTTGGCCTCCCAAAGTGCTGGGATTACAGGTATAAGCCATCATACTTGGCTAAGTTTGGCAGTTTCTTGAAAAACTAAACATATATTTCCATATGCCCATGAATTATATCCCAGACATTTATACCAGAGAAATGAAAACTCATGAACTCATGCTCATAGAAAAACCTTAAACACATGTTCAAAACAGCCTTATTTATAGTGACCCCAAACTAGAAACAGCCAAAATGTCCTTCAATAGGCAAATAGTTAAGCAAACTGTGCTGCATTTAGACCATGGAATACTACTTAGCAATAAAAAAAAAAAGATTGTTGATATATGCAGCAGCTTGGATGGATCTCATGGGTATTATGCTAAGTGAAAAACACCAGTCACATACTGCATGATTCCATTTAACTAGTATTTTCAAAATGACACTATTCTAGAGATTAATAGCAAAGAAATTAGTGGTTTTAAGTTGTTAAGGTGATTGTGTGGGGGGAATTTGGCTATAAAGGGAAGCATGATGAAGATCTCTGTGATATGGAATAGCTCTGTGCTTGATTGTGGTGGTGGTTACATGAATCTACAAATGTGGTAAGACATGCATAAAACTATACATACACATTGTATCAAGGTATTTTCTTGGTTTTGCTACTGTGCTATAATTACTTAAAATATAAACATTTGGAGAAACTGGGTGAAGGCGTATGCAGAATGTCTCTATACTGTCTTTGCAATTTCCCCTGAATCTATAATTATTTTAAAATAAAAAAATATTAAAATGGCTTTCTTGCTGAAATCCCAAACCCCAGAATACCAAATGCTGGCAAGGATATAGAACAACAGGGACTCTCATTCGTTGCTGGTAGGAATGCAAAATGATACAGCCATTTTGGAAGATATTCTAGTTGTTTCTTACAAAGCTAAACATACTCTTACCATATGATCCAGCAACTGCCCTTCTATGTATTTATCCAAAGTGGAAAACTTGTGTCTGCACAAACATCTGTTCATGGATGTTTATAGCAGCTTTATTCATAATTGCCAAAAATTAGAAGCAACCAAGATGTCCTTCAATAGATTAATGGGTAAATAAACCATAGTACATTTATACAATGGAGTATTATTTAACATTAAAGAAAAATAAGCTATCAAGCTATGACAATATACGCAGGAAACCTGTATGCATATGGCTAAGCAAAAGAATCTCATCTGAAAAAGCTCTATGCTGTATGATTACAAGTATGTGACATTCTGAAAAAGGCAAAACACTAGTAAATAGCTCAGAGAATGCCAATGGTTCAGAGGGAGGAAGGAAGGATGAGTAGATGGAGCCTGGGTCATTTTTAGATCAGTGAAGCTATTTTGTTTAATCCTGTAATGGTGGATATATGATATTATGTATTTGTCAGAACCCATATAACTGTGTAATACAGAGTGAACCCTCGTATAACTATGAATTTTAGTTAATAATAATTATTAGTATTGGTTCATCAATTGTAACAAGTGTACCACATTAATACAGGATGTTAAGCATTGTAGAAACTGGGGGTGGGGGAGCTCTGTATACAATTTCTGCAATTTTTCTGTTAGCTTAAAACAGCTCTAAAAATAAAAGTCTATTAAAATGGTTTTCCTTTTTTTTTTTTTTTTTTTTTCTTTTTTTTGAGATGGAGTCTCGCTCTGTCGCCCAGGCTGGAGTGCAGTGGTGCGATCTCGGCTTACTGCAAGCTCTGCCTCTTGGGTTCACGCCATTTTCCTGCCTCAACTTCTCGAGTAGCTGGGACTACAGGCACCCGCCACCACACCCGGCTAATTTTTTTTTTTTTTTTTAGTAGAGACGGGGTTTCACCATGTTAGCCAGGATGGTCTCGATCTCCTGACCTCGTGATCCGCCCGCCTCGGCCTCCCAAAGTGCTGGGATTACAGGCGTGAGCCACCACGCCTGGCCAAAAATGGTTTTCTTACATGGTAGTATATGGGTTTACTTTTTGCTTTCTTAATCCATGCTTGTCTAAGTTTTAGTGTATTCTCTGTGTTAAGCTATTTATTTTATAATAAAGTTTGTAGTCATGTAAGAAAGACATTCATACCTATTCTACCGTCAGTAGTCTCAAGATTCTGCTTTGATTCTCTGAACCAACAGTAGAGAAACTTTTTTTTTTTTTTTTTTTTTTTTTTGAGACGGAGTCTCAGTCTGTTGCCAGGCAGGAGCGCAGTGGTGCGATCTCGGCTCACTGCAACCTCTGCCTCCCGGATTCAAGAGATTCTCCTGCCTCAACCTCCAGAGTAGCTGGGATTACAGGCGCCTATCACCACGCCTGGCTAATTTTTGTATTTTTAGTAGAGATGGGGTTTCACCATGTTGGCCAGGATGGTCTTGATTTCCTGACCTTGTGATCCGCCCACCTCGGCCTCCCAAAGTGCTGGATTACAGGCGTGAGCCACCGTGCCCAGCCGAGAAACTTCTTATTTATTAGTAAGGCTTAGAAGGTCATGATGCTTTGGTTTATCCTTGTTTTGTTTAGCTTCTCTTAGATTTTTATCATCACTCTATAGAAATTTTGAGAAAAACAACAGAATGTATAATTTTTTGCAATATTTTATTATCACTAAGCATGTATCTAATTACTTTGCTTGCGTTTTCCTTTTAATTCTGATATTAATTCAATGTAGTAAAAATTAACACCAGTATTTTCATGAGTAATGTGAGGCTAAGTTAAGTAAGATACCAGTGAAAACATAGCTAGTAAATGATACAGCCAAGATGAAACCCAAGCCTAACTCATTTCAACAGCATTTATTTGCAGTCTACCACACTATCATGAATAGTTTATCTTAGTGGTTTATGGCAGGTTCTAGAAACTATTTTAGAGATAAATATCAAGTCATAGTTTTATAGACAAATGAGCAACAGTTCATCGTGTTTCAAATATTCCTTCCTCTCATCTTAATGTCATATCTTTCTCCCCAACCCCAAATTTCACTCAGCTTTTCCACTCAAAGACACATCTTCAAATATAAGGTGGTTTCAAGAATCAGTCAGACTACTCTCTCGGTAATAAAATAGGCATCTGAGACTATGTCTAACAGAATGGGTAAGGCCAGTCTTCAGTGTCCAATCTCTTTGCTCATTAAATCTGGAATGAACGATGTTGATATGTAAATCCTGCAATGTTTATGGATTCTTCTGTCTTCCTTCTCCCCACTCTAACCCCATCTGCTCCCCTCCATCCCATGCATTCTGAGATCCATACCTTGGGGTTTCAGATTCACTCTACTGAAGATAGAGTTATATCATTGCTCAGTAGAGATCTCCCAACAAACCAACCCCACTTTAGGTTTTCCTGATGAGGACTAGACCACAACAAGAGGGTTGCCTGCAGATGCACAAAATGAGACCAAGCCCAAATGAACCGGGATATGTCTGATGAATTCTAGAATTTATAAGATAAATTCAACATTCAGATATTTTACCGGGAAAGGATCACATATATTCCCCAGGACCGACTCCCCACCCCCCACCGCCACCCAAAGAACTGGCTTAAACACCAAAAATTCCACCCAAGATCTTCAAAATAGTTTATTGTGTTCAGAAAAATCACAGTTTGAGGAAACCTTAAACAATAAGTACACAAGAGATGCCCCATGGGGCATTCCATAGCAGAGACAGACTCCTGTATGTTTTATTCCAGAGGCATTGCATGGTGATAATAAAATGATAGGAAATAGAGGAAAATAGATACAGGAAAAGGCAATAGACAGGGAAGCCAGCTAGATGTTAGAGTATGGAGCAATCGAGGAGGCATAACCACTCTTGGGGTGGCTATAGGGCTGGAAAATGCTGAAGATGACTGCTTTCACTGAGGTCAAGGATTGTAATATTGCCAGCTTTGTAAAGCCATTAAAGCAGAAGTTTCTTCAGTGATCTTCTCTCTAAGAAACACCATCACCTATAGCAAGACACACATAGTTACCAAGGAGTTTAAGATCAGTTTTGAGCTCCTTGCTTCAGATTCCTTCCTCTTCTCTCTTAATCCTTTGACTTTGCAAAATTCTTTCAATGTTCATCTAACCTTTCCAACATGAACTAACTGTATACCCTACTCTCCAACTGAACATAATAAGCAACCATGCTTTACCTTTTTTTAGAGTTTCTCATACTACATTTGAGACTAAAGAAGCAAAAGCAGGCATTGGCCTCTAAGAGATTCCCATTTCATGCAATGAATTGACCCTAACCTGAAAGGAGCCAGGATCTGGAAATGCTTCTGAACTGATGACCTGCCCCAGGAAATACAAGCTAGGATGTGCCCAAATCTTGAGGCTTATTTTTCTAGATCCCTAGACTCAGTATTTTCTAGATCCCTAGACTCAGTATTCTAATGTGAAACAATGGTTTTAGGTACTGGAGATGATTTCTAAGACTGGAGCCGTGATCAAGGTGCCCGTCTATAGAAAGGGATGACAGACCCTGAAGCTTTGGGATACCAGATGATACCAATGTCTGATTCGTTCTAGCAAAGAGAAATCAAGAGCCACATCTGTTCCTACCTTGTCTCTTAAATGCATTACATTTCCTTTCCCCACCCTGTTTTCCTCCCTCAGATATCTCCATATATGTCTTCCTCTGACCACACCTAACTCACCTCCATGTGCCTTACAGAGGCCCCCTGCGTTCTGCTGCATTGCTTTTGCGCAATCCCTTGATGATGAAGATGGTCCCAATAATGATGCCCACCAGACCCACAGTCAGGCCCAGGGCACACACCACGTTCTCTGTAGTCTCTGGGAGAGGGCTTGGAGCATCAAACTCTGGGGGGAAATAAGGCAGAGTACATGGTAATGAGTGTGGGAAGAAGTAACACTCAGAATCAAATGTAGGGTTCTTAATAAAGAGAAAAGTTATTCATAGATTAAAGAAGAGGAAGACAGAATGATGTATTGAGAGAATTACAGATTAAAAAAAGGCGGAAGCTGGATAGTAGGAGAAGACAGTTATATTAATTGTAGCAGATATTATGAAACAGTTAGAACACCAAGTTTCACACAAGCATCATAGGAGGAAACCTTGAAATAAAGGAGATTGAGTGTTGGTCCATACCCCAGTGCTTGAGAAGAGGCTCATCCAAGCCCCAGTGCTCCACCCTGCAGTCGTAAACGTCCTCAGTTGAGGGCAGGAAGGGGAGATAGTGGAACTTGCGGAAAAGGTGGTCTTCCCTGGGCAGGAAGACTGTCTCTGACACTCCTGTGGTGACAGGTTTTCCATTTCGAAGCCACGTGACATTGACCACTGGTGGGGTGAACTTGTCTATGAAACAGATGAGGACGTTGGGCTCTCTCAGTTCCACAGGGCTGTTCGTGAGCACAGTTACCTCTGGAGGTACTGGGGGACACATGACAGACATGACAGAAATCAGCCATCACTGCTTAGGCTCACCCCTCTCCCTCCCATGCTCAATTGTGGTACAAACGTATCTAAAAACCCTAAAGCTGAAAAAGTAGTTGAAATTGTGCCCTGAGAAATCTATGTCACATCCTCAGATAACAATCTCTGACAGCACCCCCTCCCCAAGAAATTGAGCCAATATTGAGGTATAAGATATCCAAGGACTTCCCTTCTGGCTCCCCCAGCATGAACTTAGGGCAATGACTTTGTAGGAGACCATGGATGACAGAGACAAGACTTGAGCACAACAAGATAGGATCAAACCCATAAAGTTCTCAGACCTCTGGCATGAGAATTTGGGGCTTGTTAATGGCAAGGTTAGGCCCTTGGAGGGAAAATCAGTTACAATAATCTAACACAAAGAGCTGAAGCAACTACTTTCAAACTATGGATTCCCATGTCCAGGAGTGCAGCAGAGAGGGAGGTACCATTGGTGATCGGAGTATAGTTGGAGCGCTTTGTCATGATTTCCAGGTTGGCTTTGTCCACAGCTATGTTGGCCAATGCACCTTGAGCCTCAAAGCTGGCAAATCGTCCAAATTCTTCAAGCCGCCAGACCGTCTCCTTCTTTGCCATATCCACATGGAAAATCTCATCACCATCAAAGTCAAACATAAACTCGCCTGATTGGTCAGGATTCAGATAGAACTCGGCCTGGATGATCACATGTTCTTCTGAAAGGCGAGAAGTGGAGAAAGAGAGTTGGGTGGGGGGAATCAAGAGAGGGAAATGAATAACCTACATACATGTAGGCAGGAAGTGGTGGAGAGAGATTGGGCCAAGAGGAATGAAAGAATGATGGCGAGTAGGGATGAGTGACAAGACAAGGTCTGGGTGAAGGGCATGCTGCTGAACAAAGCTGGGAGGGGAAAAACAAGAAGGACTGGTTATAAAGAGGGTGGATTGAAGGAGATGAGGGCTAAAGAACCCAGAGTCTTGTGAAGCTGTTGTTTGGCTCCATGTTACTAGCTGAGAAATTATTTTCTTTTTAGAAATCCAGCAGCAGCCCCTAAAGAGAAATGTTCTCTCACTTTCTTTACCCGGGCATTAAATACACTTAGGCCAGAATTCCAGAGGATCTCTTTCTCAGAACATTGTACTCTAAGAAGAAAGAAACGCTGTTTGAAAGGTTGGGTTTTAAACTCTGGGATCAAAAACATCTTGAATTCTTATTCAGCAACTTACCTAGTGATCCTGAGCAGATTATTCTACCTATTTATGTATAGTTTTCCTATTATGTAGCCCTGCTGTGGTTTTGATCCTGTCAGGGGTTTGTTTTTAAGATTAAATGAGATAAGGTGAGTAATTTCTTAATATATCAACAAGACTGTAACAAGCACTGTTTACATTTTAGAGTCAGAAGCTTCTTTTTATTTAAGGGCCAAATCTATGGAAAATATACCTGGGGACTGAAATACTCCAAAAATTAAGACTGAGACCTTGTAGCGTCATAGTCCCCCTGCTTCCCAGCATCCAAACCCACACGGTGGTTACCTCTATGAGAAGGTTCTCGTCTGGATTGACCTTGGCAATTCCACCTTTTATCTTAATGCTCCTTAAATTGGGACTGTTATTATGGAAGATGTTCTGTTATGATTGACATTGAGAATAACCAACACCAAGGGAATAATGAACATGAAAAGAGAAAGCTACACTTGGAGAGTATGCTGCCTCTGTGGAGTGTATCGATGAGTGGGAGATTTTTTTTTCCTTAGTCTTCAAAGATAAGGTGAGATATTTTGTTTTGTTTTGGTTTGGTTGTTTGAGACGGAGTCTTGCTCTATCGCCAGGCTGGAGTGCAGTGGCACCATCTCAGCTCACTGCAACCTCCGCCTCCTGGGCTCAAGCAATCCTCCTGCCTCAGCCTCCCGAGTAGCTGGGACTACAGGCGTGTGCCACCATACCCAGCTAATTTTTTGTATTTTTAGTAGAGACGGGGTTTCACCATGTTGCCCAGGACGGTCTCGATCTCTTGACCTCGTGATCCGCCTGCCTCGGCCTCCCAAAGTGCTGGGATTACAGGCGTGAGCCACCGTGCCCAGCCAAGATGAGAGACTTTAATGTTTGACTGTGTATTGATAAACCTAGGAATTTATTTACCGTTTGCATCTATGCAAACACACACAAATATACTAGCTGCCTCTTCACAAACCAAGGGAAGAGCCTCTGTCTTTCTAGGTAAGTATCCCTATGTATGGCTCTTTTGGGGCAATAGAAATCTACAATTGCCACTATGGGTATGGGAGCTGGGTTATTACTTTGCTTATTTCAAGTCTACCTGACACCTTCTGTGGGGGTCATGCTGGGTGAAGAATACTTTTCTACAGTACATCTTTACAACAGCACCAATGTTGCTCTGGAGATGAGAGAGAATAATATCAGATTCCCCATTTCCTTACTCATTTTTCTACTCTCTTGGAAATATTACTAAGTTAACATGATATAAGATCTGCTGTACCATGGAGATGGGAAGGCAGGGAATGGCTATCACTGTCCCATGAGGCAACTCATATCAGCATGCCTTCCCTCCCCTTTTCCTGGGGTAAATTGTTGCTTTTTGATGACTTTTCCTTCTAGTAATCTTCAACACAATATATGTGCTCAATATATACCGACAGGATTTACACTCCAAAAAATAACTACTGTATCATGTATTCAGATAAGAACAGGGCTAATAACTTTTTTTTTCATTTAATTCTAGCAAAACTATGTGTGGTTTTTAGTTTTTAATTTTACTAATTTTCCAGAAAGAATAATTAAAGCCCAGAAATATAACTTGTTAATGCTTGCCAGAAAATATTCTTCCTCCCCCACCCCCACCCCCACCCCCAGTTTGGCTTGTAGCAGGACCTTGCTATTCATCAATACACAACTCAGTTTTGATCCTCTAAACCAAATTTGACTTACTTCAGTTTGTGGTGAGGGAAGAACTCCACCAAACCACAATTTGTTATACTTTCTGTCGAGACCACATAATACCTGTCACACTATTCTTTCACTCCACACATTATCTTCCAAATGTCCATAGGTCTTTTCTCCAATGCTTCGTAGTCTATCGTCCCAGATTTCATTCCCTCAGCACCTACCTTTGATAGCCCATGATTCCTGAGCGCTCATCAGCACAGCTATGATGAAAAATCCTAGCACAGGGACTCCACTTATGGCCATTTTCTTCTTGGGCGCTCTGTTGGGAGTCAGTAGAGCTCGGGAGTGAGGCAGAACAGACAAGAATAAAAGAAAAGAGAATGTGGGGTGTAATAGAGTCTGACCATTAAAATGCAAATCAATTACTCTTTGGCCAATCAGAAAAATATTTTGAGATGACGCATCTGTTGCTAGGGGAAGGGTTCTTGCAAAGGGTCCAGGACACAAGATACTCCGTTCATTGGATAAAGAAGTAAAGTTCTTAAACAAACAGGACAACAACGACAACAAATCAAGTATTTAAGACTGTTGGTCAATGACGGACAGACTCTTTAACCCCAATCTGAGTTCTAGACAGGGATATACCTGAAGCACATTAGTGAGAATAGAATCAATGGAAACACCTAAAGTGAGAGCTAAATACAGATCATATGTCTGTGCCATGACAGCTGGAGAGTTTGCGTAAGGGACAATAAATTACCCAAATAGAAGGTAAATTGTCAGGCCATGGAGATTGTCTGAATTTTGGCAGTACTGAGGACATAGCTTCACTAAAGAAGCTCTTTCATGCTTCTTGGAGTCCTAGACTTCAAGATGAACAACTCAGGCCAAGAGCTTGGGATGGCTGGCATTGTATCTCATTTAGAGAAAATAAGAGGAGAAACTCTGAGGTTCAACACTCTCAACACTGGAGAAGGATGAAAGGCTGTATCTTGAAACACAGGTAGTAGTTAGTGGAAATAGTGGGCTGTAAAGGAGCTACCTTCTTCTCATCTCTACCATCTTATATATGACAAGAGATTGGAGTTGACTAATGGACACACCTCATTTGAGGATTCAGGTCAATGAATATGAGAGAGTATAATGGGCAAAGCCTATTTTTTTTTTTTTTTTTTTTTTTTTTTTTTTTTTTTTTTTTTTAGACAGAGTCTTGCTCTGTCGCCCAAGCTGGAGTTGGTGGCGTGATCTCAGCTCATTGTAATCTCCGCCTCCCGGGTTCAAGCGATTCTCCTGCCTCAGCCTCCTGAGTAGCTGGGATTACAGGCGCCCACCACCATGCCCGGCTAATTTTTGTATTTTTAGTAGAGACGGGGTTTCACCATGTTGGTCAGGCTGGTCTCAGACTCCTGACCTCGTGATTTGCCCGCCTTGGCCTCTCAAAGTGCTGGGATTACAGGCATGAGCCACCGCACCCAGCTGGCAAAGCCTATTCTATTGGGAACGTTAGAGATAATAACCCACAGAACGGCTTTAATATTCCTTCCCTCATGTCATAAGATTATGAAAGTTTTTCTCTTGTCATATGATTATTAAAGATCTGCTCTAAAGAATATATTTTGATGTTCAACATAGACACTCCTGAAAATTAGGAGACTTCGACTCTCTTGTTTCTGAAGATACAGTGTTATGAAAAGGAGAATGTTAAGTTCTTTCCACAGAAAGGACTGGAATACAAATACTTCCATGAAGAGTGACCTGGCAGTGAGGGAGCCCATCGGATGGTGAATCCATTGTTTTTTTTGTTGTTGTTTTGTTTTCGAGACGGAAGTCTTGCTCTGTCGCCCAGGCTGGAGTGCAGTGGCACGATCTCGGCTCACTGAAAGCTCTGCCTCCTGGGTTCACGCCATTCTCCTGCCTCAGCCTCCCGAGTAGCTAGGACTACAGGCACCCGCCACCATGCCCGGCCAATTTTTTTTTTTTTTTTTTTGTATTTTCAGTAGAGACGGGGTTGCACCATGTTAACCAGGATGGTTTTGATCTCCTGACCTCGTGATCTGCCTGCTTCTGCCTCCCAAAGTGCTGGGATTACAGGCATGAGCCACCGTGCCTGGCTGGTGAGTCCATTGTTCAACATCAGTCATGACATGTCTGCTTAGGGTGGATTTTCCATACTGTTGTGCTGGGGTCTTGTCCTGCCATGCAGCCGTTCTCACAAGTTATGAACACAAATATTCCATACATTACTGATTATCTGATCGCATCAAAGGGCTTTGAACACACTGTGGCATTAACTCCTAGATCGCTAGAAAGAGACCTACAGCATGGTCTCTCCTGCAATTTTTCAGGAATACCTTTCCTGAAAGGTAAAGAGTCAGGAGAATGGGCCAGATGAGAGCCTATGGTATCAGTCTGTGCTAAGAGTCTGATCCTATGATTTAAGCTTGTCATCTCCTCTTTTAGAGGCAAAACCATGTATAATTTTCTATGTCTGCCCTTTGCTGGCTGCCATAATGCCTTGTTCTTAAATGGTGCTTGAGAAAAACATGGTAAATTCAAAGACATTTCATATATTATAATAGCATCTTCAATCCAAGTTGTTGCTCAGCAACTTATGACACTGTTTAGTCCTAGAACACTGATTGGTTCTTCTTGTGAGATTACTAAATTTGGGAGACTTGAGAAATGACTTTCAGTTCCCTTTCTCTGTGATAGGAGAGAAGTTCCTATTTGGACAGTGCTCATGGTTCTCCGTTTTCTTTCAAACTCTAATTTCCTGTGTGTTTGAGGGAATTTCCAAAGGCACCTGAATGAGGACTTCTTGGTGATGTCAAATGGTGACGAGCCACTATAGCCATGAGAATTCAGTCAAGAAATAGGAATCCCTGTAATCAGTCTAAGCAGAACTGAATATATTACAGGGAATTAGCCCTTAAAACTGTTAGGGGGTCTGGAGGAGCAGAAGTCACTGCAGAACCCTAATTTTAAAAGATCAGGAACCCACAGGAAGCCTCTGCTGATGTTGCAGATCCTCTAGAGCCCCTAGGAGTAAATGTCTTTAGAACACAAGGCTGCTGCCAAAACTCATGTCTGTGAAACCTGTCCCTGAGATGGCTGTGGCCTAACTTCCACCTCCCAAATCTCATAATACTGAGTTTCCCTGGAGAAATGTATTCCACGTTCAGAAACCTGGGGCAGAGCAAGCCTGAGAGATGTAATATTCTTACATCTATTCCCAAAGATACAGACAGGATCAGAGAAGCAAATGGAAATTTTACAAAAATTACTAAATGCAAATATGTGTGTCTATGTTTGTGTGTATATCCACCATAGATCACTCTGGTTCTCCCCACAGTGCCAAGTCTAAAACCAGAGGACATATTCTTCTGGAGAAATAAGTTAGGGCTTTCACACTGGGCCCAGATCAAGTCTGGGACCTCAATACTTCATTTGTTTGTGTGGTTTGAATTCTGAGAACCTCCAGCCCCTTCTTTTAGCTTCCCTTCCACCACCCCCTACCCCCTTTTCCTTCTGCACTAAGGGTCTTCATGGTGTTTTTCTCCTACTAAGGACTTCCTACCAGAGGTGCTGAGGGAATATTGATCTAGGTATTTCCTTCTCAATTCACTACATAAGAAGCTTTTCTTGTGTTACTTTTTCGCATCCTGAGAGGTCACAGAAGCTGGTCTGCTGGAATAGATCCCTATCAGAATAAAAACTGTGAACTGTTGATATCAACAAATGCACTAGGACGTTAACAAATGTGCTAGGGCAGTGGGTTAATGGGCCTTCCTAGCATGTCCTGTGTTAATAGAGGGCTCCACAATGACTGGACTCATCTTTAACCTGGGAGGATGGCAGTTTGAGTTTGATTCATTCTCTCTTCACCTCTACCTGAAACCCGATGCTTTAAAGACCAGAGTTATCTTTATACAGACCTCCTGGGGTGTGAAATTACCCCTCTTTACTTGAGTAGTCTTTGTAAATTAGAAAACGCATGCAGGTAGGGGTGTGTGTGTGTACGTGTGCACACTTAGAAACTTTGAATCCACATCTCAGAATATTTTCCTGCCGGCCAACTACAAGTTTCATTGCTATAACTTAAGAACCTGTAGTCAGATTGTTCTATAATTCTCTGTGTTCTTGTCTGTTCTAAATGGCACAAGCTAAGTCTTATAATTGAGAGACTCTGAAGGAAAAGATTAGCTTGACCAATCACCAAAGAAGTCTAAGGGTAGTTGTCTCTAATAGCTGCCCCCATACAGCCAGTCCATGGCTTGATTCACTCACTCAACATCTCCTGTTCCTTAGAAATTCTGGCAATTTGTTTTCAGAGTTCCTTCCATCTCTATCATATTGGCCACTCCGAAGTCAGCACAGAGCATTAGGATATAGGACATTCTGTTGCTCTCATCTTCTCATCTTTGTTCTCATCTTCTGAAAAAACGCATGTCCTCACCTGTGAATCCTTTCTTAGCTATTCTTCCAGGAATAGGGAATGATTTTACTCAATCATCCATGTAAAACAGAGACCAGAAACTTCATTTAGACATTATGTTCTGTTGCATGAGTAAACTATGGAATCTCATCAAGGTCAGAATGATTTTATAGAATTCAGATGTGTTTGTATGCATACGTGTGTGTGTGTGTGTGTGTGTGTGTGTGTGTCTGTGTGTTGAAGGAGGAGAATTAGGAAAGTATCAATTTCAATCAATCTAATTCATATAATTTTTTAATTTACTCAATTGTTTAAATACTATTTGATCCTATTCTTTATTTAAGGTACTTTCTTTTGTTTATTTTTTTAAAAACATCTGAAGCATACAAATGTAATTGCTAGGTTGGATAAGCACTAAATGGAATCTTTAATCAAACAAAAACTCATTGTGCCTGCTCTTGCCTCTTTAGAGAATTTCATTAGAGATGCTATTCCCCTGCGCTTGGGTAGGAATTATAGCATACTTCATGAATTATTTTCTTGATTCTAATTAATATGCTATTCTACAATTCCCTTAAATTGCACAAGTATATCTTAGTTCAGCAATTAGATTGTTTGGTACTATATAATAATTGAAAGTCCCAACTTGATTTAATATAAATCTCTTTCTATCCCTGTGTAAATTGTTGAAGGCAGGAATGAGTGTGGTTCTCCTTCCTTCTTACGTTCTACTGGCACTTTGAGGCCATAGCTCATCTAGGGTAGGTTCAGGGAAGGGGAGGAAGAGAAAAAGACCAGAAACGTCTTACTGGAAATGAAATATTTGTGTTCTCTGAGCCTGGATGATGTTCCAAGTAAAGCTTTTCTCTTGTGCAAGGTTTGGTAGGCTCTTCAGATTCCTTCATGGCCCGTGTCTGGTGTGTAGGGAACACTAAAACATTCTTTGTGTCCACAAACTCTGGGAGTGTGACCATTCCCAATGCATCACAGTTTCCAAGATCCAATACCAACTAGTCCATATACCCTGCCCTTTAGGATTCTGATGGAAGCAGAAGCCAATCCTATCATCTTCAACCACCCAACTTCATATCAAGTAGAGGAAACTCTTGGTCCCCCTAGAAAACAATTTCACTAAATTCCAGGCAAGTAAGTTGGTCCCTTTCCCACATACGCTGGGAGTAGATGATAGAATTCATAGTAAAGAGCAGATCTATTCAAGGATATCACAAATCTGCTTCATCCTATACTCTCTGACCACCCTTTGGTCAGTAGAGAGACAATAACAGAAACTTGTTTGTCCCATCATTCCTTATTTACTTATTTATTTTATTCTACTTTAAGTTCTGGGATACATGTGCAGAACATGCAGGTTTGTTACATAGGTATACATGTGCCGTGGTGGTTTTCTGCTCCCATCAACCCGTCATCTAGGTTTTAAGCTCCTCAAGCACTAGGTATTTGTCCTAATGCTCTCCTCCCCTTGCCCCCCACCCCCCCAACAGGCCCCTGTGTCCATGTGTTCTCATTGTTCAACTCCCACTTATGAGTGAGAAAATTCAGTGTTTGGTTTTCTGTTCCTGTGTTATTTTGCTGAGAATGATGGTTTCCAGCTTCATCCATGTCCCTGCAAAGGACATGAACTCATTCTTTTTCATGGCTGCATAGTATTCCATGGTGTATATGTGGCACATTTGCTTTATCCACTCTATCTTTGATGTGTTTTCCCCATCATTTCTTTATGAATTCTGCAAAAGAGGTGAACAACAGTCTCGCATGTCCATAAATAGATATCTGTGTTAATGGCCTCTTAGCTGATACTGAGGAAAGACCACAAACATTGAAAACAAAACAACAAACATATGAAAAAGTATAAATCATGGTCATTGTCTGTTACTGGTCACATAGACATAATTATAACACGGTTTAGGAAATGGAGGCAGAACTGGCCATTTCAGCTGTGTTTCCTAGTCCAGTTTTCTTACAAGGTAATGGAGAAGAGTGTGCATATAACATGTTTTTTGTTAGATTAAGCATCACTCTGTTAAGGAATAAACTTGAGTTACTTTCAATCACTTTTAAAGTTGCTGCTCTTTTTCCCAAAGTAAAATTGATATTTGAGGCCTCAGTAAGTTCCATGTTATGTCCAATTATTTAGCATTACAGTGTCTGTCTGCTTCCAAGTGACTAAAGACTTTTACTCTTGGCCATGTGCCACATAACTGAAGATTATTCTTTCAGGTGAAAGTGGCAGGATTTCTATAAGACCCTTAAGAGGCTTTTCCTTTAGTTAGAAGGGAATTTAGGGACTGGAGTTCTGAGAACTGGCCATGTCCAGACAATAGTGCCCCCAAACGACAGTCATTTCTGCCACCTTTTCTCTGGACATATGCAGCATTATTTGGAAATCTTTTTTCATTAAGCATGATCTGTGCTCATTTCTGAAGATCATAAGAATGTCTATGTAGCAGTCTTTTTCTACTCTTAATTCTTTTCTAAAAGGTATAATTGAGAGTAAGAAACAAAAAACTAGAAGACGGTTTATTTAAGGTACATGGTTAGCAATCATAGTAAAGGAGCTGAGTTCTAAACATGTAAAACACTTACTGTAGTGAAGTTAGGAAGACAAGGAGTGTGAAGATGAGAAGTTAGAAGTGTGGAGAAGGAATCACTAGAGGCTCCTGATAAGAAAGATGGTAGAAAATGATTTTTTAAAGTACTTAAGTAGGTAAGATTTCAAATCCAAATGTCGTGAATGAGTGAAGGAAATTTTCACAAAAAAATAGAAGTCATGAGAAGAAGGTGGCTCTTGTTCACACTAAGTATAGCATGGGTCAAGCACAGAATGTAAGAGGGGAATTAGTTCTCACAATAAAATAGAAGAGAATATAAGTGGCTAAATGGCATCTAAAAAATAAACCATTCCAAGACTTAAGCTAATACAGATGGTCTCTGACTTATAATTTGGCTTATGATTGTTCAACTTTATGATGGGTTTATTGGTGTATTAAATGCATTTTCAGCTTAAGATATTTTCAAGTTATAATGGGTTTATTGGGACATAACCCTATTGTTAAGTTGGAGAGCATCTGTACATGAGCAGTGGTCCATGCTGCAAAATGTTTTTTAAAAACCAATAGTGAGGATAGAGAATAAACTATTTTAGGTTTCTGAGATTACTTAGGAACTTTGAACCTTTAAGGTAGAAAGAAAGGTGAGAAATATGCCAGAAGACTGTTACTGCTTTCACTGAAATTCTTTTTTGGGGTCCAGTTTCTTTTTACCAATTGAAAATACTACTGCTATGACTATGACACTAAAGCTTACTTATATTTATTAGATAATAGTTGTATTTCCATTTTACCTGAGAAAACTGGGTTTAAAGAAATCTAGTCTTTTGGTCAAGGGCTTACTTAGAAAGTGGCAACTGTGATTTTCTAAATCAAGTCTCTATCTCTGTAGCCAATAATATGTGGAGTCCAAGAACCAGTCCACTCAAAACACTAAAACCACTCATACCACAAACATATCCTTGGGTAGGGATGACGGTTGGTTTTTTCTTGTATACTATGTTTATATGTGACTATTTCAAAAGTTCTCAGGACACATATTTTTCCCTTGATTTTCTAATTTATAGTATAACTGGGACTAGGTTTCCCTCTTGTGGTCAACAGTGTTTAATTCTTCATAAGTGTTTTTGACATTGAGTATTCAGACACCTTATGAAAGATCAAGGATTTCTTAAGTCAGGATGCTTCAACTAATTTTTTTCTTGTGTGCATACTCAAAGTGTGTTTGATTTAATTAGGTCACTTAAATGGTTTGTAATTTCATTTATAAAATTACTTATAAAATATTTAAAACTTATAAAAATATTTAAAGTCTTTTTATAAGTATTACCATGCCTTTTTTGAATAAGCACACAAAATATAGGATGTACTTCTTTTAAATAATTTGAAGGTTGAAATAATGTCTTAAAACGGACAAAATTAACTGTATTTCATTTTGAATCTTGTGGATAAATGCTTTATAACACCCTTTCTACTTCTCCATGATGTATTTAATCTTAGGCTAATTTTCTAGCTGTTTTCTGGAAACCTGATGGAGGAAGAATGTCAGCTGGATTTTTAGACAACATTGCTTATGGCACAAATGGCTTCTGGTTGGCATTTTGTATCTTTACTGGGAAGAATATTTCATGAACCGTAACAAATGACGGGGACCCATAGTTTGGGTATTTCCAAATGCAGTGACCCTTGTAACTGAGCATGCCCTTTACGGGGACTCTGGAAGCTGTGCCCATGGGTTTGTTATAAGAGGTACTAGCTCGTAGATGACATGAGGATTCTAAGCTACGGTGGACACAACTTCCACAGGTGTAAATTCAGCTCCTTGTACCTGAGTTGTCACTTGGGGGATGGGGGCAGAGGATGAAACTAGCACCTGGAATAAATTATGAACTGTTTCAAGAACTTCTCCCACTGAAGAAAAAGACCTGATTCAGCACTTTGGCATACTTTGACTCCTGTCTAATATCCTTCTAAGTGAATCTGAGAGCCAGGTGTGGCCTATGGTAAAAACTTGAATATGAGTACTTAGTTAAACCTGAGAATACTCCCTGCCCCCGGGTATTGATACATCAGCAATTTTCATTTTATGTCTTTTTTTATGTGTATACATAGGAGATACACACACACACACGCACATTTCCCATATTTTGGGCAAAAATTTGCATATTTTTTATGGCTTTAACACAATTAATAGTTTTAGTCTTGTTTTATTTTTGTTACCAAATTAACTTAACTCTAAGGATAGATTATATGTTTATTTAAGGATCTAAGGATAGATGTATAATATTTTAATATATGACAAAAACATATTTTAAAAAATATGGTGAGAGATTTCTGGTTCTAAGACAAGATGAAGTAGGTACAATTCTTCCTATTCTTCCTGCTAAGTACAGCTACAGACAGACATAAAAAGCCCTTGAATGATGGAGAGGAGAAGCAGGTTGGCCTCAGACCATGGGATTGGGGAATGACAGAGTGGTGAGTTTCATAGGTCTTCTTTCTGCCTAATATATCCAGGAATGAGTGCTGGAGAAACTGGAAAACAGGAAACATCAGTAGTCACAGACAAAAATATCCTAAGGAAAGCATGTTTCTCTATCCAAGGGAACAAGAAAGAGCAGCCTACCAGGCAGATAACTGACAGTAACCGCACTACTCCAGTCAAATACAGAAAAATCAGGGGCTTCCATCCCGCCTCAGTCAGCAAACACTGAGTGAGGAGCTTTGTCTTATCCCATTGCCTGGCGATAATGAGACACTACCTAGACCCATCAGGCTTATGTCAGAGGAAGCCAACTGGGGACCTAGGACTTTTGCCCCTGCCTATCAGTAATCAGCCACCTCCACACTGTGGTGTTAGTGAAGCCCATGTGAAGAGCCTGGACTTCCACCTGCCCTGTTGCAAGGAAGCACTCCTCACCCACTTTGCCAAGGTGTTGTCAGAGGAGGCCAAGTAGAAAGCTGGGACTTTCACCACTGTCCAGGTGTAAGGAGGCACTTCTCCCTTCCTGGTGTCAGTAGAGGCCATGTGGGAGCGCTGATGAGACCCTCTCCCTCCCAGTCAGGATTCTGTAAGTGGAGGCCTAGTGGGGAGCCTGAGTTTCTATACCCAGCCTGCAGCCACAAGGCACCCCTGCCAGAGAGCCTTCAGTTCTAAGTTCACCAGGAATTGAACCTGTCAGCATCTTGATCTTGGACTTCCCAGCCTCCAGGACTGTGAGAAACACAGAGGGTCCTCCTATAGCATTGTTTTGTTCAACGTTTTGTTACAATGTTGGTGAGAAAATAAATAGGTTCCTGGCCAGGGCCACTGGCCATGAGGAGTTTGTGTGTTCTCCCCACGTCCGCATGGGTTTTCTTTGTGTATTTGAGTTTTATCCCACATCCCAAAGACATGCATGTTAGGTTAATTGGTGAGTCTAAATTGTCCCAGCAGAGTGACTTTGTGTGTGTGTGTGTGTGTGTGTGTATGTGTGTGTGTGTCTGCATCCCACAATGGATGGGATGGCATCCTATACAAGGTTGGTTCCTCTCTTGTCCTTGAGCTGCCGGGATAGGCTCCAGTCATCCATGACCTTGAACTGGAATAAGCAGGTTGGAAAATGAATAAGCGAATGAATAGAAATGTTTCTAAAATAAAAATTTGTAAAGTACATGATATTCATACAACTGTACAATAGTAAACAATGGGGTACAAAAGTACTCAGTGAGTTCAACGTATTTGTTCTTCTTTGCGTTTGAGCTGTGTGGTGGCAGGAGGTGCTCCTTACCATTTTCATTTTACAAACATTTGTTCCTTAATGTAACCCACCACCACTGTGACCACCATCACTCACTAATTCACCAAAAACTGGATAATTAATTATCTTACTTGTTATTATAAACCTACCTTAAATGTATATATAGTTCCCATTTATTTTAATGTTTAATATTAGAAGTGTTCTGAGTCTTTATTTAGGAGTTTGGTGATGTGTTTGTGACCAGAAATAAGCCATAGGAACTTAAATCTTGTTCGCATCAATTAGCCCAGGGGTTCCCAACCCCTGGGCCACAGACCACTAATGGCCTGCTGTCAGATCGGCAGAGGCATTGGATTCTCACAGGAGTGCAAACCTTTGTGAACTGTATTGTGGACTGCCCATGCGAGGGATCTAGGTTGTGCCATCCCACTCCCTGCCACCGCTAGTCCCCAACCCCCATCCATGGCAAAATTTTCTTCCACAAAACCAGTCCCTGGTGCCAAAAATGTTGGGGATCGCTGAATTAGCCTATGGTCAAATTAGTTTTATTATATGTCATTTTGCTTAAAGTCACAGCTTCTAAGAACCTATTGATGATGTTAAGTGAGGACTTTCAGTAAATGTCTGTTGTTTAATCTACTCCATCTGAGTGTCAATGGAGCCAAGTAGAGGACATGGAATTTCACATAATCTGGCAGTTTTGGGGTGAGAGTTACATATTTAAGTCAGTAGATTTTAAGTAAAGTACATTGCCCTCCATAACTGGGTTCCCCTCATTTAATCAGTTGAATGCCTGACTAGCATAAGAGGGAACTCTCCAACAGATTGCCTCAGACTCCATCTGCAATCCTGGCTCTTCCTGGTTCCACAGCAGACTACCTTTGGGCTCAAACTGCAACTCTGTCCCAGTCTCCTCCACTGCTGGCCTCTTCCATCAGAATTTGGACTCAGTAAGCTTCCACAATCATGTGAGCAAATTCTTTAAAAGAAATATCTTTCTATATATACATATCCTGTTAGTACAACCGCTCTGGAGCACCTAATACAGATCCCAAGGGCATTATTCTGAGTACAAAATGCCAGTCTCGGAAGGTCACATATAGTATAATTCCATTTATATAACATTTTCTAAATGATAAAATTATACAGATGAAAATCAAATTAGTGGTTGGCACAGTGTAGGGATGGTGGGGGTGGGGGAATGGTGTGACTCTTAAGGAGGGCGAGTGGCATGAGGAAGATCTTTGTGGTGATGGAATATAGTTCTGTATTTTGATCACAGTGGTGGTTACATGAATCTACACATGTGATAAAGTAGAAAACTGCAAATACATTGTATCAGTGTCGATTTCCTTGTTTCGATATTGTGCTATAGTTATGTATGATGTAACCATTGGGGGAAACTGGGTGAAGGGTACAAGGGACCTCTCTGTACTATTTTCATCAACTCCTGTGAATGTATAATTACTTTGAAATTAACATTTAAAAATCATAAAGCATATTATCTAATTTTTTCTCTCAAACTTTAAACAAATCAATGTTTACCTTGTAAATCTTCTCTGCACTCCCAACAACACTGGATATTCTTTATTTGTAATTTTTTTAAAACTACAGACACACCTGACTTAAGATGGTTTGACTTAGGAATTTTTGACTTTTCAATGGTGTAAAAGCAATATCCATTCTGTATAAACCATACTTTAAATTTTGATCTTATTCCAGACCAGCGATACTCAGTAAGATACTCTTTCACAATGCCAGGCAGCCTCAGCCACATGATCATGAAGGTGAACAACTTATACTCTACACTTTCAACTCACAATATTTTCAATTTACACTGGATTTATTGGGAGTTAACCCCATCATAAGTTGAAGAGCATCTGTATTACATTTAAAAACCCAGGTTATTTTAAAATAGTTGCTTATATTTACATACTTACAAGATTATTCAGTCTAGCCCAGATTTACAAGGGGGAAAAAACACACTCAAGGTATTTTAAGCCCAGAGAGATGTAATACAGTGAAGTGCATTGCAAAAGTTTTGTAAGGACAGAAAAAGCAAAATTGTGCTTCCAAAGGTCAGGAACTGCAGGAAGCTACTATTGGCCCTGCAGCACTAAACAAACCCACACTCCTGGCAGCTGCTGCTACTTGCTGTCAGAAGCAGAATGACAGCAATTTTCCACTGCCTTCTAATCGCAAGTGAGTGCCTTCCTAAGAAAGGGACTCTGGAAGAAGTGGTGTCCAGGCTTCAACCCCAAGTGATATGGAAAAAAGCACAAAACAGGGGGAAATTGATTTAGTACCAACAGACAATATCTCCAACTTAAAATATCTTGAATATTTATTCCTGAATATATTACCCCTTTCTAATATCTCTCTTTGCATTTTCCTTATTTGTACTTACATATATATTTGATGAATTTTTAGCATTTTTAGTAATTTACTAAATCTATATTTAATAGAAATATTAAACCTAATATAATGTATAGCATTATCCGATATAGAAGATCTTAAATGTCATTAATTAAATGTTAGCCTCTTGGATTTTAATTTATATAAAGCTTAATAATGTGAAAATACATGAAGATCAACCAAATGAAAAGAGCAAAAATTATTCACAAATTGCTATAACAAAGGAGTCAGCCACCATCTTTTGCATTTTGGCAGAGACTCAAAGACAGGCAAAGAAGTAGGAAACTTTATAGTGGTTAAAAAGGACCTGATTGGAGGCTGTTGGCATGGGGAATGCTTAAGGGGTAACTAGAAGTGGAGTATCCTATGTAATTGGGTAGGATGCATATTTAGCTTTCCCTGGTTGGTCCTAAGTTGGAAGCAGGCACAAATATTGGGGGAACTGTCAGTTATTAATCAAGTCCTGGCCATTTTAAAACAATTGTTATAAAAGTTATTATTTAGCCTCCTGGATTGTTACTAGAGACAGCAATCTGACTTCCTGCAAGTCGGACTTAAGCAGACTACCTTGCTGGATTGTTTATTGAAGATAAGGGAATTGGTTCCCCAGGCAGGCTGCTGTAGGCTGTGGGTCAAAGGTCTATTTTTTTTTTTTTTTTCTTAGATGGAGTCTTGCTCTGTCGCCAGGCTGGAGTGCAGTGGCACGATCTCAGCTCACTGCAACCTCCACCTCCTGGGCTCAAGTGATTTTCCTGCCTCAGCCTCCCGAGTAGCTGGGACTACAGCTGCGCGCCACCATGCCCAGCTAAATTTGTATTTTTAGTAGAGGCAGGGGTTTCACCATGTTGGCCAGGATGGTCTCGATCTCTTGACCTCATGATCCATCCGCCTTGGCCTCCCAAAGTGCTGGGATTACAGGCGTGAGCCACCGTGCCCAGCCAGGCCTATTTTTATATATGGTCTGGCCATTGTCTGTTTCTATATCCAGTTTTTCAGAAAGCACAATTTAAAATCTTATTCTTTTTTCCACCACAGTATAAGATGCATTAGGGTCACAGTAGGACAAATTGTCCCACTGGCAACAACTACAAAAATAGGATAAAATTTTAAAGGTATATTTTTAAAAAGCATTGTTTAGCTAAGAAAGTAAATAGGACTAGATGAATAAAAATTCCAAAGAAGAACCATGCAAATGTAAGCTGACGTTTGGACATCACTGTTTCTCTTGGTAGCATTTGCTGTTTGCAAGTGTACGCTGCGTTTTAGTGCCATTTTTCTGCTACCGTTTTCTGCTGTAGAAAAGTTTTCTGCTACAATTTTCCTACAGTTTTCTGCTGTAAGAAAGAAATCAGCAGCAATTATGGGGCCAGTGTGATGTAACTAGAAAACTGAGGCATCTCAAACACTCTGGTTTCTTCAAAACACGTTGGTTAACTTCTGATGCTACGGTAGAAGGTAAAACAAAAAACTAAAGTGTCAACTTCTGAAAGGCAGTGCAAAATCTTTCACTGTCCAGTGGTGTTGAGGAAACAAAGACCTACCATTGATAAGGGCCCTAAAACAAAACAGACGTAAGTTTCAGAAGAACTGGTGAATTGATGCCAAGTAGCAACAACCACTTATCACCTGAGGACACTTACTGATCTGAGTGCTTGTTTGGAGCTAATAATCCAGGTTTGGCCTCTGACAATAGGCTCCTCCAGTGGACTAAGAAAATAGCAAGTGTTTTGTCATTTGACGTGGTGCTGCAATGACAAGATTTGAGAGTTGATGACTTCAAGCACTTTGTAGGTGTCTTTTTCAAAACACTTGTTAAATGTTGAAGATGTATGGAGTAGAAGACTAATGAGCTAAGCTGAAAATTTCTTTAAGTTCAGCCTAAATCTCCTTCAGCTCTTCAGGATTGAGAAGATGAAAGCTATCGGGTTTTTCATTGAAAGTCATTGAGGACTATGCTCTAGAAATGGGGCAAAACTGAAGTCATGCATCACTTAGCTAAAGGGACAAGCTCTAAGAAATGTGTCATTAGGTGATTTCATCTTTGTGTGAACATCACAGAGTGTCCTTACGCAAACTAGATGTTATAGCCTACTATACATTTAGGCTATATGGTACACCCTATTACCCCTAGGCGACAAACCTGTACAGCATGTGACTGTATTGAATACTATTGGTAATTGTAACACAATGCTAACTGTTTATGTATCTAAACATACAAAAGGTGTGGTGAAAATACCATATGAAAGATTTTTAAATGGTAGATCTTTCTAGGACACTTACCATGAATGGAGCTTGCAGGACTGGAAGTTGCCCTGATGAGTCAGTGAGTGAGTGGTGAGTGAATGCGAGGGCCTAAGGCATTACTATACATTACTGTAGACTTTATAAATACTGTAACTAAGACAACATTAAATTTATGAAAAATGTTTTTCTACAATAATTAACCTTAGCTTACTCTAACTTTTTAAACTTTATATACTTAATTTTTTAACTTTTTGACTGTTTTGTAATAGCACAGCTTAAAACACAAACACTATACAAAAATATTTTCTTTATATCCTTATACTATGAGCTTTTTTCTACTTAATTTTTTTTTTTTTTTTTTTTTTTTTTACTTTTTAAACTTAAAAAAAAAATCTAAGAAACACACACATTAGCCTAGGCCTACTCAGAGTCAGGATCATCAATATCACTGTTTCCCACTTCCACATCTTGTCCTACCAAAATGTCTTCAGGGGCCATAGCACACATGGAGAGGCCATCTCCTATGATAACTACACTTTCTTCTGGAATTCCTCCTGAAGGACCTGCTTGAGGCTCTTCTTGAGGAGGTGTCACTCTTCAGAAACAGGTCCATGATGGTTTGCTTGGTTTCCTTTTTTCATCATAGATTTGCTTATAAGCAGATGATTCACCGTGAACATTCCTCTTTATTAATGAAAACCTTGTTGTGCTGGGGTTCATGTTTTCAAATTTTTAAGGAGCTTGTTGAGGTCTGCAAAAGCTCCTGCTAAACCCTGCACAGGGAATTTTATTTGGGGTTCTTCTTCTTCTTCTCCTTCAGTTTCCTTTTTTTCTGACCACTACTTCAACTATGCATTCCTGTCTCAGTTCCAACAACTCCTCATTAGTCAATTCCAAGGAACTACCTCTAGGAGCTCCTAATGCCATCCTCATCCGTACTCAGTTTAAAGTTGTTTGCCATCTCAACCAAAGCCTTGTAGATTTTTGCAATCTCCTCATCCTTGGCAAACCCTTTGAACTCACAGACAAACCTCCTGAGTGTCTTCTTCCAGATGCCATTCACACACTCCTCGGTGACATCATCCCCATCCCAAGCAAGGTTCTTGATGTAGCCATAGCTGTTGTTATCCTTCCAGAATTGCATTACTGTCTTCTCAGTGTCTTCCTGAGTTACCATAATAACATGGGCAAAGGCCCTCTTCAGATAGTAAACCTTAAAAGCTGCTATAATTCCTTGATCCATTGGTTGGATTAAAGAGGGAGAAGCACCACTTCGATATTGGGATAAAGATCATTAATAACAGGAGGATGTGCAGGAGAACAAATAACCATAAACAAAATCTTGAAAGATGGTATTTTTCAGACAATGCCTCTCTATTTCTCTGGCATAGCAATTTAGGATGTAATCATGGAAGAGGAGATGGGTCATCCATGATGTTTTATTACACCTGTAGTGTACTGGCAGGGTATACTTTATATATATATATATATATATATATATATATATATATATATATATATATTTTTTTTTTTTTTTTTTTTATGGAATCTAGCTCTGTCTTCCAGACTGGAATGCAGTGGCATGATCTCGGCTCACTGCAAGCTCCACCTCCCAGATTCACACCATTCTCCTGCCTCAGCCTCCTGAGTAGCTGGGACTACAGGTGCCCACCACCACACCCGGCTAACTTTTTGTATTTTTAGTAGAGACAGGGTTTCACTGTGTTAGCCAAGATGGTCTTGATCTCCTGACCTCGTGATCCGCCCACCTCGGCCTCCCAAAGTGCTGGGATTACAGGCGTGAGCCACCGTATCTGGCCTCTTTTTATATTCTTAAAGGAAGGTCCTGGGGTTTTCACCTTGCTGGATCACAAAGGGCTTTAATTTGTAGCCTGCAACATTGCCCTCAAGCAAGACCATTATCTGTACTTAAAAGCCTTGAAAGCTAGCATTGACTTGGCCTCCTTATGGGTTAAATTCCTTTCAGGCAGTGAGAACAAAGACACAACATACCAGAATTTCTGGGACACATTTAAAGCAGTGTGTAGAGGGAAATTTATAGCACTAAATGCCCACAAGAGAAAGCAGGAAAGATCTAAAATCAACATCCTAACATCACAATTAAAAGAACTAGAGAAGGGCAAACAAATTCAAAAGCTAGCAGAAGGCAAGAAATAACTAAGATCAGAGCATAACTGAAGGAGATAGAGACATGAAAAACCCTTCAAAAAATCAATGAATCCAGGAGCTGGTTTTTTTTTTTTTTTTTTTTGTAAAAAAAGATCAATAGATAGACCGCTAACCAGACTAATAAAGAAGAAATGAGAGAAGAATCAAATAAATGCAATAAAAATGATAAAGGGGATATCACCACTGATCCCACAGAAATACAAACTACCATCAGAGAATACTATAAACACCTCTGATAGAACAGACTTTAAACCAGCAAAAATCAAAAGAGACAAAAGAGGGCATTGCACAATGGTAAAGGGATTAATTCAACAAAAAGAGCTAACTATCCTAAATATATATGCACCCAATACAGGAGCACCCAGATTCATAAAGCAAGTTCTTAGAGATCTACAAAGAGACTTAGACTCCCACATAATAATAGTGGGAGACTTCAACACTCCACTGTCAATATTAGACAGATCAACAAGACAGAAAATTAACAAAGATATTCAGGACTTGAACTTAGCTCTGGACCAAGCAGACCTAATAGACATCTACAGAACTCTCCACCCCAAATCAACAGAATATACATACTTCTCAGCACCACATCGCACTTGTTCTAAAATTGACCACATAATTGGAAGTAAAACACTCCTCAGCAAATGCAAAAGAATGGAAATCATAACAGTTTCTCAGACCACAGTGCAATCAAATTAGAACTCAGGATTATGAAAGTCACTCAAAACCACACAACTACATGCAAACTGAACAACCTGCTCCTGAATGACTACTGGGTAAATAACAAAACGAAGACAGGAATAAAGACATTCTTTAAATTTCCACTCTTAGCCTCACTTTTTGTGTGTCTGCATCCTTGATCTCTATGGCCACGAGACAACAAACCTCAGGTCACCCCAGACAAACGAGGCTGCTTCAATCCCACTTATATGAGGTGCCTAGGTAGCCAATCTCATAGAAACAGAGAATAGGTTGGTGGTTGCCAGAGACTGGGGGCAAGGTAAATGGGGGAGTTACTGTTCAACCAATATAACATTTTAGTTATGCAAGATGAATAAGTTCTAGAGATCTACTATACAACATTGTGCCTATAGTTAACAATACTGTGTTGTAGTTAAAAACTTGTAAAGAGGGTATATTTCATGTAAGGTGTTCTTATCACAACACAATGAAATAAATTGGAAAATGAAGGTGGTCCAGAATTTATCATTGTTACCAGCAAGAGGGTTATTTCAATACAAACTACTCCGTCAATACCAGAGGCCATGACTCTCCTTCCAGAGCTTTTAATTAAGACCCAGGTAGGTCTCTGTTCCTACAAATGTCAGTGAGAGATTCAGCCCTGAACTTCAGTACTTGCTGGCCCAGCTCCCTGGCCTCCTTCTCAGGTGGCTTCAGGAGCAGGCACATGTGAAAACGGGGAGACCCACCTTGTGCTCGACAGACCCAGGCTGAAGGCAGTTCTCCGTGTCCTGAACACAAGCAACATGGAGGAGTCCTCATTCTGCCTTTGGAGTTTGGGGCCTGGCTCATAGCTCAGTGCTGCACCACAGCTCAAGAAATATCTTGTGGGGAAATCACGCCATGAATTTGAGAATTTGAGAACCTCAAATATCTAATTTCTTAGTCTGTCCCTGTGTCCCTTGCTTGGTTTCCCTTTCTCCAGCAGATTCCCTCCTGAGCCCATGACACCTCTTCTGTATGAACAATGAATTGGCAAATGCCCCATGGGTGGCAGGGGAAGAGCTGTGATTGTCAGCTCACCTCAAAAGGGTCACCTATTCTCTGCAATTGTATTTCATCTAGTGCATGTTGCTTCCACAGCTCTCCTTTTCCTTTAAAGTACGAATTTTGTGTTTTAAATTTTTAACTTTTCTAGCTGGTGTACTGGGAGTGTTGAGTTAATCTGGCAGTATCCCACAGAGAAGTCAAAGTCGTATATTTATGTTCTGTTATGTTTTTCTTGGATTTTATTATTTTTTGTTTTCTTATATATTTTTTAATTGATGCCATGCAGAAGAAAAATATGAGTGATAATTTGAGGCTCCAGGAAATATTATATTTCTCTAGAGGTTATTTAGTTTTGCTTGTGTCAGGCAATGAGGCTATGAGGCTAAGGTCATTAATATCTCAAATCACCCAAATCTAGTCTAGGATTAGTTAGTTAGAACTCAAGATTCAGTTCCTATGAAGGATGATCTGTTTCTATTTCACCTTATTCCACATATTAGACTTCCAAGGTTTCTATGGAAAGCGTATTTTTATCTTATGGAGTCCTTCCTTTATTTGTGAGGCATGAAATCCAAATTTGTCCCTCTAGCCCTTTGAACATTTTGTGAGGTTTTTGTGCTTAATGGAAGTTGAGCCAAATGAAAAGGAACACAGGTATCAAACACCACATGGAAGCTGAAGCAGCTAGCTGTATTGAACATGTTTCCCCCTCACATAATAAATAGCATATATTCTTATCAAGCTGGAGCTGGCATCGTAGGAAGCACTTTTTCTCTTTGCATTTACATCTTCTGATCTTTGGGAATGAAAATCGTCTGTATACGTGATTCTTTCCTACTTGGTTGTGGCCATTATCTTGTTCCCTTACTCTAAGGAATTATCTAGATGTTGAATGATTTGGGGCTGGATAATGATGGATGTGAAGTTGTATTTTACTTGCTCATGGTTAGCTGGAACGTTTCCCTCCCCACAATCTACCTAAGTAGTTTCCAAGCTGCCGATATCAGATCAATCAGGTCCAGGTGAGCAGGAATAGAATCCAGAGCCGCCACATACACTGGGATATGAGGATGTCTGTTGAGTTGTGTTTTGTATAAATTGTGAAAGGAAACTAAAAATTTGGCACCCCAATTCACCATGTCAAAAGGAAAGAATTAAGGTGAAAGCTGAGTCACGCAAGAAATTGCCTTTCCTTTGGTTTCCAAGCAGATAGCTACAGATAAAAGGTTAAAAATATCCCCACCGGTAGCTACTCTATGTTCACCTAATCATATGCAAAGCGATGATTTACTGAGAGCAAGATGAATACATAACTGACTTTTCCCCTACCTGCCCCTTTTTCCTTGCAACATGTGGATTGCCATACCTTCTCTCTTTCCCTGTCAGCCCACTTTTCCCCTTTAAATATTGAAATCATCTTTGGAGAAAGACACAGACCAGATTGCCTGTGTCATTTGATGATTTTTTCTTTCCTGCATGTCCCTAACCTTGGGAAAATAAACTTCTAAATTGCTTAAGACCTGTCTCAGATACTTTTTGGTTTACAACCTTGACATATATCAGAGTTTCAACCTATGTGATAGTCCAAGGAAGAGTGAAAATTACCAAGGAAAGTACACTATTGGAGCTATTCAATTCTCCCTCCAGTCTGCTTTTCACCTTTAAATATTGAAGGCTTCTAAATCATCTTTGGAGAAAGCCACAGACTTGTCTTCTGGGCATTGTCTTAAACCCTAGCAAAATAAACTTCTAAATTGATTGAGATCTGTCTCAGATATTTTTGGTTTAGAGTATTGTAACTATGGTCTTTGTACTTGCCGCACTGCCTCCTCTCCGTTTGATTTACCAATGCCCAATGAAGCCATGTTTTCAGCATGCAAAACCCAGGAAAGAAATTCTACAAAACTTGCCAAGCAAGAACTCAATGTTGCACAAAACTCATAATGATAGTGCACCAGCTCATCGAGAGGGGAGCCAATTCACAAACAAGCATGAGAAAATCTAGATGAAGGCCATTTTACCAGCCCTAAAAAAGCTATTTCTGGCCGGGCGCGGTGGCTCACGCCTGTAATCCCAGCACTTTGGGAGGCCAAGGCGGGAGGATCACGTGGTCAGGAGATCGAGACCACCCTGGCTAACATGGTGAAACCTCGTCTCTACTAAAAATACAAAAAATTAGCCGGGCGTGGTGGCGGGCGCCTGTAGTCCCAGCTACTGGGAAGGCTGAGGCAGGAGAATGGTGTGAGCCCGGAAGGCGGAGCTTGCAGTGAGCCGAGATCACGCCACTGCACTCCAGCCTGGGCAACAGAGCAAGACTCCGTCTCAAAAAAAAAAAGCTATTTCCATTTATGAATTTAACTATAAATAACCATATAGTATAAATAACTATAATTGATATGAAAATATATAAAGTTATTCAGTTGTTAATGGATACTTAAGTTGTTTTGATGTTTTGCTATTAGGAATGAAGTTGTAATGAACTTGCAATAGTTCTTGATGTATGTTCTAGAGTAGCATTGTAGTAGTAATGTAGTATGATAATGTATATATATTTTCAACCTTACTATGTTATGCTGACTTGTTTTCCAAAATGATCCTAACAATTTCTATTTCCTTCAGAAGTCTGTTGGTAGAAACATTGACCCACATCCTTGCTAGGTTTTGATATTTTTATTGTTTTTTCAGTGTGGCATTTATTTACATTTCTCTGACTTATAATGAAGAGTTTGAAATTTTTTCACATATTCACATGTCATTTATACATGTTACTATAAAATGTTTCTTCTTGCCTTTACCATTTTTTTTCTCAGAAAAATATAGTCCTTTACTAATTGATTTGTAGGAGGCCTTTCTATGTTCTGGGTACTAATCCTTTTCATAGTTTAATATGTTGTAAGTATCTTTATCCAGTTTACCAAAAAAATTTCCTCTCTCTAGTGAGTGATTCCAATCAGCATATAAACATGCCACTGCATTTCCTTTTCCCTAAATCCAACTCTGCTAATGAATTTTTACTTCTAATCTGAAGGAAACTCTTAAAAATATTGGGCTGCACCTGTTATTTCCATTCCTCCCCATTCTTCTTCCACTCTTCACAGACCAGGCTACAGTCCACATCTTTAACTGAACTCCTTGTCACTGACATGTTTTAGCTCCATGTTGCCAAATCCAATGGTCATTTCTAGGATGTCATTTTATTCATCATATCAGAAGCATTTTATGTAGTTAACCACTACTGCATCATTGATGTATTTTCTTGACTTGTTACTAAACCTCACTGTCCTGAGATTCTCATCACACGAGAATAACAGCCAGATCTCAGCCTGCCTTGCCAAGTCTCCCATCTTCCCAACCTCTAAATGACTGAGGGCCCAGGACTCATCTCTTGCATTTGTTTCCTATGCATCTTCATTCCAGAATCTCCCATGGATTCCCACAACTAAGCACAATTCTTTGTTGAAGTTTCTCTAACTTACATTACTAGCCTTGACATGTTGCCCATAGCTTTGAAGCATGACTTGAAACCAAGCTTTGCATATTTCTTCTGTCCTTTTTCAAATAAGTTTTGGCTATTGTAGATCCTTTGTATTTTCATATAAATTTTAGAATTGTCTATTGCCACAAAGAAACCCAGTGGGAATATTGATCAAGATTGTGTTGAGAACTGTTATTTCAAAAATATCAATTCTTCCCAAATCAAAATATATTATATCTCTTTACACATTTAGAATTTTATCAGTTTCTCTCATCAGTATTTTATAGTTTCACATCACACATCTTTCGGTTCAGTTTATGTCTAAGTATTTTATGTTTTTATTGCTGTCATAATGAAGTGATTTTTAAATTTTATATGTGATATTCTGCTGTGGTGTATAGAATTACAATTTGTTTTTGTATTTTACCATTGTTAAATTCACACATTCTAGGCATTTTCAATAGCTCTCTTAGGGTTTTATATATAAGCAATCAAGCTTTCCAGGCTGTAATGTTTACTGTTTGCCAAAAGGAGTCTGAAATTATGTGAAATCTGCTAGGCTTAAACTAATTTTTAAAATAATAAAAGTTGAAAGAAAAAGCCAGGTCAATTTAAAAAATAAAGAATATTTTAAAAATAGTTTCCCATGCCCAATTTTATGTTAAAATACAACCAGACATAGTTAAATGTTTTATATATGGTCATGAAACTAAATTGTCCCCAATTATTTTCATATTCCAGTTCATATCAATTTCAATGGCTAGGCTATCCTTTGGGATATAGTTTTCCTTTCATCCTGCTAACCCATTAATTATCCTTTTCTACGTGTCCACAAATGTCAGAGGTGTTTGAGCCGGAGCAACTCCATCTTGAATAGGGGCTGGGTACAATGAGGCTGAGAGCTACTGGGCTGCATTCCCAGGAGGTTAAGGCATTTTCAGTCACAGGATGAGATAGGAGGTCTGCACAGGATACAGGTCATGAAGACCTTGCTGATAAAACAGGTTGCAGTTAAGAAACGGGCCAAAACCCACCAAAACCAACATGGCCACAAGAGTGACCTCTGGTCATCCTCACTGCTCATTATATGCTAATTATAAAGTATTAGCATGCTAAAAGACACTCCCACCAGCGCCATGACAGTTTACAGATGCCATGGCAACATCCAAAATTACCCTATATGGTCTAAAAAGGAGAGAAACCCTTAGTCCAGGAATTGCCCACCACCTTCCCGGAAAACTCATGAGTAATCCACCCCTTATTTAGCTTGTAATCAAGAAATGCTAAACCTACATGAAGTATGAACGATTCCTTACATTCCATTCCATGCACCACATCCTCCCTGAAGATTGTCTTGATTCCTTCATAGTTATTGAATTATTATAATATTAGTGCCTATGTTCTCTACTCTCAAAAGTGAAAATGACATTAATAACTGAATTTATAATATTTTCTGCTTTGCTACCTTAAGAATGAGTGCCTGGTATTGCGACGTGATTACAACGAATTTAAGACAATGAAGCAGTCCTCTCTCCCTATCTCCCTCATATCCTCTCTGGCTCTCTCTCTCTCTCTGTCCTTCTCTCCTCCTCTCTTTCCCCCGCATTCTCCCAGGGTGGTTCAGTGGCAGAATTCTGCTGGGACGTTTAAGAGAGAGAAGCATATTCAGCAGCAGCAGCAGTTTTCCTATTCCTGCCCCCATCCGCGGCTTTGAACTGAGTTTACCACGAAATACAAAAACACAATTTTAGAAAGAAAGATATTGGCAGTTAAGATTTGGGAAGTTTCTTAATGGGACTCTCAGTCCTTCCCGCCACTCTGAAATCGCGGTGCAGTCGTAAAATCTTGGAGGCGGTTCTTGAACAAAACTGTCATCTACTGGCCATGTGTGGAACTGCAACAGCCCGGTGGGGAATGTACTTCGCAGAGATGGAGAGCCTCTCAGAGGCCCCAAGAGGACCAAGTAAAAGCACCCAGGATGAATGGCAGGCTGGATGGGTGCAAATGCAGGAGGCTTAGTAGATCGGTGTGCTTTTCTTTGCCTTCTTTCTCCCGATATTTGGAAGGGTACCCTATTTCCAGTGTGAGACATGCCCGGATATCTCTGTGAGTGCAGCTTCTTTGGGGTCCTGGGAGGAGTGTGATGGTATTAACACATTCTGTACACCCTCTCCCCGCAATTCCCCAAGGGGGCATCTGCATTAGTTTTGGAGTCAACTGAGGTGGGCTTCACCGAAGCTTACATCTCTTCCTGGGAACTTTAGTCTTATAGGCTCCCACCTGCAGTAGAATCAATTTTAGGTAATTTCATCATTTTCAAAAAATAATAGATGATCATTGTGATTGTCTTAAACTTCTGTAACTCTTTCATAAAAGTAAATTTAAAAGTAAAAATTTATTTTATTTTATTTTATTTATTTATTTTTTGAGACAGAGTCTCACTCTGTTGCCCAGGCTGGAGTGCAATGGCGCAATTTCAGCTCACTGCAACCTCCGCCTCCCAGGTTCAAGTGATTCTCCTACCTTAGCCTCCGGAGTAGCTGGGATTACAGGCGTGCACCACCACGCCCAGCTAATTTTTGTATTTTTAGTAAAAACGGGGTTTCACCATGTTGCCCAGGCTGGTCTCAAACTCCTGACCTCGGGTGATTCACATGCCTCGGCCTCCCAAACTGCTGAAATTACAGGTGTGAGCCACCACACCCAACCTAAATTTTTTAAAATTAAAAGTTTTAGAGGAACTGGTTTGTCAGACACTTTTTGTAAAGTATATGACAGCCATGTATGTAAAGAGCTCAACTTAGACTGTAGGTCAGCCAGAACTAAGAATACCTCAGTCCTCCATCCCTAAATGTTTGGGCATTTTCCTATTCAGAAGTTCTACTGCCTGCCCTTCCTCCTTTCTTCTCTTTTCTTTTTTTCTTCTTTTTTCTTTTCTTTTCTTTCCCTCCCTCCTTCCTCCCCCCTCCCTCCCTTCCTCCCTTTCTTCCTTTCTTCTTTCCTTCTTTCCTTCTTTTTGCCAATCAAGAAAAATGGCCAGAGGTGCAGATTGAACCGTGGCCACGCTGTGAGGAAAGGCCTCCGTCCTGTGAGCACCACCCTCCCCTCACTGGCCTCGGGAATCCCAGGCCCCCCACTCACATCTGGGGGAGGAGTCGCAGGGCTTCTGCAGGTGCTCTCTCTCCTCCAGTCAGTCAGCAAACCGAGGGGACTGTGGAGGACAAGCCACTGTGCCTCCAGGAGATGAGAGCTGCTGATTTTTCTTTCCTTTCCCTGAGGAAACGATACCTGTATAAGTCTCACTGCTGGGAGACTCCACAAAGTAATCATCTTTCTGGTGAGTTGATCTGAGAGCTCTCAAAACATCTTTCAACCAGGTCCCCAAGAAACAGCTGATGGCGTCGCCTGAACTTCTCCATATTCATAGCAACACTCCTGACATTTCTTGGATTGACCTTGATTTCTTATCTTCATTTCTAATCTCCTCTATTTTTCTATCCACCTTCTTTCCAAGACCTTCCATTCCCAGTAATGACACCTAATAGCTATAAAGGGATTTTGTATCATGATTATATTCTTACTTTATCCTTACAACGATACTTTAATGTGAGCCACCCACATACTATCCCTGTGTAAAAACTAAGAAAATTGAGACCCCTGGAAAGAACAGACTTACCCAAAGTAAAGCTTGCCCAAATGTATAGCAAAGCTAGAATGAAAATCTCAGTCAGCCTAAACTCAGGGCTTCTTTTGTCGTCTAGTGGCTGAGGGAGTTATGAATGTGGGTCACAGGTGACCGCCGCATTTGAAGAAGGGTCTGTAAGTAAATCGACTTGCGGAACATCCTTGAAGCCGACAGTGAGCCCGTCTCTGCTGCCCTCTGGTGGCCAGGCAGATCCATGACTCCCCTCTCCTGTTCCTCCTGCCCTCGCCGGATGCTTGTTTTTCCCTCTCCTCAGTTCTAGCAGCTTATGCCTTGTTTTCCCGCTTCTCCTGGAGGTGGACTGTAGTCAGAATGCAGAGATTGTGACTCCTTTTTTTCTCTCCCACACACCAACATCTTCCTGCACAAAATGACCTCCCATAATATGTAGCATAATTTAGGACACAGTTCTCAGCACAGGCAGACCTCTGAGAAAGTGTATGCAGATGATTTGTGAGAACACACACACGCGAGTGTAAACGGAGCTTCTTTACGCGGTGAGTTGGCGCTGATGTGACTGACCATAAAAAATTCAAATAATTGCAGCATTTGGTACCATAGAGATGATACTACAGAATGCATGCAATGAGCGGCATCTTTTCACACATTCAGGTGTATAAAGTAAATTTCTATATTTTCCTATTACGGATTTTAATTTGTATGCCAAGCATTATTATGTCTTCTGACAGAGGAGTTCATCTGGTAATTTCCAGATAAATTCAGGGGCTTTCACACAATTAATTTAATAGCAGCGTCTCCTTCACCTGCCGTGTGATTTCTAAGTTCTGAGGTGGGAGGCGGAGCAGGGCTGGTGTAGAAGTCTCTCCTCACATTTGCATCATCAGCTCCCACAATATGTCACTATCCCGTCGTGTTTCCTGGTCGTCACTGTCCTTCCCACAGTGGTGACGATCACTGTTATGTCCTTGATGCCACTCTCCTCTTGCTGGAACATTCCATCCCAGCATTTTAGGCAGCAAACTTTCATCCCACTGTTGGAGCCTTCCAGAGTCTGCCACTTCTTGCCTTGGAGAACTTTTCCTTTGCTGCCACTCTGAGAGGGACATCTGTGGGCATCGCTACCATTCTGGGAACCGGAGGTGAAGTGGGGTTCATTCCCCTCTACTCCAATTGAGAGAGAACCAGGGTAAAGAGACCCTCCTATCCTCGTCCATGTTTAATTGTTTCTCTTCTCTCCAAATCTCTCATCCTCTACAGTGAGGGGAGGGTCTTTGTCTAGACTGAAGGATGGAGGGGGAAACCCTTACATTAAGAATCGTAACCGTAAGTCAGGGGACCCAATTATGGGCTGCTCATAATGGGAGGGAAAGAAACTTAAGGAAAAAATCGGCTCAAACCTTGTAACATCATAACGCTGCATATGCTTTTATCATTACATTGACATGAAAATCTGCAATTAAATTAAAAATTGTTCTGGAGAACTCTTGAAATCCTGAGACTATATCTGAGACCCCCTCTAGCTCAAGGAACACAGACTTAAGGGGAACGTAAAGGAAAATCTGGCAGAAACAAAAACACACACAAAATATGCCTATCATTATACTCTTCATGCCCAAATATTATGCTGAGAAGGTTATTACATTTCTTTGGTAAACATCTGAGAGTAATTAAACCTTTTATTACTCAGCAAAGGGAGATAAAGTACCTGAGTAAAAAGAGCAATAAAGTAGCCCACAAGGGACCTTGGCCCAGAGCTCTGATCCTGGAGAGGGCAGTTCCTTTCTCTGGGTCTCTGTTTTCTCATCAGTGGAATGAGGGATGGCACGTTTGATATTCAGTTTTGCTTCCAACTCCAGCCCGATGAGTGCCATGCTCTGGTGGAGACTTGGCACTAGTTGGGAATCTTTGATGTGTGGCAAGGTGGAGGGAAGGGTGGATAGCACCCGCTGATGTGTGGGACGGTGGGGTCTGTGTGAGGACCTAACTGGGGGGTTGCAGATGAGGCCTCCATGAAGGCCTTGGCTTTCTGGGGAAGGTGAGAATTGCCAGTGTCATGATTTTGTGTGCACGTCTGCAGAATTCACAACTGAACCCAGCCAAAGTCCACTTGTCCCCGGAGTTTCACTGTTGAGAGGATTATAGCTGTTAGGAGGTGAATGTGCTATTCTGATTTTCAGAATGCAATCTCATTTTCACAGGGCCTCCGGGATTTGGCTCTGCCTTCAACTGGGGTGAGATGGCTTAAATCCTCCTTCACCCAAAGTCCTGGAGGAGGCCTCCACACTCTCTGGCTCTCCCACAGTTCTGTCTTTGATCAGCACACCCCAGGGCTCTGACCTGTTTCTGACCACCTGCTATGTGGATGAAGATACATCTGGGGCTAAGTGAGAAGACCCAGTAGCACCAGGTTTCGCCCCAAAGGAGAGAGGGAGACACGTGAGTGGTTTGGATTCCCTGGTGAAGGATGGCCACGGGAAGCTGGGGACATTGTCTCAGATTACAGAGTAGGACATACGGACAGAATCAATGTCCTTTAGGGAAATGCTGCCACCTGTTACACTGCCTCCCACTTACATTTATATCCCACTGCGCAGTCTTCAAAGTGCGATTGTAGCCCATTTGACCCTCACAGTGTTCTTGTGAAGCAGGCTGAGTGAGGAAGAAGCACGAAATTAAAAACAAGAAAACCAGGATCACATTTTCATTTGTCATGGATGATGTGGGGCATGTGTCCCTGAGCCTTGACGTCTTCTTATGTCACATGGTCATGACACAGCTTGGAAAACATTAGGATGATTGTCTCCACCACACAGCAGAGAAAATACAGGCTCAAAAAAGTAAAGAAAGATGTCCAAGGTCACACACACACACACAAAAACCCAATTCACTTTGTCTCCTAGAAATCTTATTTTAGCTTTCTCTATAAAAATGTATTGTTTTAACATATGATAAACTATAGCTGTTTTTTTTTTTTTAATTTTTTTTTTTATTATACTCTAAGTTTTAGGGTACATGTGCACATTGTGCAGGTTAGTTACATATGTATACATGTGCCATGCTGGTGCGCTGCACCCACTAATGTGTCATCTAGCATTAGGTATATCTCCCAATGCTATCCTTCCCCCCTCCCCCGACCCCACCACAGTCCCCAGAGTGTGATATTCCCCTTCCTGTGTCCATGTGATCTCATTGTTCAATTCCCACCTATGAGTGAGAATATGCGGTGTTTGGTTTTTTGTTCTTGCGATAGTTTACTGAGAATGATGGTTTCCAATTTCATCCATGTCCCTACAAAGGATATGAACTCATCATTTTTTATGGCTGCATAGTATTCCATGGTGTATATGTGCCACATTTTCTTAATCCAGTCTATCCCTTCCTTACACCTTATACAAAAATCAATTCAAGATGGATTAAAGATTTAAACGTTAAACCTAAAACCATAAAAACCCTAGAAGAAAACCTAGGCATTACCATTCAGGACATAGGCGTGGGCAAGGACTTCATGTCCAAAACACCAAAAGCAATGGCAACAAAAGACAAAATTGACAAATGGGATCTAATTAAACTAAAGAGCTTCTGCACAGCAAAAGAAACTACCATCAGAGTGAACAGGCAACCTACAACATGGGAGAAAATTTTCGCAACCTACTCATCTGACAAAGGGCTAATATCCAGAATCTACAATGAACTCAAACAAATTTACAAGAAAAAAACAAACTATAGCTGTTTTTAATGTCTACATAGATACATAAGCTTTCAACTTCGTGAACTAAGATACATAAGCTTTCAACTTCCTGAACTAAGTTAATTTATTCTTACCAGTCAGTTACTATGGCTGCTTGGCATTTTGAGGAGCAACATTTGAGGCTTTTACTGAAAAAAGTTCTAATGACCCATGATACGTAGTAATTTGCAATTTTCTTTGATATGAGTTTTAGCAGTGCAGGATAGGCCTTGAAATTCAGAATTGTTCATCATCTAATGCCTAAACATAAGCTACCACTTATTATTACAATTTAACACTTAAACTTTATCCAGAAAATTAAATTAAATTAAACATGGGTTTTTGAGAATTTGATGATACATTTGCATATTAGATCATATATCTTGACAACACCAAAATTTACTATATTTAATAGGAACAGCAGTTTCAGAAGATTCTTGCATTACATCCAAATAGTAAAACGGAGGGGTCAAAAGCTTATCATTTTAAAAGGTTTTTACTTAAAGATGGCAATTTAAGTCTAGTTATCTATTTTCAAAAAATGTGCCAAAGCTTTTCAGCATCCTGACAGCAAACCCTGTGGCAGGGCATTTCCTCGGCACCACCGGCCTTCTGGGCTGGATGACTCTTTGTTGTGGGGGCTGCCACGTGCCTCATAGAATGTTTAGCAACACCCCTGGTTTCTACTCAATATATGTCCCCTCCCCCAGTCGTGACAACTGAAAATGTTCCCAGACATTGCCAAATGTCCTCTAAGGGCAAAACAGCCTCTTTGCCCATTAAGAACCCTGGTCCAAGGTGGTTATCCTCCCTGATATATTCTCTCACAGTCTATCTGAGCACTGGAGATGGATTCTCCCAACATTCTTCGAAAGCTTCATTGATTTGAGCAATTTTTTTGAGAGTTCACTTGTAGATTTTCCCTCCCACCGCTTTGACATGAAAGACCTACAGGAACGCAAGCCTCTGAAGTGGTCTGTAGCAAGTGTGAGTTCATTTTAGTTCACAAGGCTGAGAAATCATGCTTGGTATGGATGTTGTGGGGCTTTCTTTACTCTTACTTGGTGGAAAAAAATGTTCCTGCTTTTCACAAAAGGAGTCAGGGAGGCATCAGCAACACCCTTCAGTCTAAGGGGAGGTGACTGGTAAGTTTCAGGTGGCAAGGTGCTCATGGTCTGCACTGTCTTCTAACACCCAACCCCATTTTCACATAAATATCATACTGCCCTTTTCGATCTAGGTATTGTGAATGGGCTCATATAAGTTTCCTTAGAGATATCTTATATGAAAGTACATATTTTTTATAAAGCAAATGGGCAATATTTGTGTAACAACAATCTCCTGACTCATTTGATTGTTAAATCTCCATTTCAGAATGTTGATTTTTACCCCTGTCCCATAAAATCTTACTAGCAGTAGTTTCTTGGAAAGGGGGAAACTGTAATTGACTTGACATTGCTCCTGAGCTGGTTTCTCTACTTTGTGTGAAGCAAGTTTTCTTTCAATAAAATACTTGACACATCACATATAATAAGTCTTAGACTTCTTTCACTCTGAAGTTTGTATTTTTCAATGGTAAAACTAGCCTTCTATCCTTGTCCTGGTAAGTTTTAAAGTTTTTAGCTGTGTGAAGTATTTTTGTTCAGCTGGGACAGTGGGGTTGCTGGGTTTGCCAGTTTCTGCCAGTTGGGCTTTTTGTTTTTTTAATTCATTCGTGTTTTTAAGTCTATTCTAAAAGGCCACTTACAGATATTTTCCCGACTATCTTTCTACTACTCTTTCTTTCACTTTCCACGGCATCTCTGTGTCCCGGGTTCTCTGAGCGCTAGCACTGAATGTTGGCTTTCTGGCTGCAGTGTGGAGACGCAGAGCCTTCCTGCCCTTTCCTCCATGTGTAGAAAACAGTGGTAAAGAAAGGCTTTGCAGGAGGAGTTGGGAGGAGGACAGGAAAAAATATTTGAATCTTGCTCTATAAGTTTTGCAAGCTCACAACAGATGAACCTAAGGAGTTTTGTTTGCTTTGGTTTGGTTTGGGGTTTTTTTAATATTATTGTTCCTTTACCTCAAGTGTTTTTTCATTTCAGTCACAAGACTACCTTACACCTAAAAAATTGCTTAAAATATTGTCTCATGAAATTAGGGTTGCTGAGGCAGGAATAATTTCATAAAGTTCTATTGGAAGGCAAATGTCAGGACTGATGTAGGAAGACACACCAACGAAGTTGAGGGTGGTCCAAAGTCTGTTACAAGTTGGAAGGCTTTTGTAAGGAAGTTCAGGCAGAAAGAAAGGGGCTCTTCATATTGGAGTTGTCTTTTTTCACTGGAGGGTACAATACAGAGGTTACAATCATTGGACACAGATGACAATATATAGACTAAAATATTTCATGCACAAAACAATCAGTAAAACTTTATGATTCAGAAACAAATCCATATCCTTTTCGATGTCAGGAGGTTACATATTAACCACTACATCAAATTAGCTCAGAAGCTACATTGAAGCCGAACTACATCAACGTTTGGGTGTATGAGCAGATCTGGTTATAGGTTACAGAGGTATCCTTCAATCAGACGTTATCTTATGTGTAGGAAAAGGCAAGGACTATTATTGCTTATCTTTTAAGGAGTAGAGTGACTCAGGCAAGAGAGATGGGAGGCCGTGTGCTCAATCTTGTTTTGTCTTTGAAGCATCTTTCTGGAGAACTGCAGGTCATCACAGCAGGGGCTTTGTGAAAGTATGCTAGCAAGCCGAAATGAGCAAGCAAGGCTTCTTACATTTGCTACATTGTCTCACAATATAACACGTTAGGTAAAGGGTTGGATGTGATCAGTAATTGCAGAGAAATGGAGCCAAGCCCATTTCACTGACTGTGCAGGGGTTGATGTGGATTCTCTGCTAAGACTGCATAACCAATGGAAGCCATGGAGTGTGCCGGGTGTGTCACAGCCTCACTTAGGCACAGCGTTTCCTTGTCTTTGTTCCAGGGAGGATGGTGGATTTTCCAGGCTACAATCTGTCTGGTGCAGTCGCCTCCTTCCTATTCATCCTGCTGACAATGAAGCAGTCAGGTAGGATTCCCTTCTCCCTTTACTGTATAGTCTAATGTCCCAGTGAGCTAGTCTGGGTCCAAAGGTCGAGAACAACATCTAAGAGTGTAAGTCTGGGGCCAAGCCACCTGTATCCAAAAAGGAACTCCTCACTTTTGAGGAGCTCCTCCACTCCCAGGAGCTCCTCCACTCCTAGCTGAGTCACCTTTGGAAAGTTACTTGAGCACCTCATACCTTAGTTCTTTCACCTTTTTAATGAGAATAACAGCAGTAACTACATCTCAGAGGCCAGCACAGGCTTTAGGATTAAATGAGACATTAAAAGCACTTGAATCAGTGGTTGCACCACGTTAAATTATTAATTCACTCTAGTACTTTGGGGTCAAGAAATGCAGCTGCTTCTTATCATAAATTAAGCTGCAATTAAAAAAAATACTTGGAAATAAGAAATTAGAAGAAAGGGACTTTGGAAATCTCACTAGCTGAATTTTGACGTCAAAATGTTGCACCTTGAAAAATAATTATTTAAAAATTCAGTGTCAAAAAAAAAAAATCAGTGTCAGAAGGAGATGTCAGAGCCCTAAGGAAAATGCAGCATGGCGAAGTGGGAAAAAACACGACACAGAGCATCAGAGGGCGCAGGCTCTGCCTCGGCACCGCAGAGCTGGTGTGTCTGCCTCGGTGCCGCAGAGCTGGTGTGTCTGCCTTGGCGCTGCAGAGCTGGTGTGATGTGATGAAGCTGCTGGCTTCTCTGTGCTTGTGCTGCAGCTCCCTACCCTGTAACAGTCAATCTGATGGAATGTCTTCAGTTCTAGCTTCATATTTAGACTTCATCAATGAAGAATACAAGCAGATCTCCACTTAGGCTCTTTAGCCACCTTTTGAGCAGCATCTATTTGATACCCAGCAGCAGCTAAGTAGGGTGAGGTTCTTCCTAGCAGGATTGGATCTGCACAGAGAAAGAGCAAATGGCCCCGGAGCATTTAGAATGAGAAAGAACATATCATACATGACATAAAATGATCAAACATAATAACATACATAACTGTTAAACATCTCTTCAATTTGCAGATAACAAGGAAGAGATCAGACATGTCTTAGAATTTGTTTGGAAGACCCAAAAATCTCTAGACAAACCAGTGTCCTTAATCCAGCACAAAATGTCCTTGTGAAAACTGCATTGTACATAGTCCCAGTAATTGGCCTCCTGCCAACTCCAGACGGGAAAAAAACAAACAAAAAAAAAACAAAAAAAAAAACAGTTTTTATATCTAAGAGAAGAGGAATCCTGAAAGGCTAAAAAAAGCTAATAAATGGATTTATTATCTAAACTTCAGGAAAATAAAATGTTAATAACAAGAATAAGGTTTCCAATTTAAAAAGTCAATTTACATGAGAATAAATGACTCAAGGAATAAATAATTTACTTGAGAATAAAAACAACCCAGGTATGCTGGTATTAATATCTTGAAGATGAAGAAATTAGGACTTCAAATCTCAAAATCTTACCAAGAGTAATAGATTTGCCACCGAATCACATAGCTGGTAGGTGACAGACAGCAACCTCACCCACATTTTTGAACTGCATTTGTTTTCAGTACACAAAATTGACTCTGTAACAAACAGATGTGCAAATCATCATGCTGGATTTCTCTAAAACATTAAACATATATCTCTCCCTCTTCTAGTTGCCTCCATTTTGACAGGCTGGACACCCCAAAGCATGCATATGATTTTCTGATTGGCATTTCCTCGTTCCTCTTTTTCACTTATTTTATAGAAGACTTTAGAGTCATTGGCCCTGCTCATCCTATCCTGGCCGGGGTTGGGGAAGATGCCCTGTTAACCTGCCAGCTACTCCCCAAGAGGACCACAATGCACGTGGAGGTGAGGTGGTACCGCTCAGAGCCCAGCACACCTGTGTTTGTGCACAGGGATGGAGTGGAGGTGACTGAGATGCAGATGGAGGAGTACAGAGGCTGGGTAGAGTGGATAGAGAATGGCATTGCAAAGGGAAATGTGGCACTGAAGATACACAACATCCAGCCCTCCGACAATGGACAATACTGGTGCCATTTCCAGGATGGGAACTACTGTGGAGAAACAAGCTTGCTGCTCAAAGTAGCAGGTGAATATCTGGGGAAAGACACAGGGTCTCAAGAGGCAGAGATATATTAATTTGTGGTAAGCTTTGTGACAGTTGAGGAAATCCTTTTGAATCATCAAGGTAATTCCTAATGCTTAGTCCTCTACCCTGATTGATTTAAAAATAAGTGGTTCTGGAGTCTTCAAGCTTAGTGTTAAAATATTTTCCCAAATTTAATTTGCACAGTTTTGACTGTTCTTGAGGATTATTTGGAATCCATGACATGCAGTCTTTAGCAATTTTGCTGAGACACACATTTGTGCTACCTAAGGCTGGTGCGCAAGAGCAAACCAATTGCTGCATGAATGAGCCCAGCTGACGTCCGGCATCTGTATCTCAGGGCATTGGTTTTTCTCTACCCAATCCCATCTATGCAGAAACTGAGACGTGAAAATGTTCTTTCCTTGTGAAATGCCCTCAGTTAGAAAGCTATCAACAAGACTGAAAAGGCTAAGAATGTCGTGCTTTGGAGATTGTTATATACTAGTGTTCAATGAATTGGGGACTCACAGATGCTTTTGGACACACCCTCTGTGAATGGGAAGGTTCTTCATATTGCTGTTGTATTAGCTAAGCAGGAAGGAGTAGGGAAGAAGGGGACAACTGAAGAATGGATCTGTCTTATGAAAAGTAAACTATCATATGATTCCCTGACAGGGCTAACTTCTCCATGCTCTAAAGAGAAAATCAAGTAAATCCAATTACTAAGGCAAATGGGGAAAATAGTTCTCTGGAGATGTTAACGTCTCCAGCTGATACTGCTTCCTTCTTTACTTCCCTGGGAGGCTGTTTCCTAATACCTTTTTTTTTCTTAACATCCATTACTGTTACTGTGTTCAAGGTGATTCAAAATGGATGGAGGAATACATATATTTCTGACATGGGGGGACAGGGAACGTACTGATGTATTTCAATATCAGGAACATTTACAAATAAGTCACACATTTTCTAAGGGTCCAAGGGAAGGGAGTGGATCTCTCTTTTACCAGCAAGTGATTAAGACAGAATTCCCATTTATGGAAAATATAGTCCCCTTAGTTTGGGTGTGGGAGTTTCACGTTAAATAGAGAAAAAAAATTCATGATTTCATAAACTGTTGTAAACTAGGATTTCTCAAAACCATCTTACCCATTGAATAGAATATTTAGCTACAAATAACGCCTCGTGGAGATTCGCATTTCACATGCTCCCGTTTATCCACTTGCTTCCGAAGATCACAGCCACCAGCAAAAGATGCAGGAAGAACAGGCCCCTGGGGAGTGATTTCTGACTTTGTGTTAAATCTTCAATCAAATTGGAGTTCAAGACATCATCTAAAATACCAGACAATGTGCCCAATACAGATAATTTTAAGATGAAAAAGGCAGAGTTCATGGCACAGAGGAATTAATGAATAAATTACAGCTCATCTCTGTTTGCAGTGCTAGAGGCGTTGCAAAATGTCATGATGTCCCCCTTCTCCGATTCCCCTTTCTGGATCTGGAGAAAAGTACTGGTCAGATGCTAAAATGTAAAGACCCAGACTGGGGAACAAATAAAGTGTATCTGAACTCACATTTGAATGGGGAGACTGAGGTCGACTTTCTGCTCCTCAGACTCCTGAACTCCGGCCACCTCCCTGTGAGCAACGTCACTGGGATCTCAGCCTCTGTGATTTCTGCCTCTGTGGGCTCTGGGTGTCAGAGCTGTGGCTTCCCTCTGCAGGTCTGGGGTCTGCCCCTAGCATCCACATGGAGGGACCTGGGGAGAGTGGAGTCCAGCTTGTGTGCACTGCAAGGGGCTGGTTCCCAGAGCCCCAGGTGTATTGGGAAGACATCCGGGGAGAGAAGCTGCTGGCCGTGTCTGAGCATCGCATCCAAGATAAAGATGGCCTGTTCTATGCGGAAGCCACCCTGGTGGTCAGGAACGCCTCTGCAGAGTCTGTGTCCTGCTTGGTCCACAACCCCGTCCTCACTGAGGAGAAGGGGTCGGTCATCAGCCTCCCAGGTCAGTGCTCTGCCTCTAGGACCCACATGCTCAGATCAGCAGGAGAGGTCCCAGGGACTGCACCATAGCACCTCGTATTTTTATCAAGAGACATTATCTATCATATAGCAATATGTATTGAAAGCCATAAAACATTTATGACTGGAAATATACGCACTACATTTTACTTGAATAGCTGTTATGGCGCCTGCGTTATTTTTGAGTTCTACCTTTCCTTCTTCTGCATTGATTGTTTTTACTCACAAGTATTCATTGCATTGTAAAGAAAATAAAGCTATATTTCTTCAACTGAAATGTTTTCCTATGCTGTCTTGTGCTGATTACTTCTAGAAATCTATCATATGAAGATAATCAGAGATGTAGACAACTATTTGCATAATAGAATATTAATTATGGCCTTATTTATAAATAGCAGCAAAAACAACCAACCCCCCAATACAACAGTACAGTGTGGAATCTTGTCTTACTATACATTATAGCATTAATAAAAAGATATTTTTAAATAATTTTAATGGTTGAAAAAAATCCTCATGATGCACTATTCAATGATAAACATGACATCTACCTATAAATTGACATTTCCAATCACATAAAAGTTACTGGCCTTAAATAACTTATAACTGCACTAAAACTTTCAGGATACCCTCCACATTTGGATATAAGTATACAGTTATTCATATAAATGGATAGATTAAAAAAACTTTAAAGTTAATGTTACATTTTAATTTTAAATGAAGCTGATTGTATATTACATATAATTCGTCTCTCTACTTTGTAATTTAGGTGATACTGTTTATGTCCATATAATTTTGTACTTTCTGTGTATCTATAAAAGGAACATATGTTATTTTCATGCTGATAGCTAAGTATTTATGCTGTAAATATCAGAAGAAACCAACAGAATCATGGGGAGATAGAAGTGACAGCATTTTTGTTGTGCAGAGAAAAGGAAAAAAAGCTGTATCATTGGGTAATCTGTGGGAAAGAATCAGTATTTTTCTGCATTTCATTTTTTTAATGAATTGAGCTTCCCTATATAATGTATAAATTGCTTTCTTTTTTAAAAAATAGTTTCTCTCCTTTCCCTTACACCAAATTCCTTAATATGTTATTCTTGTTCTTTTTCCAGAGAAACTCCAGACTGAGCTGGGTAAGTACGAGGTGCTGGCACACACCTGTGGAGGGAGCCTCTGCCCTCCCCAGCAGAGGGAGGGGAGCTACCACGAGACCATGTGACCCAGAGGAAAAACTGAGGCACGATTTTACCAGGTCCTATGTTCATTAAATACCAGAGGAGACCAGCAAAGTAATGGCCTCATTCAAGGAGGTTGCAGCTGTGTTACCTGACACTTTGGGGGCTCATGGAGATTCCAGTGAGCATCAGATGGACACCTATAGGAAGCATGGCATCATCTCTGTTCTATGTGTTGAGGGGAAAGGGAGCTGCCTCAGAATGTGTGGGGGATGACAGCAGACAGCTGGCCGGGGCCTGGAGGCCCTTTGAAAACATTTCAAGTGTGAACAAGGGCAGCATCATTATGACAACCTGGGTTGCACCCAGCACCTCCCTGCTCAACTCTGCTATGGGGTCCTGCACCTGCTCCTCACCCCAGTACACCCCTAAGCTAATCACTATTGGGAGGGAGCTGTTACTTTCTGAGTGCAACCTGGGATACTGTGAGTGTAGCAATTTTTTTTTTTTTTTTTTTTGAGACGGAGTCTTGCTCTGTCGCCCAGGCTGGAGTGCAGTGGCGCGATCTTGGCTCACTGCAAGCTCCGCCTCCCAGGTTCAGGCCATTCTCCTGCCTCAGCCTCCCAAGTAGCTGGGACTACAGGCAACCGCCACCACGCCCGGCTAATTTTTTGTATTTTTAGTAGAGACGAGATTTCACCGTGTTAGCCAGGATGGTCTCGATCTCCTGATCTCGTGATCCCCCCACCTCAGCCTCCCAAAGTGCTGGGATTACAGGCGTGAGCCACCACGCCGGGCATTTTTTTTTTTTTTTTGAGACGGAGTCTCGCTCTGTTGCCCAAGCTGGAGTGCAATGGCGCCATCTTGGCTCACTGCAACCTCCATCTCCTGGATTCAAGCTATTCTCCTGCCTCAGCCTCCTGAGTAACTGGGACTACAGGCATGCGCCACCACACCCAGCTAATTTTTTTTTTTTTTTTTTAGTAGAGACGGGGTTTCACCATGTTGGCCAGGATGGTCTCGATCTCCTGACCTCATGATCTGCCGGCCTTGGCCTCCCAAAGGTGCTGGGATTACAGGCATGAGCCACTGCACCCAGCCTAATTTTTGTTTTTTAAATCTCGGAGTTGGACTGAGGGTATTATTTTGCTGCACCTGAGATAAGTGGTTTAAAACATAACCAGCCGATGGCTGAGCCCCTTTGAGTTTCCCCTTTACCTCCTTACTAGCTCCCTCCTTTTTATGGCCTCTTCTCCCAGCCCAAGGCAACCAGCCTGCCTCCCTGCCTAGGTGCATAGAACGTGGATCCCTTATGTGCTCTTTCCATCAATTCCTTGCTCTCCATCAAGTCACCTGCTCCAGGAATGTGTATCCATGTGTGTGCTTTAGGTGAGCTTAAGCACACCTTTCAGCCCACAAAAGAGTTTTTGAGGAAAATCAGGGTAACAAACACAACCCAATCTCTACCAGAGTCTACTATGGCACCTTCAACCCCATTAGGCCATAAACATAAAGGGAAGGGTCCCTGGAAGGCGCAAAGTAACTCCACAATCTGAGGAGAGACACACACCTGTGTATCTTACCCTTCTGAGATCAGGAAGTAAAGCCAGTGTTTGGGGCAGGTTGACACAAGTCTGTCTCTCAAGAAGGTTTTAGGAGAAGAGTCACTCCTCTGAGTTCTCTGAGACCCACTGGAGACCCAGCACACACAATACGACCCCATGTCCTGTTGTTCCTAAGTCATGGTAACCTCCGGGGCCACAATTAACCAACACGGAAAGATGGAGCTTCCCTTTGCTTCCTGTCAGGTGGGAGAGGAGGGCTCTGGGCACGGAAGCTTTGCAGGTGAGCTCTAATGATGGGACACCCAGCTCTCTATGGAAGTCCTAAGACTGAAATCACTGCTTGTAGTCTTACAAATAATGTTTTTCATTTATAAAAATAATAGTTTTTAAAAATATTAATTGTATGCCAGGCACGATGCTGAATATGTTATGGGAATTATTTCATTTTTTCTTACAATAATTATAAAGTTTAATTGCTTTATCCTCATATTACAGCTAAGAAACAATCTTAGAGACATACATGGTTTGCCAAAAATCAGGAAGAAATGGTGATGTTTACCTTCTAATCTACATCTATCTAACTTAACAGTGCAAGTCCTTAATTACTTATGTGTGACTTTGTCAGCTCATTCATCTCTATTTTTCTCATCTTTAAAGTGAACAGGTTGAATTTAATCTCTAATGTAGTGTCCAGTTCTAAGAGATTAGATATAACTTAGCATATTTGAGAAATGAGATAGTGCATTAATTGAATATGCTGATTGAAAGAGGATTATGTGGTATGATGATGAGATTATCAGGTTTCAAGGAATCAGTGTATAATTCAGTGTACTTCACGCTCCAGAAGGGAATTAATTTTTCAGTGGATATTCAGAAGGCATTCAGAACATACAAACAATAACCAAAACAAAACAAAGCAATATATTTCAGCACAAAATTGTCTGGAAGGCTGTGTACAAAACCGTATAGAAAAAGGAGGTTAACTACTGCATGTTCACACTTATAAGGGGGAGCTGATTGGTGAGAACACATGGATGCATGGCAGGGAACAACACACACTGGACACCTGTTGGGGGATGGGGGAGGGAGAGCATCAGGAAGAACAGCTAATGGATGCTGGGCTTAACACCTGGGTGATGGGATGACCTGTGCAGTAAGCCACCATGGCACATGTTTACCTATGTAACAAACCTGCACATCCTGCACATGTACCCCGGAACTTAAAATTGAAAGAAAAAAAAAGTGGGTTAGGCATAGTGGCTCCCAAGGAGCTTGTATTCTAGTAGAACATCAATTATTAACAAACAGGGCTGCATGATTTTTTTAGCACTTTAAACTTTAGTTTTACTTGGATTCTGGACAAAAGGAGTTTTGTCTGTATCTGTAATGCATCAAATTAATTGAATCTCCATACTTACATTTTGCTTCCTTCAGTCTCCATTGAAGTCAATTTTAGCTCTTAATTACCTATGTCAGGCAGGGCAAGCCAGTTTAAGATCTAATATGTGCACAGGTCACACACGGACAGGGAATAAAATCCTCATATGGATAAAGGAGATGAGGAAACAGTCTGTTTTATTAAGTAATTTACCGTAAGCCATGTGGATGCAGAAACAGCCCCAAACTAATCCCTAGTCCATTTTTTCTGATTCTTGTCTTCAGACTTTAATAGATACATAGGAGAGGAAAATAATATTGTTTTAGGTAAAATTACAGGACAAAGCAAACAAAATGCTGGAAATAACTGGGAGTCAACTGTTACCTGGAATGGAAGGTAATAATCTGAAAATTCAAATTGTGTTGACAGGGACTTTCCTCTCTACAAAGGTAGCTGGCAGTTTTCGGCCAATGACATAATGGGATGTTAACGCCTTTGGCCAGTGACTCTATGCAGAGAACCAACAATTTTATGCTTGTGTTTCTATTATAAATGATCACACCTTATGCAAAACCATTCTTATCATTTAACAGAAAAGGACGACACTTAATTTAGAATAGAGAAAAAATGGCACGGGCAGGGCCTGATGAGAATGGAAAATGTAATATAGCTTGGGCCCAGGAAAGCCCTCAGAGAACATCTTTCCCCACTTTGCACAGTGGGAGAATTAGACCCCTTTTTTACATTCATCATTGTTTCACAATTTGTACTTTGCCGACTTCCCCAATTATTGATCTTAAAATGTTAATTTTAATTTTCAAAATTATTTGAGGACATTCAACTGGTGTGTGTCTATAACTCCACCTATGTGGAGCATTGGGGAAATAAAATATAGCGGCTGGACCAGACTTACAAGGTACTATAAAGTCCACCTAGAGGAAAGCTTCTTCAAATATCATTACCAAAAGTCCACATGAGACACGTTTTTAAACCCCTCCCTATTACCACGTCAGAGGGTGGGGATGGCTCCAACGCCTTCAAGTCTCACAGGTCTGTGCACCTCTGCTCACGCTGCAGGGTCTTCCAGGCACTTAATGCAAACTATTTTGTTCAACTCTGAAACATTATGATTTTGGTAGTTGTATAGCAAATTTACAGTTTAAGAAACTGAGGCATTAAGAAGTAGTTTAAGACAGATTAAGAAGTAGTTTAAAATCATACAGAATTGAAGTGTTAGAAGAAAAACTTTAGACAGACTAAATTTAGCAGAGTCTAACTGAGAAAAGGATGACTCATAAACAAGCCATCCCTCAGAATCAGAACGGTTTCAGAGAATTCAAAGCAGCAATTTGGTCAGACAGCATTTATGGACAGAAAATGGAAATGAGGTACAGAAAACAGAAGTGAGGTACAGAGACAGCTCTATTGGTTGCAGCCTGGCGTTTGCCGATTTGAACAGGGTTTCAACAGTTGGCTGCCTGCAACTAACAGAAGTGCAGCAGCTGCTACTCAGCTATTTATTACAAAAGTGTACTCCTAAGTTAGCCTTAGCTCCTAAGTTAGGCTTATTCATAAAATAATTTTGCAATTAAAACTCTCAGAATAAAATGAGCAATTTATAAATTTGGCCCCAGGATGCCTCTGTACCTGAGTGCTTATGTAACAAACTGCAACCTAAGTTAGGCTTTCAGTAGTTGACGTACTAAGTTAAATTGCAGTTTGTTACATAAGGAGTCAGGTACAGAGGCATCTGGGGCCAAATTTATAAACTGTTCACTTTATTCTGGGTGTTTTTTGTTTGTTTGTTTTTAAAGTCTCGCTTTGTCACCCAGCCTGGAGTGCAGTGGCATGATCTCAGCTCACTGCAACCTCTGCCTCCCGGGTTCGAGCAATTCTTCCACCTCAGCCTCCTGAGTAGCTGGGATTACAGGCACCCACCATCATGCCCGACTAATTTTTGTATTTCTGTAGAGACGGGGTTTCACCATGTTGGCCAGGCTGGTCTTGAACTCCTGACCTCTGGTGATCCACCCGCTTCGGCCTCCCAAAGTGCTGGGATTATAGACTTGAGCCACCACACCCAGCCTATCTGGGAGTTTTAATTGCAAAATTATTTTATTATTGGTCTGTAAACTGAAAAAAATACAGGTAGAAGCAGGTAGGGATTCAATTACTGTTTTACTCAGACTGACACACATCATGGAATGATTCCTCCTTAAAGAAGAGCAACCTCTATTCTGAGTCCATGAAACCCCCACCTCACCTAAGGATGACCCTGAGCCTCACAGCAACCCTGGGATGCTCATGGTTTCTAAACTCCAATGGAGCTGTTCTTAGAGATGACATTATTGGTTCCATTTTGATTCTTTCATTGTGTTTTGTCCACTCTATTTAACAGCTTCTTTAAAAGTGAATGGACCTTCCCAGCCCATCCTCGTCAGAGTGGGAGAAGATATACAGCTAACCTGTTACCTGTCCCCCAAGGCGAATGCACAGAGCATGGAGGTGAGGTGGGACCGATCCCACCGTTACCCTGCTGTGCATGTGTATATGGATGGGGACCATGTGGCTGGAGAGCAGATGGCAGAGTACAGAGGGAGGACTGTACTGGTGAGTGACGCCATTGACGAGGGCAGACTGACCCTGCAGATACTCAGTGCCAGACCTTCGGACGACGGGCAGTACCGCTGCCTTTTTGAAAAAGATGATGTCTACCAGGAGGCCAGTTTGGATCTGAAGGTGGTAAGTAAGAATTCTAGATAGATATTTTGTATTCAATACCTGCTCCTGCCACTTTAATATGCTAGTTCCTGGACAATTTCTCTGACATTTGAAATTTTCTTAATGCTTATTCATCATCAAATTTATATCAAATCCTCCAGTGTGTGAAACTGTCATAGTTACTTAAAATCCACAAACTCAAATGGATGAAATTTAATTATTTGGGCATATAACTTGTATCTTTTCCAGTATCTTCAAAAATTGACCATATCTTTAAGGAAATCTGAGTATCTTACTACATATTTTACAAAAGGCTCATTGTTTCACAGTGTGTTATTAGAATTCTGAGAAATGCAATAAAATTCTAGAAACTGTAATCATCTGAAGACTAAACTGGATCCACTGTGTAAACCAAAATTATAAATATTGACAGTTTTGGCAGGGACAGGGGAGAAAAGATGAAATCACTCCCTGCAGCATCATTTCCCACTGTCCGTGTGTGTGAGAATTGAAACGTCCAAGGTTAGCAGATGCCATTGAGTACATATAGGCCCAAGTCTTGGATATGCTACGTGTTTCTCCCACGGATTTTGATTCTAAATTAATAAACACGTTTAGCCATGGGGGCGCATGTTGAGAAGTTTCATGAGCCTCGTATTTTCTGCCATTGGACGTAGATATTTATAAGGTTTCGATTTTTGAGAATATCCTCCTACTCCGTATGTTAATCCTGTCCATGTGACCCATGCCCTGGCCGAAGTTATTTTGTTCTCAGGGACAGAATAAATGTTGGATTTGAACATTTACCTTACCTCTTAATCATCCCAGAATGATTTAGGAATACAAAGAATAAAAATAAGCAAACAAACAAAATAAGAAAATGCTCCAGCCAGCCTCATCCCTAAGTGGAGTGCAATCCCCCTTAAGCTTTTCTCCCTTCCCCAAGCCCTCCACATCCCCTTCTTTCCTCCCAGTGAAATTGCTGCCCACTCATCCACTTGAAAGGACCCCAGGCTTTGGTTGCTTTCTCTGCCCCAGGTCTGGGTTCTTCCCCACTGATCACTGTGGAGGGGCAAGAAGATGGAGAAATGCAGCCGATGTGCTCTTCAGATGGGTGGTTCCCACAGCCCCACGTGCCATGGAGGGACATGGAAGGAAAGACGATACCATCATCTTCCCAGGCCCTGACTCAAGGCAGCCACGGGCTGTTCCACGTGCAGACATTGCTAAGGGTCACAAACATCTCCGCTGTGGACGTCACTTGTTCCATCAGCATCCCCTTTTTGGGCGAGGAGAAAATCGCAACTTTTTCTCTCTCAGGTTGGTGATTCCTTATGTTCCTTCAGGTTTGGAAAATAAATATGAAGACCAACTCAGACTTACTCATTGTATTGCTCTTCTTCCTTTGTGATTTTTATTTGCTGCTCTCTGACGAGGTCTCCTGCTATCCTCTGCAAAGCTGGTTTTCAGGACACCCAGGGATTCTACTCCTCTGAGTTTCTCTCTGACACCCTCAACTAGCGCCCTGCAATTATTTTTATCATTGGATACACACTAAATTCTCGTAATTGACCCTGTTTTCACTCTCTCTCTTTAAATTCTCTTCTTCTGATGTGAAAACAATTAAATTACAGAACTTTGTGTTTTCCCCCTCATGGAGGATTTTCTTCTGGATTAGAAACTGATTTTTATTAATACCATCTTCATGGTTGCGGCTTGAGTAATTTTATCCTTTCCTCCTCAAGTCATTCCAGTGATTGTGTGATATAGTTGGAAGAGAGAAGGGAAAACTTGTCTGTGCATGTGTACATTTCTGAGACGAGCAAACATGAAATACTTGCATTCTCTCCTCTGCATCTCCAGAGCAGGGAGGAGCAGGCCAACTGCTTCCTGGGAGGCCAAATTCTCTCCCTTCTCTCCAGCCTAGAAGCTGCTCAGATGAAAAGTACAATCTTAATATTGTCCCAGTTTCACAGTTTCAAGGGATTCTTGGGTTTCCATTTTAGAGTCCAGGATGACATTTTTGTGGAAAACACTGCTTGTTTGGGGATTGCTTCTTGCTGTGGCTGTAGGCCTGCCCAGGAAGAGGAGCTGAAAAGAGGTAAGTCAGGGAAACAGAAACAGCGGAGCACACTGCAGTGGGAACCGTACTGCGTACTTCCCCGAGCCTCCCTTTTCACAAGTCACCTATGGGAGGCAGTCAGTGAATATCCAGTAACTAAGGAAACATGAGAAACAGGAAAGCCCAGGGCTTATCATGCAATCCAGGCTCAGTGATGCATGAGGTCAGTGTTTCCACTTGTAATAGAAGCAAAATGATTAAAAGATAATGATTTGATTTCCTGCTGCCCATTCCCCAGTGATCTGGTTAGGGAAGAAGAAGAAAAAAGTGAGTAGTACAGCCATCCTTGTTTTCAAGGCTGAGAGCTGAGGTTCACTGAGATTTGTTGGCGTGAACAATTTCCTATGATCTTTAAAAATGTGGTGACCTACTTGTTGGTGATTTCTGTGTTGCTGGTGACTTCTCATGTGTTAGGGAGGCTGTTTTGTGTGCTCTAGAAAGTGCTTCCACTTTAAATTTCTTATGTCCGTGAAACACTTGTCTTCCTGTTTGGCTGTTAATAGAATGAAATTATATTGATTAATTATCAGAATGGATTCTCTTTCTTTACAGTGAATGTGACATTGGCTTCAAACACAGCTCACCTGAGACTGATTTCTTCTGAACAGAACAAGCGTGTGATCCATGGACATTCAGGCAGCCAGATATCCCACAGAGATCTGACTATCTGCTCTATGGGCCAGAGGGAACTCCTGTCAGGGAGCTGGTACTGAGAGGTGGAGACTGGGAACAGGGCGCGATGGGTCCCGGAGGTTGCCAAGCACATGTTGCAAAGAAAGAGTCATCTCTGTGTCACCTGACAGTGAGTTTTAGGCAATGGATTGCAAAAGAAATGAGTTCTGGGCCATCCCCTCTCTTCCAAGCCCCATCCCCTTGAAGGTGGCCCCTGAACAAGTCAGAATCCCCCTGACCGTGCCTCTGAATACCTCTCCTCTTATAACATGATTGGCAAGTGCCCTATCTACACCTTCCCCAAAACTTCCTTCTCTGGGACTCTGCACCCCGCTTCATTCTTTGGTTCCCTAATGTAGGTTCTCTGGACATTTTTTCTGTACCCACAAGAACATCTCCAACGTATCAGGAAAATAACAATCTGGGATTCTGGAAACCAGAATGATATTCTGAGTCCTGATCATTTCTCATTTCTCTAACTGCTTGAAGGGGGCTGCCATGATCATTGAAGTACTAACTCAAGGTGTTTTAATTCTACTCAGGAAAATCTGCTGGAGACTGATCTTTTCAGAGACCTATCCTGTTCCAGGTTCTCTGAGATCCGGCCTATCAATCACAATCTGACATCTGATAATCAAGGACCCTTAGAAAATCCCATGGGAAATACAATTTAGCCTACAGGAAGAAATGAAAGGAATAATCAAGGATTTGGTCAGTTTCTTTTTTTTTTTTTTTCTTTTCTTTTTTTTTTTTTTTTTCTGAGACAAAGTCTCACTCTGTCACCCAGGCTGGAGTGCAGTGGCATGATCTCAGCTGACTGCAACCTCTGCCTCCCGGGTTCAAGCAATTCTCTTGCCTCAGTCTCATGAGTAGCTGGGATTACAGGCATGTGCCACCATGCCCAGCCTATTTTTGTATTTTTAGTAGAGATGGGGTTTCACTTTGTTGGCCAGGCTGGTCTCAAACTTCTGGCCTCAAATGATCCACTCGCCTCGGCCTCCCAAAGTGCTGGAATTACAGGCATGAGCCACCACACCTGGCCTGATCAGTTTATTTAAGATGGTGACAATTAATTGTCCACATAGGTGGAACTGAGAAAATAAAAAATATATATATACAGTTAAAAAAAAGTGAAAGAAAATACAGCTGCATAAGGGGGAGAAAAATCTGATCACTAAAATATAATCTTGAAAATCTTATGAAGTGTTGTAAAATCCCTCCTCCAGACTTTTTGAGAAAGTTGATACAGGAAATTGAGTCAGGAAAAAAATTTTAGACTTTCCGATCCAAGCGAAAAATTATGTATCATCTATACGAACATGTCAATTTTATTGTTAGAGCAAAATAAAGTGCACAATTTAAAATTAATAATTATAAAATAAACAAATATAAGCAGTACATGTAACACAGTAAAAATATTTTAAAGTTATAATGAGTTCAAGAAGATAAACTATATGTGGAAGACAGAAGAATGTCAACAAGACTTTTGGAAAGAATGTTATGAAGTGAGAAGACGAGGACCTGCTAGTGACGCTCTGCTGCTCTCCAGGATGGCAGACGTCAGAGGCATCGCGGTCCCATGCGGATCACTCATGAACAGCACTCTGAACTTGCTCTTCTGGGCCATCATTTTTTTTTCTATTTTTAAACTCATAAATTTAAACACATAAATGTTAGAAACTACACATTATTCTTCCACAAATGTTTACACATTAATTTTAATAAACATTTTTTTCAATTGTGGTAAAATACATAACATAAAATAAAACCCTTTAACCATTTTAAAGTGTACAGTTCTGTGGTATTGTATATGTGACATTGCTGTGTGACCATCATCATCACTTTCTAGTTCCAGAATATTTTCATCGCCCTAAACGAAACTTCATACCCATTAAGCAGTTACTACCCATTTTTCACCCCCTACTCCCCAGGTAATCTACTTTCTGTCCCTATGAACTTTTCTATTCTGAATATTTTATATAAATGGAACCATAAACTATCTGTGTATGTGTATGTGTATGTGGCTTCTTTCCCTTAGCCTAATATTTTTAGAGTTCTTCCATGTCATAGCATGTATCAGTGCTTCTTTCCTTTTTAAAAAAAAAATTAACAGACATTATTTTTAAGAACAGTTTTAGATTTATAACAAAATAAAATGGAAAATCCAGAGAGCTCCTAGATCCCTCCTCTCTCCCCCCTATTTCTGCTATTATTAACATCTTACATTAGTGTGGCACATTTGTTACAACCCATGAAAGAATAGTGACACATTATTTTCAACTAAAGTCCACAGTTTTACATTAGGTTCACCTTTTGTTTATATAATCTCTGGAGTTTAACAAATGATTTCTACATTTACATTGATCTATCTTTATATTTATGAAGACTTAAATTTATTAGTAAATATACTAGGTTTACCTGAAAATATTTTAACACTATTTTGATTTAATGTAATTAAAAATAATTTATTGCACAACATCTAAAGGTTAACTATTATTTTTCACTTACTTTTGAGTCTTCCTTCCTAGTGAATGTAGCTCTTTGCTTGTTAGTCTGTGCTTGTGAAGGCCCTATGAATACATATATTCACTTTCCAGGGAGAAAGTCTCAAGAAAATTGGTTTTATCAGTCACATTCTCTCACTGTATATTAGAAAACATACTTTCCTATAGCTTCCCAAATTGGTGATTAATGTACTTTCTGAGTTCCAGTTCCAGTTAGAAAAGCCACAGGAAGGAGAGGGGTTGGTGGCGTTGAGGATGATGCCCTAGTCACTGGAAGTCCCTGTGGCTGTTGGGTGGGTAATCGGGTTGGTGCCTCAGGATACAGTTCCCTCCGCTCCTGGTGTGTAGACAGCTGGGTGTAGTCATTAAAGTGGGGCCACTCTCAGAATAAATGTGCAGATTGGCTGGATCTCAGTTTCAGGGAGAGGACAGGAGGAAGCCACAGAGACTGAATTGTTAACTCCCTGACATTTTCCTCCTTTGTCAGTACAATTTAACTTCCATGAGGACAGTGATTTTTTTCCTTCTTGTCTAGCCCCACAACCTGTAAAAATGACATACATTGATTATCAATAAACATTTGTAAAATGCATGAATTGTCTCATAAAGTGATATTTATTGAATATCTTACCTGTTGAATGTACTATGCTAAGGCCTAGAGATACAATCCTTAATAAGACATAATTCCTGCCCTCAGGTCTTTCTTTTTTGCAGTGGAGTCACTCTGTTTTTGGAATGTCTTATTATACCTTCATAAACTTTACTAAAAATGGGAGTGCCAGAGTAGTCCAGCAATAAAGAATTAATTGATGTAGCCAGGTGGTGAATTCACTTTTCCAGAAAGGATAGGCTACTTGGAGACCCTGCACTACTTATTGATTTACTCAAAGCTACAAATGAAAATAAGATGGACACTGTTATCCCTGACAGGTCTAAAGCTCTGAGTCCAATCAACCATCCACCTTCACGTTTTCTACCATGTCCACCTGCAGCCACTGCTCCCCAATCTCTAAGCTTAGAAGGACAAACACCCATTAAAATGAGTAAAGAAGTGACAAGTTTAAGAATCTTGTTGTAGAAAAAATATGAATTTAGACTCTGAAAAAGAGATAGTAAAAACTCCTCTTGAACCTCATGCTGAATGTCCTAAGTGTATAAAAAAGTAAAATGTCTAAGGCTGAACCTGTTACATTTCGTGTTCTATACCACAGTTCCACCCCATTTGTTCCTGTTTTGTTGTTACCCCCATGTTTAGGGCTCGCATGTCCAGAAATCCCTTCTCATCCACCATGTCCATTTGATTATAACTATTAATATTTTATCACCATTTATTTACCTCTGTCCTGCCTTGATTATTTCTTGATGAAATATGTAAGCCTCCCTTTAGGGTCAGTGAAATTAGGACTAGGCTCTGGCTTGATTCTTCCTGGCTTCGAATACTGTCTTTGCCACTTAGTGTGTGACGTGAAATTTCACCAAGGAGATACATCTACAGGACAGATTGTTAGAGGCACTTGTGGTTTACAGATCTGCAAATACTGTAGAAGAAAAACTAAGGGGATCTCTTCCATCATCAGGAAGAAAGGGTTCATTTAACAGAAGAAGCTCGGCCAGGTGCGGTGGCTCACGCCTGTAATCCCAACACTTTCTGAGGACAAGGCGGGTGGATCACAAGGTAAAGAGATGGAGACCATCTGGGCCAACACGGTGAAACCCTCTCTCTTATACTAAAAATACAAAAATTGTGGTTTCCAGGTTCATCCATGTCCCTACAAAGGATATGAACTCATCCTTTTTTATGGCTGCGTGGGAATTGAACAATGAGAACACCTGGACACAGGGCGGGGAACATCACACACCAGGGTCTGTCGTGGGGTGGGAGGAGCGGGGAGGGATAGCATTAGGAGAAATACCTAATTTAAATGATGAGTTGATGGGTGCAGCAAACCAACATGGCACATGTATACATGTGTAACAAACCTGCACGTTGTGCACATGTACCCTAGAACTTAAAGTATTAAAAAAAATACAAAAATTAGCTGGGCGTGGTGGTACATGCCTATAGTCCCAGCTACTCAGGAGGCTGAGGCAGGAGAATCGCTTGAACCTGGGAGGTGCAGGTTACAGTGAGCAGAGATGGTGCCACAGCACTCCAGCCTGGTGACAGAGCGAGACTCCGTCAAAGAAAAAACAAACAAACAAACAAAAATACACAAACAAACAAAAAGCAGGAGAAGCTCATATTCTATATCCTTGAAGACAACTTGATGATAAACAGCTGGAGAAGTCTTACATGCAGCAAGGACAAGGGAAACCCTCAACAGTGGGCAGAACAGGTCAGGAAGAAAAAGAATGTTAATGTTAGCAATGACTCTTGGTACAGATGTTTCTTTATTTCTACTTTACTGCTTTCTCTCCTAAAGTATAAACTGCAACATTGACTCCTCTTTCATTCACATTCTCACATAGGACACAATTCTGGACTTGCTGACCAGTGAGAACTTATTAAAGAAAAGGGCTCTTTCCTTCCAGAAGGCTTGGGCTCCTCCTCCAATTATTTACAATTATTCATGAGCCTTCTCCGTCCCTTGTCAAAGTCCAAGATTAGCAGTTGATTGTACACTAGAGCCTGAAGAGCAAACACGCTGAGCTATTAAAGGACTTGGACAGATTCCTATGCATCTCCAACAGTGGTAATGGAAGTGAGAATTCACTCTACTGCAATACTTCCCTTCAAACGCCTCCCCTCCTCCATATTTGATAACAAAAATAGTAAGAAGAGATTTCCCTGTAAATGTAGCTTTAAAATTATATACTTCAACACACACTCAGCATGAAAACAGATGAGAAATCCATGAACTTGTTTGGAGTTTTCTTGTGAGAAATAGTTGCTGCCCACAAAGAGACTGTATTTCCCCAATAGCAGCACCGGAGGAAATCTCCCTGGACATTTTCCAGTTCTCTCACTTCACTTTCTGCCTCTTCCTCTTTGACAGAAAGTGAAATCACACCTAGTGAAACTGACCTACTCACCATCCAAGGACAGCTTTCCTGGTGAATGTACCTAGAAGATGCTCCAGTGGAGACAGCAGAGGTGCCAACACTTCGCTGCTTATTATGCTAATAGAACATTAGCTTCCTGGGCAACATCTCTATCACAACTCGTTAAAGAAGTTACAGGGGTAACTGGAAAAGAATCAGGACAATTTTCATGATGATCTAAGCAGAAGGTCACAGATGTGCCAGCACTCTGAAGGCTAGAATAAGGATGGAAAATCCCACAGAAGGTGATTCCAGTAAGAGAATAGATGTGGGACTAATCGACCTCGTTGTGAAAAGACACGTCTCCAGCCTTGCTGTCCTGGAAACCTTCTAGGGGGACAGGGAGGCTCCTGACAGAGTCTCTGGGCAGGAAGTGAGAGCCATGACCCTTCCTTCTTCACATGTCACCATGCAGAAATTCTTCTCTGGACTTTCTACAAACCACCACTCTCTCTTCATTGTGCTGAACAAACACCCAGAGCTCATCTCGTTCCTGGTCCAACTTCTGTCCCCATTATTTACTTCTACCTCCCAGTAATGTCTGTCTCCCCTGTGGTAAAGTAATGTCTCCCCTGTGGTAAACCCAGAACACTGAAGATGGTTTTGGATTCCCCTTGTCCTTGGTGTGTGGGGGCATCCCAGTTCGGGGAACATTCTCCGTTGAAGAAGTGTATCTTCTACCCTCAGATCGGATGAGGTTGGGATGAGCTGCATCTGGATCCAGAGAAACAGCCACTGCATGTATAGTTGGAAAAAAAAAAAAAAAAAAGGAGGAAAGCTGCAAATACTGGGAAGGCAGAATGGAGAAAAACAAGAGGGAGAAAACTGGAAGGTTAGGTAAAACTGTGTTCCGTCCTAGGAGATACACGATGTGTAAGTCCTAGAAGGCTAGGGTTGGGCAAGATCTTCAGTAACCATCTATTCCAGCCAGGCTAGGACTGTCTAGCCAGGATGGCTGTCACACCTGAAAGTGTTCCAGGGTAAGGTTTTCAGGATGGGGTCCTGCCTATTCTTCAAACGCCTGTTACGTTATTGCTTGTTCTTAAAATTAAGTCCTATAGTATTTCCAGTCATGGTGTGTCCACTTTCATTTAAGCCTCTTCATTTTCATTTTCTGTGGGTTTATGTAATAACTGGGCCATCCACTTCTCATACACCTTTATTTCTAGTGATTGAAATCCCAGGCCTTGTAGTCAAAAAGATCTGAATCTTGATAATTGCTCTTTCTTTAGTAGCTCTGATCTTGGTGACGTTACCTTGCTTCTTTCAGGCACACCTAACTCTCATAATAATGCAAATAATTATGGCATTCAGCACAGGACTATTGTGAGAAATAAATGAGATAGCGTATAGGGAACTTAATACTATGACTTCTCTGTGATGAACACTTGGTTCATTTTAGCTTCCAATATTTATAGTAACACTAATAGCAGAGGTGATAGTAGCAATAGTACTAATACTGGTAGTAACTAATCTTCTTTTCAAACCAAACATCCTCAGTAATTAAAATTTTTCTCATAAGAATTTGTATTTGTAAATTAGACCTCTCCCTCTCCTCTCCCTCTCCCTCTCCCTCTCCCCCTCCCCCTCCCCCTCCCCCTCCCCCTCCCCCTCTCCCTCTCTTCCCTCTCCCTCTCCCCTTTCCACAGTCTCCCTCTGGACTGTGCTGCTGCCATCTCGGCTCACTGCAACCTCCCTGCCTGATTCTCCTGCCTCAGCCTGCCCAGTGCCTGCCATTGCAGGCGCGCGCCGCCACGCCTGACGGGTTTTCGTATTTTTTTGGTGGAGACGGAGTTTCGCTGTGTTGGCCGGGCTGGTCTCCAGCTCCTAACCGCGAGTGATCCGCCAGCCTCGGCCTCCCGAGGTGCCGGGATTGCAGACGGAGTCTCGTTAACTTAGTGCTCAATGGTGCCCAGGCTGGAGTGCAGTGGCGTGATCTCGGCTGGCTACAACCTCCACCTCCCAGCCGCCTGCCTTGGCCCCCCAAAGTGCCGAGATTGCAGCCTCTGCCCGGCCGCTACCCCGTCTGGGAAGTGAGGTGCGTCTCTGCCTGGCCGCCCATCGTCTGGGATGTGAGGAGCCCCTCTGCCTGGCTGCCCAGTCTGGAAAATGAGGAGCGTCTCTGCCCGGCCGCCATCCCACCTAGGAAGTGAGGAGCGCCTCTTCCCGGCCACCATCCCATCTAGGAAGTGAGGAGCGTCTCTGCCCGGCCGCCCATCGTCTGAGATGTGGGGAGCGCCTCTGCCCCGCCGCCCCGTCTGGGAGGTGAGGAGCGTCTCTGCCCGGCCGCCCCATCTGAGAAGTGAGGAACCCCTCCGCCCGGCTGCCACCCCGTCTGGGAAGTGAGGAGCGTCTCCGCCCGGCAGCCACCCCATCCGGAAGGGAGGTGGGGGGGTCAGCCCCCTCCCGGCCAGCCACCCCGTCCGGGAGGTGAGGGGCGCCTCTGCCCGGCCGCCCCTACTGGGAAGTGAGGAGCCCCTCTGCCCGGCCAGCCGCCCCGTCCGGGAGGGAGGTGGGGGGGTCAGCCCCCCGCCCGGCCAGCCGCCCCGTCCGGGAGGGAGGTGGGGGAGTCAGCCCCCCGCCTGGCCAGCCGCTCAGTCCGGGAGGGAGGTGGGGGGGTCAGCCCCCCGCCAGGCGAGACGCCCCGTCCGGGAGGGAGGTGGGGGGTCAGCCCCCCGCCCGGCCAGCCGCCCCGTCCAGGAGGGAGGTGGGGGGGTCAGCCCCCCGCCCGGCCAGCCACCCGGTCCGGGAGCTGAGGGGCGCCTCTGCCTGGCCGCCCCTACTGGGAAGTGAGGAGCCCCTCTGCCCGGCCAGCCGCCCCGTCCGGGAGGGAGGTGGGGGGGTCAGTCCCCCGCCCGGCCAGCTGCCCCATCCGGGAGGGAGGTGGGGGGTCAGCCCCCCGCCCGGCCAGCCGCGCCGTCCGGGAGGTGAGGGGCGCCTCTGCCCGGTCGCCCCTACTGGGAAGTGAGGAGCCCCTCTGCCCGGCCACCACCCCGTCTGGGAGGTGTACCCAACAGCTCATTGAGAACGGGCCATGATGACAATGGCGGTTTTGTGGAATAGAAAGAGGGGAAAGGTGGGGAAAAGATTGAGAAATCGGATGGTTGCCGCGTCTGTGTAGAAAGAAGTAGACATGGGAGACTTTTCATTTTGTTCTGTACTAAGAAAAATTCTGCCTTGGGATCCTGTTGATCTGTGACCTTACCCCCAACCCTGTGCTCTCTGAGACATGTGCTGTGTCCACTCAGGGTTGAATGGATTAAGGGCGGTGCAAGATGTGCTTTGTTAAACAGATGCTTGAAGGCAGCATGCTCGTTAAGAGTCATCACCACTCCCTAATCTCAAGTACCCAGGGACACAAACACTGCGGAAGGCCGCAGGGTCCTCTGCCTAGGAAAACCAGAGACCTTTGTTCACTTGTTTATCTGCTGACCTTCCCTCCACTATTGTCCTGTGACCCTGCCAAATCCCCCTCTGCGAGAAACACCCAAGAATGATCAATTAAAAAAAAAAAGAAAAAGAAACTGCCTCTGTTAGGATCAAAGGTTGAGAAAGTAAGGAGAATACAGAGCTTCCTTCCATAACGGTAGGAAGGCACCAAATTTGAACAGAGTAAGGCTCCTAGTGCCACTGCCTAAAAGGATTGAGATGAGTAGCATAGGTAAGTTCTGCTCCAGGCTTCAGATCACAATTCTAGTAACATAGCACAGTGAGAACATTTTTATTTTTTCTGGACAAGTTTTGCCTCCCCATCGACAGGTTACATAAAGGAAACCCAATTTTTCATTCATCAGCAAAGACTTCCAGGAAAAGGGAGGAAAATTTCCTGTTCTCTCTTAAATGTTGTCAAAAGATTTAAAGCTCTTCATCCTTTTGATTCTCTTTACTTCAGATTCATGAGATAGAGCACACTATGCACAGGGCCAAGGCATCTGAACTAAGAGATGACAAGAAAGAGGGGTACGGCAGAAATAAGCAATAGCCCTGCCAGTACACAGTGTCTTAAGCTCCTACTTCTTGATTTTTTTCTTTTCCATTATTGACATCTGATTGATGTTAGGTAAACAGGTAGAACAAGGGGAATTGGCATGTGTGAGGGCAAAAATCTCACATGGAAATCACTAGATCTCTATAATGGGACAAGTGTCTATGAATTAGCAATGAAACCATAAGTTAGGATAATGTCTTGATGAGAAATGTTCTAGAAATAGCAACCAGATTCCGGTATCAGAAGGGATGGGGATTCATGGTGAGGGTCCAGGCAGGCATTTCTGTGTTTCAAATATTTAATACAATTGAACTGAGAGAAAGTCATGTATCAAGGGCAAAGCTGCTGCATTCAAAGAAGAACTACTAGGATTCAGCTTAGGCTTGCATTTTGGGAACCACTGTAGTAAGTGAGTAATCATAATCCAGAGAGAAGCCACACTTATGACAGATTCTTAGTGAATTAATTATTTATTACTGGTAACAAATTACCTGGAAACTTAGTGGCTTAAAACAACAATTGCATATTATCTTACAGGTCAGGAATTTTGGAGCAGCTTAGCTGGGTAGCTCTGGCTCAGTCTCTCATAGGTTGCAGTGAAGCCATTGGCTGGGGCTGCAGCCATCTGAATCCTTGACTGGGGTTGGGGGTCTCTTTACAAGAAGGCTCATTACATGGCTGTTGACTGAAGGCTTCAGTTCCTCACCAATAGGCCTCTCCACCGAGCCACCTGAGTGTCTTTAAGATTTGGCAGCTGACTTCCCCCAGAACAGATGATGAGAGAGAGAGAAGAGGGGAGGGAAGTGGGGGAGAAGAAGGAAGACTTTAATGTTTTCATGACCTAATATAGGAAGTAACATACCATAATTTCTGCTGTTGTCAACTGGTCATACAGACCACTCCTGCTATAGTGTGAGGGACTATGCAAGAGTGTGATTGTCAGTAGAGAGAATGGTGCAGGGTTTTGATACATGGTCTTTAATTTGGTTGAATCGATCATTCACAGAGGACAGTGTTTTTTGTTTGTTTAATCCTGCCTACCTACCCCCTCACCTTTATTCTGTTTCTAGATAGAGGGAGGCTGGTGTGGTGACTCAAGCCTGTAATCCCAACAGCCGAGCACTTTCGAAGGCCAAGATGGGAGGGTAGCTTAAGGACAGGAATTTGAGACCAGCCTGGGCAACATAGTGAGGCCCCATTTCTACACACATCAAAAAATTAGCTGAGTTTGGTGGCACATGCCTGTAGTCCCAGCTACTCAGGAGGCTGAAGCAGGAGGACAAGGATTGCTTGAGCCTGGGAGATAGAGGCTGCAGTTAGCCATGTCTGTACCACTGCACTCCAGCCTGGGTGACAGAGAGAGACCCTGTCTCTCTCTCTAAAAAAACAAAAAGAGAGATACATGGATTGGCATTCTTTTCTGGAGAGATAGCAATTATGTCCTCCTGACACAGGATTTCTTTTCTTCCCTTTGGATAAAGGATATTTTGCTAATTCAAAAGATTAGGAAAGACAGGGTTGGCAGTTCCACTTACTATATTTATTATTACAGGCTTACTTGACTATAGGCCTAACTAATTTTAAGGACACTGGGTTTATAGAAGAGAATGATGTGAAAGAGGACGTTAGGACAACCTCTGATTCCTAGAGGGGAGGGTATAGCTTTCTCTTCCATATTTGCGAAGCAGGATTTTCCAAAGACATGAGATTGAAAAAAATTGTGGATGTGAGAAGACATAAATTTCATTAGGATGATGAAAAATATTTTTTTTCTCTCACCTCAAATCTATATCATCAGTGTTATAAAGTAAGCTAGGGTCTGTCTCCCTTTCAACCCAGTAGTCTTAAAAGGCTCAAGAAGATTAGGCTTGAATTTCTACTCTCAAACTCAAAATTTTGTAATCTCTCTTTTTTAAATGATTGAAGTATAATTTACAGACAAGTATTTTTACAAGCACAGATTATAAGTATTAACAATTGAATACACCCAAGTAATTCATACCTTAATCCAAACAAAGAACATTAATTTTTCACAGGCAACCAGTAGTCTGATTCCCATCATCAAAGTTTAGTTTTGCCTTTTCATTAACTTCATATGGTAATAATACACTATTTGCTCTGTTGTATCTAATTTTTTTCATTCAATATAATGTTGAGATCATGTATATTGCTGTGTATGTTCTTTTAATATTTTAAGTTGAATTTCATTTTATGAATATGCTTCAGTTTTTTCCACTCATTTTTCTGCTGATGGATACCTGGATGTTTCTAGGTTTGGGCTATTATTAATAAAATTGCTATGAACATTCTCTTTCAAGTCTATTGTGGACACATATTTCATTTCTTTTATACTTTTCATTCCATATACAATGTCTGGGTCAAAGAGTAGGTATGTGTTTAATTTTATAAAATACTACAAATCAGTTTTCCAAAGTGGCTGCACTATTTTACATTCAAATAAGCAATGTATGAGAGTTTCAGTGACTCCACATAACCAATAATTGATATTTTCAGCCTTTTAAATTATATCCAGGTCAGTGAGTGTAAAGTAATAACTCATTTTGGTTTGCATTTTCCTGATGATTATGTTGAATTCTTTAGTCATCTATCTTCATTTATGAAATATTCATTCAAATCTTTGTTCTATTTTGTTGCATTATTTAATATTTTTATGAAGTTGAAGAAATTCTTCAAATAGTCTAGATACAACACTTTTGTTAGGTCTCTTCCTTTATGTAGGTATTTTTAAATTTTTATCTGAAGGGTTTTGCAGTTTTCAGTGTAGGTATCTTGCATATACTTTGTTAACTATATTCTTAAGAATTTTATACTATTTGATTCTATTGTAAGTGATATATTCATTTTCCAAATGTTAATTACTAATGTATGGAAATAAAATTTATTTTCATTATTAATTTTGTACACTGAGACCTTGCTAAAATCCCTGATTAATTATTCTAGAAGTTTGGTGGTTTTATAGATTCCATTCGATTATCTAAGTACTTAAGCACATTATGTGTGAATGACAATACTGTGTTCTTTCTTTCCAATCTTTATTACTTTTAATTAATTAATTATTTTGCTTTATTCTTCTGGCCAGGTCCTCCTCACTACTGGAAGTACTAATAGAGGACATTCTTTTCTTGTTCTCGATTTTAGGGGTAAAGTGAGCAATACAACACTACTGTTTTTGATGTTAGCTTTTGATTCTTCCCTGGCACTATTTAGTAGACTCAGAAAATTTTCTTCTATTCTTACATTGCTAGAGGATATTGTTGCTGCTGTTGTTTTATTTTTAAAATCATGAGTGGATATTAACTTTTATTTTAAAATGTTTGTGCCATCTAAGATTATATAGTTTTTATTTTCTTGTTTTTAATTTTGTTTTTGCTTTATATTAGGTATATAATTTCATAATTGTATTAATGTATTACAAAATTTATATTTTTAAGATTAAACTACACTTAATTATATGTATTTTTTACTAGATTTATCTTACTGTTTTAATTAGAATCTTTGCATCTGTGCAAACAATTCTGTAGGTTTTCTTTTCACTCTCTTGATAAGTGTATTTTGATGCACAAAAGTTTTTAATTTTTACGAAGCCCAATTTATGTAATTTTTCTTTTGTGGTCTGTGCTTTTGGTGTCATTTTAAAGAAGCCATTACCTAATCCAAAGTCATGAAGATTTTTCCCTTGTTCTCTTTTAAGAGTTTTACAGTTTTATCACTTAAATTTAGGTCTTTGGTTCAATTTGATTGAATTTGCACATGGCTTAAAGTAAGAATCCAACTTCATTCTTCCTGCATGTGGGTGTCTAATTTTCCCAACACCATTTGTCAAAGACCACCGTTTCCCCATTGAATGGTCTTGGCACCCGTGGTAAATGAATTGAGAGTTCACTTCTGGCCTCTCAATGCTTCTCCATTTGTCTCTGTATTTTTCTTTATACCAGTGCTGCATGTGCTCTTGATTACTGTAACTTTGTATTAAGTTTTGAAACTGGGGAGTGAGAGTCCTGCAAATTTGTTTCTTGTTTTTCAAGATTGTTTTGGTTACTTGAGGTCCTTTTATGTTCCACATGAATTTTAAGAGAGATTTTTCTATTTCTATCCAAAAAATAATGCCATTAAGATTTTGGTAAGGAATTACATTGAATCTCCCTATCACATTGGATAATATTGTCACCTTAGTAATATTAAGTTTTCCAATCCATGGCTGTAGGAAGTCTTTTAAATAAAGAGGTATATCTATATTTACATAGGTTTGTTTTCAATATTTATATAATTTTATATGCTTTACTGGTATATAAATAAATTTGATTTATATTTAATATTTTCTTTTATAATAGAAAATAATATATATATTTATGAGGCATAATATCAAGTTTTGACAGATATATGTACCTCAAAACTATTTATATATTTCATACACAGCATATATATTATGTACAACATAATGTATATTATATATTACATATATTTATAGACTATAAATATATATACTAATATGTAACTATATATAAATAATATATAACTACATATTCATAGATATATATAACTATATACAAATATATAAAAGTATAAAAATAAATCTATATATTATATATAGTGGAATTATTAAATTAAGCTATATAGTGAATGATTGAATTAAACTGATTAACATAATCATCACTTCACATGCTTATCAATTTTTTTTGGTTAACAGACTGAAATTTCCTCTTCGTAATTTGTAAAATATACATTATTATTAGCAATATATTTCAAAAACATATTGCTCTTGTGTAACTGAAACCTTGTACTCTTTGACCAACATCTTCTCATCTTCCCCATATTCGCCCCACTTCCCCAGCCTGTAATCACCATTCTGCTCTCCACTCCTATGAGTCTGACTTTTTAGATTCCATGTATAAGTGAGATCACAGTATTTGTCTTTCTGTGCCTGGCTATTTTACTTAGAATAAAAAGAATCAGATTGCACCTAGCTCAGTTAACCCCTTGACTCCAGGTATAGAAATAATAAAAATCAAACAAATTTTATGTGTGTGTCTATCATCTATCTATCTATCTATCTATCTATCAAATGTCTATTTAAATACCATCTTTGACATTGCCATGGAGGATTATTATCCATATCATGATAATTTAGTAGATTGGCCCAGGGAATAGATAAACATTGGTGTTACCATACAATTTATAAATGTAGTTTTTAAAGAAAATGTCAAAGTATGTGGTTTAATTTGTAAAGTATATATTCTCATTTCGAATCTCTAAATGTAATATGTTTGTTTTCTCAACAGTATTACCCTGTTTCCAAATATTGCTTAAGGAGCCAATATGTCACAAAAGTTTTGCAGCAAGCAAATAAAATAAAATAAAATATGTATTTATTTTTACTCTAAAAACTATACATGCCTCTTTATTTATAGAGAGCTATAGCTATATCTGGATATCTATAAGACAAAGTTTTTTTACATTTAATCCACATATTTTGAACTTTTTAAAAAGATGTATTCCTAGGTAGTGTGTAATTTTGATGATAATGTGAATTGTATTTTCTTTTCAAATTGTATGTTCTCTTCATTTCTGTCTTATAAAAATGTGTTGGTTCTTGGATATTATTCTTGTATTTAATAACCTTGGTAAACTTATTAATTCCAAAAATTTAGCTGTAGTATTTCTTGCAATTTCTAAATACACAATAATGCCAACTGCATATGACAGTTTTATTTGCTCTAGTCCAATATTTGTTGAAAGTCCCCACCTCTGATATATATCCTTTTGTCAGAGTTTGTCATTGCAATACTAAGATACCCTATATTTCTGTTATTCTAGAAGTTAAGAAACAAAATCAGAGCTAAAACTTGCCAACTGGTTGGACCCAGTAACCCAGAGAGGGGACAGACTTTTCTTGTTAGATCCCATCTAAGCCACGTAGGCTTGAGACACAGATTCTGGAACCTGAGGGAAAGAAAAATGTGTTTGCAGATATAAAATATGGATTTAAAAAAATCATCAGGGAAAGAAAATGTCTATGGCAAAGGGCCTAAGATTAGAATCTACTACGCTCAGCGAAGTTGCACTCTCATCTAAGAAGTTCTTATCTAAATAACTGCCCTTTAGAAGCCCTCTGTTAATCAATAAACAGCTGTATAATTAGACATTACTTTCTTTTCTGACAACTACTCCCACTTAACTCTATTTCTGTTCACTTTTCTTCCCTTCCTTAGTTTTCAGACATTGTCTCAGGTGTATCCTTAGACCCTTTAACCCTGGTCTGCATGAAATTCCATACTTATATTTATGTTCTCCTTAATGCCTAGGTATTGGCAATCTTTGGCAGTCATTCCCTTATCCCCAGTGGGGAAAATACTGCTACAAATTTAAATGCATTTCACCACTTTAGTAGTTCACAAACTAGACAAAGGTACTGTCAATGATTGCCTGGATAACTCTTAACAGTAGTCTCCTTGCTTCTTCTTTTCCTCCCACTACTGTCTTTTCTTAACACAGCAGCAAAATTGTTTTATGTCTTTATGCAGACATAGGTAAAAACGTGTCATTTGCCTACATAATGACCCATCTTATCTCTTTATTTCATTCAAGTTAAAATCAAAGTCCTGTCAGTAGCTCACTAGATGTTACAATTTTTTTTGAGGCGGGGTCTTGCTCTGTTGCCCAGGCTGGAGTACAGTGGAACAATCATAGCTCACTGCAGCCTCAACCTCCTGGGATCAAAGGGTCTTCCCCTGCCTCAGTCTTCTGAGTAACTGGACTACAGGTGCATGCCACCATGCCTGGCTAATTTTTTTATTATTTTGTAGAGACGGGGTCTTGCCATCTTTCCCCAGCTGGTCTTGAATTCCTAGGTTCAAGGGGTCTTCCCACCTTGGCCTCCCAAAGTGCTGGGATTACAGGCATGAGCCACCATGCCTGGCTGATCCATTATCTTTCTAACTTATTTTCCTACTGTTGTTTTCCTGGATCAGTTCATACCAGTGACACTGGCCACTTCATATTCCTTGAAAACACCAGACACATTCCTATCTTACGGTCTTTGCTGTAGTTGTCTTCTCTGCCTGGAAAACTCTTCACTCAGAAATCCACTTAGATGTCTACCCTACTTCCCCCAAGTATTGCCTTCTCACAGAGGTATATCCAGGATAATCTATTTAAATCGAAATCCCACTGCAGCTGCCAGTAGTTCTCTTTCACTGACTTGCTTTTTCACTTTTCACAGCAGTTACCACCTTCTAAGATACTGAAATGGGAAAGGTCTTCTTGTCCCCCTCACAGGGCTTGCAACAGCGGGAGTGGCTCACTTCTTCAGTGCCCTGCTGCTCAAACCTCTAGGGAGAGCATACAGACGGACAGGATGTGGGGCTCTGGCCTCACGGCAGCATCTAGGGGTGTATGTTTACAGTTCCTGAAGCCCCAGTGGGCATGTGTTACTGTGTGCTCTTTTAGTTTTGCCATGTATAGGCAGCTAGTGTTAACTAGCTCAATTAGACCCTCTGCCTTATTGCAAGGACAGAGGGCTTTCTGTATCCCAGGTTCTTACCTTGGTGTACCAGAAAAATCAGATCACATGTGGGCTTGAAGAATGAGAGCAAGGTCTTATTGAGTGGAAGTGGCTCTCAGCAGATGGGGGAGCCAGAAGGGAGATGGAGTGGGAAGGTGGTTTTCCCCTGGAGTCAGGCTGCTCAGCAGCTGGGTTCCCCTCCAACTGCCCTGGCCAAACTCCATTTTGTTCCGCTGGTCAATGGCCTGCCAGCGTGCCAGCATCTGCTGGTTCCTGTTGGCATGATCTTTAACCGATGTGTCCCTCTTGACATCCAGCCACTTGTGTGTTCTTCCACTGATGTGTTCCTTTTGACGTCCAGCCGCTTCTGTCCCTGCCTGCTAGGGTCTCAGGATTTTTACAGGCACAGGATGGGGGCATGGCAGGCCAGGGTGGTCTTGGGAAATGCAACATTTGGGCATGAAGGCAGGAGTGTCTGTCCTTACCTAGGTCTGTGGGCACAGGCCCAGGGGTGGAGCCTTAGCCAGGGACCATGCCCTTCCCTTACCAGCACTTCCCTGCCCCTCTTCTATATCACCTCCCCTGTCTGAAGAGGTACGTCTAACTGCTGTTCGAATATGGATGATGATGGGTCTTAGCTGCTTCCTGCTGATAGGGGCATCGTTTTGGGGAAAACGGCAGTCAGATTCTTCCCAGAGGTCTATATAAGGGTTCCTAGCAAAGGGGAGCCACCATCCAAGGCTCCGGTTCCCTGACCATTTGGAGGTTGATGGCTTCCAGGTGTGAGAGAAAAAACAAGTTTTATAAGGTTAAGTATGCATGGATTATATATACTTGGGTATGTATACCCAAGTTATACACACTGTAACTACATACATACATACTATACATACTATAATAAATACGTGTATTATACAAGGAAAAAAAATTAGTGCCAAAGATTACAGAGATAAGAAGTGAAATATACTAACAACAACATTGTACCCTGAGATGTTTCACCCTGGTGAAAGAAATTAAACCTTGTATGGGAGTGGATAAACTTTTAGAATGAGATAACTGTTCTGGCCATATCTTTAGTAGTTAACAGGTGTACCCTGGGAATTCTGGGGTTTGTGGGCTTGCCTGGTGGCCATTAAAGCTTCTGTCTCTTTCCTGTATTTCCTCTCTCTTTCCTGGGCCTCCCTGTCTGTATTATAAAAGACCAAGGTGGCCACTTTCAGAAGGTCCTCTAATGTACTATCCGGTCCCAGGGCCCGTTTCTGCAACTTCCTCCTGAGGTCAGGAGCTGCCTGAGTAATAAATTTATCCTTTAGGGTTAGCTGTCCCTCTACTGAATCAGGAGATAGACAGGTATGCTTTACCAAGGCCTCTCTTAGTCTCTCCAGGAAGGCAGCAGGATTTTCATCAAATACCTCGTCGATCATGGACAATTTAGTATAATTGAGAGGCTTGGTCTTAGTCCTACAAAAGCCTTCCATTATGCACATCTGAAAGCGTCTCCTCTTCCAGTCTTCCACCTGTCATTGGGATCCCACTTAGGGTCATTCACTTTTACTGCTTCTCTTCCAGTTGGATAATGTTTGCTCCCTTCCCTGATGCCATATGTGATACAAAGCTCATTCCCAAATCTCTTTACTGCTTGCAGAGCGGCCTGCTTCTCAGTGTCCATCAGGGTCTGATTCAAAAGTAGCATAACATCTCTCCAGGAGAGTTTAAATATATGGGTGAAAGTCTGGAAAACCTCTATATATCTATAAGGGTCATCTGAAAGCTTGCCAAGATCCCCCTTGGTTTGCTTTAAATCCTGTAGGAAGAAGGTGACCTGGACCTTACTGGGCGCAAATTCACTGGGCATTTGTTGGAGGGGCAAAAGTGAGACTGGTTGAATGTTGAAGGTGTACCTCAACACACACACACACACACACACACACACAGAGTTCCTTGGCACAGACTAGCATAGTGTTTGCTTTGGTTCTAGGCATTGTCTCTGTTCAATCATTAGCTAATGACTAAGCTAACCGGGCAGAAACATCAAACGTTACATTCAGGAAAGAATGGAGACTTTATAAAATTAGATCAGAAAAATCTTTAAACAAACAAACAAACAAGTAGTAATACAACAAATGCAACAACAGCAAACTCTGTAGAGGGAGGAAATCTGGTTTCTAAATTGCAACATTATAATATTCAAAATGTCTAGATTTCAGCAAAAAATAATGAAGCATGTAAAGAGAAAAGAAATCATGACCCATGCACAGAAAATAATAAAAAGAAACTGTTTCTGAAGAAGCCCAGACATTGTAATTAGCAGAATAAGACATGTCTAAAAAATAAAGTATAAGAATGATGTCTCAGCAATTTGAGAATATCAGAAGGAGAAATTATAGAAATAAATAGCAATTCTGCAGGTTAAAAATACTGACTTGCAAGGTTTCCGTTGAGAAGTCTGGTAATGGACTTATGGGAGATCTCTTACACATGATGTTTCTTTCAGAATTCTCTCTTTGTGTTTGACCTTTGACAATTTGATTATAATATATCTTGGAGTATGTCTTTTTTGAATTGAACTTGCTTGGGATGCTTTGATCGTCTTCAATCCGGATGTTCATATCCCTCTCAAGATTTGGAAAATTTTCAGATAATATTCCATTGATTAAGCTTACTGCCCCTTCCTCTTTTTCTTCTTTTGGTACTTCCATAATTCATATATTTGTATGTTTGATGGTGTTCCATAAGTATGCATAAAACACTTATGGAAAAATAATCTCAACAATTTTGAGATTATTTTTGGCAGGTGGAGCATCCTAAAACTAGAAGTCATCACCTTCCTCTTCAAGTGACTGACTTCTTAACTTAGAAATCACCACCACAGGATGCATAGAAGACTGAAACAAAATGTGGCTTTGTGAATACAGTGTGGGCTTTGGAGTCAGAAACTCTGCCATTTGTTGGCTGGGTAACTTCTAGTGTCTCTCTCCATCTCAAAGAATTTCATCGTACAGTTTATTAGGGATTAAACAAGTTTGTGCTTATAAGGTACCCACTATAGAACTTTGTAGTCAATAGACACTCAATAAAACATGTTATTACTCTTCCTTGTTCTCCACAGTGGCTTATGAGATCCCATTTACTGGCTCACTCTTCCTAGCACCATAGACCTCTGGACTGGATTTCTTCTTGCTATCTAACTCCAACAACTTGACTTCCTTTGTTCACCTTCATTTGTTTCAAGGCTCTTCTTTTTTTAACTTTTAGTTTTAAGGGTACATGTATGTAATTGTTTGTTATATGGGTAAACTGTGTGTTGTGGGGGTTTGGTGTACAGATTCTTTAGTCACCTGGGTAATAAGCATAAAACCCAAGAGATATGCTGTCTCCCTCCTCCTAGCCTCCACCCTTAAGTAGGCCCCAGTGTCTGTTGTTCCCCTCTTAGTGTCCATGTGTTCTTGTTGTTTAGCTCCCACTTATAAGTGAGAACATATGGTATTTGGTTTTCTGTTCCTGCTTTAGTTTGCTTAGAATAGTGGTCTCCACCTCCATCCATGTTGCTGCAAAGGACATCATCTCATTATTTTTTATGGTTGTGTAGTATTCCACGGTGTATATTTACCACATTTTCTTTATCCAGTCTGCCTCTTTTTAAATATAGTCATTTTTCTCATTTTTAATTATCAAACATTTATAAAATGCTTATTCTGTGGAAGGTTCTCTGCCTCAAGAGTTACAAACATTAGGCTGGGCACGGTGGCTCACGCCTGTAATCCCAGCACTCTGGAAGGCCAAGGCGGGTGGATCACCTGAGGTAGGGAGTTTGACACCAGCCTGACCGACATGGAGAAACCCCATCTCTACTAAAAATACAAAATTAGCTGGGTGTGGTGACACATGCCTGTAATCCCAGCTACTTGGGAGGCTGAGGCAGGAGAATTGCTTAAACCCAGGAAGTGGAGGTTGCAGTGAGCCGAAATGGTGCCACTGCTCTCCAGCCTGGGCAACAAGAGTGAAACTCTATCTTCAAAAAAAATTAAAAAAAAGAGTTACAAAGATTAATGATATACAATCTCTGGCCTTAAAAATCTCTGAAAAACTAGAAATAATTCTAAAGCCCAGAAAGAGTGAGTTCCCTTCCAGTATCCTATACAAGTTCAAGGTCCTCCAAAGCATTATTAAATCTTCCTAGCCTTTTGATCCTCTGCCTTTTCTCCTGCCTCACTAATGTTCTAAGTCTCTGTTATGACACAGATTCTAGAACCTTCACAGGCCACACTCCCATCATTTGCTTAGGTCTGATCAATCTGCTCCACGCAATTTCTCAGTGATCCTCTGCATCTCTGCCTACAAGGGCCTCCCTGACACCCAAGTTCATATTGCTCAGAAACAGTGAACTTGAGTTTTTCGTTTTATCTTGATCTCTCTCTGACAAAGAAATCCAGATGATGCGAGACCTGATGAAGACAATACATGGAAAATGACAGTCTTGGGTATGGACTAACTCCCTCTTTGAGGCTTCCTCAACTCTAGTAGTTCAGGAGTCTCCTCTTAGGGACTTAGGGACTTTAACACAACTGCTTTATCTTCCTTGCCTGCTTCCTTTTCAAATTCAATATTTTTTCTTTCACTCTTATTGATTCCTCTGGAAGCCTGGGGGAAACAACCCACAGTTAACTAAGCTCTAGGCTGATAGTGCTGGTTTCTCCTTTGGTTTCTAGAGTTTAAACTGAACAAAGAAAATAACCATCCTCCGTAGCACTAGGAAAAATTCCTTAGCCCATTATCTCACTTCCTGTAGCATGGTCACTCTATATAATCTGCCTCAACTCAGAAATAATGATTTCCTCTCATTTTCCCTATTAATAGGGTGGACCATCTTCTAACCGCCCTATAGACAGGGCATTTCAGACACTAAAGGAAGAAAAGGAATATACAGTAGTACTGAGTACACCATCTAGTTATCCTTTCCTCCCCGATGAGTTATTTAACACTAGAAAAAAAAATTCACATAATAGAGGGCATATTGACTACTTGCTGTTCATTTTAGAGGTACATTAGAAGAAAATCTCCAAAAGTTGATTTGGCAGGAGAATTTTCTCACAGGACCAAACACCTAGAAGACTCAGTAGACAAATGCCTAATCTGCCCTGGTTGGAGGTGTGTTATTATATCTTGAGATGGATTCACCTATTGTTCGTTTGAAGTAGTCTTAATGTGGGTGTAATCTACTTTCCTAGTCTTTCAGAGCTCAATATTCTTCAGAGCTTTTACTTTCACAGGCAGTTTTATGGTTGTTTTTTTCTTCTTTCCTTTCTCTCTCTCTCTCTCTCTCTTTTCTTTTTTTTTCTCCCCCGATCCTTCATAGCCACTGCCCTTTATAACCATATGATATTGTCTAAGATTTTTCTCTCCTATGACTGCAAGACTCTATCTTACATCAATTGAATGCAGATCAATGACACATAAACAAACACAAGTTAAGCAATCCCAGCATATTTTATCCTACTAACCACAATAACAAACCTCGCAAATATCCATCTTATCATCAGGAGGTTGGCAAGTGATGACTGAAAGGTTTTTCTGTGACAAGAAATTTCTGTCCTTTGCTGTGGCTTTCATTAATAAAACCACCTTCAGTCAGCACCCTTCAGTCAAGGTGCTGAAAGTTTTTTGATCACTCACTAATAAAAATGTTTTGAGTATGCATTGCCTATAAAAGTATATTTATAAATCTTATTTATAGCCATATATATATATATATATATACAGAAAATCTTGCAACTTTAAAGGTATGAGTTAAAATTACACAGAAAATAGAAGTTCTAATATTTTCCCCATACCCCAGTGGATAGCTTCGTAGACCACTGATTCCCTTTAACATTCTTCCTGCCTGGGGAGTAAAGGGTTCAACTGAGGAGGAAATCTGTCAGATTTCCAACTCTAAACCAAGGGTACACAGCATCTGAGGTTCTTAGTATACGACCAAAGAACTAAAAATGGGCAGGGGCGGGAATGTGAGGACAGTAATATGCGGCAAATAAAAGAATAAAGGAGTTGAAGTAGCAGAAAGGGGAAAGAAAAAAAAGTCTATCTGGTGGATAGTAAGAGGTGATCAGAAGTTGTTTCTGGTAATTTCCTGGTCTAAATAAGCATGTTTACAGGTGAGTTTTTGTTTTCAGAAATAACTTTGGCTGTCATCCTGACTCTACTGGGACTTGCCATCCTGGCTATTTTGTTAACAAGATGGGCACGACGTAAGCAAAGTGGTGAGTAATAATGAGTCAAAATGAAGATTTCCTGTGAAAACCATGGAGGGAGGGATGCCAAGATTCAGTCTGAGTTCATCTCACTCATCAAACAGCTAGAGACTTTGCCAATATTCTGGGAATCTGTTTCAATACTTGAGTCAAAGAATCTCTGACCTATTAGTGATTGTCCCTGCACTTTTAACTCCCAAGGTTTACATTATCAATAATGTCAAAGAAAAAGTCACAGATAGGCCGGGAGCGGTGGCTCACGCCTGTAATCCCAGCACTTTGGGAGGCCGAGGCGGGCGGATCACAAGGTCAGGAGTTCAAGACCAGCCTGACCAAAATGGTGAAACCCTGTCTCTTCTAAAAATACAAAAATTAGCTGGGCATGGTGGCAGGTAACTGTAAGCCTAGCCGCTCGGGAGACTGAGGCAGGAGAATTGTTTGAACCCAGGAGACGGAGGTTGCAGTGAGCCGAGATCACGCCATTGCACTCCAGCCTGGGTGACAGTGCAAGACTCCATCTCAAAAAAAAAAAAAAAAAAAAAAAAAAAATCACAGAGTTTAGCAAAAGTAATAAGAATATTTTAAAAGAAAATTACCTGAGCTCCAAGGGAAATTACCTGATAGAAGTGAGAAGACAGTATGTTGCTAAACACCAGTATCTAGTATTATATAAAAAGAATTGGAGACTTTTAGTGACTTAATTTGGGGAGATGATAAGAAGAGACAAATACAGAGTAGTACTTGTCGATGAAATAGAGATGGAGCTCATAAAAGCTAAGACCTATTTCTATGCCATAAGGTCTCTCTTTCCTGGATTTTTCTGTTTCTCTCCCACAACTTTCTAATCAGCTGTATTCCCTCCCTGTTTCCCATCCTCAATGCCTGTGAGCCCTCAAAGCATAAGTAGTGTGAAAAGACAGGTAAAACAGGGCTGATGGGAGATGTGGAAAATGGGTGAGAACAACAATGCATTATATCAGGAGGACCACCTTGGTAAGCAAGAAGCATAGCTTAGAGTGAGAAGAGTTTGATCAGAGGAAGAACACTTCTCCTAAGTAACTAATAAAAACATTTTGCCTAATTCTTCCACAGAAATGTATATCTCCAGATACAGTTCAGAACAAAGTAAGTACTTATACTCATGAGAAAAATAAATATAGTACTTATAGAATTTTCACAAGTCAGGAATGAAATCTGTCTTGTTTACAGTTGTGTTTCCAGAACCTTGCATAGTGCACCATTGCATGAACTGAACTGCTTCTAAGTGAGTGGGAGAAATCTACCAGAGATTTCTGAGCAGTACTGAATGCCAAACTGGATTTGGGGAGAATTAATTAATACTGGGTAGGCCTGCATAATTCTGAGGCTCCCTTCAGATGCTTCCTGTGGTCTGAGAGCAGCAACAGAGAACTGTTCCAGTTCAGGCACTGGAACAGATGGTTCAGTAAAAAGCCTAAATCCATTCATGAAGACGGCCTCAGTGAAGTGGCCGGACCGAAAAATATAATGTATCCTAGAATAATGAGAGTGAACACAGTTAGGGTAATTATGATTGAGAAGAGTACCAACTTCAGGATGTGAAGAATTGAAGAAGACTTTCCATGGAAAGGTCTGGAGAGATGCCAAAGTTGTTAAGAAAGATAGCACAGGATTGGTATGAGGCAAAAACCAGGAGACTAGCTGCTGAAGTATCAAGAGGTAAAAGAAACTCTGAAACTCCTTCTGACTATCATTTAGCCTGGCTAATATTATAAAATTGGTGATTGACACAGTCACTTATCATCGTCAGCTCTTGTAGCTTATGCACAATTCCTAGTTCCTGCAAAGTAAATTAATTCACATCATTATTCACCATTAGGAGTTCATGTTTACATTAGTTCTCAGAGTCTTAAATAAAGCCTCATTAATAATCAAGAAGCAAAATCATGTGCTCTCCCTTTTTTTCTAGGTGCTAGACTTCTGGACTATGAGGATGGTAGAGGTAAATAGATTAGGAACTACTAGACAGTTAATGAAGGAATATACTCTTTAGAGTGTGAATCAACTCATCTCCATTTGAGCATGATTTGTTGAGTCAGCATATCTTTCGTTTTTATAATATTCAAATGCTTATCACTCCTCTCTCTCTTTCTCAAGAAAAATTGTGCATTTTTCTCAGAAAAGGTAAATAATTCTCCTTCTTAAGACCATCAAAAGAATTCATTTCCATCTTCTGTCTACTTCCAAGATATTAGAAAGGTTAAGGAACCGCTCCGAAACAATTTCCTGGATGTTTAAAATGTGGATAAAATGAATATGAAATGGAATAGTATATGTGAAAATACACTTTGAAAGCCATATAGTAGAAGAGGTAAACAAAGCTTATCCCCATTTAAGAAGATGAAATTTATGCTCAAAAGATTGAGACTTACTCAAGTTCACCTAGCTGAGGAGGGAGCTGGATATCAAATTCAGGTTTTGAAACGTGAGAGTTATGAGAAGATGGCAATGCGCTGTCTACTTTTTTGAAGGGACACACCAGTACCACTAATTTCAATGTACCATGGCTATCCCTAACCCTCACGCCCCAACACTCAATGTTCTCTTTCAGTATCCACTCACCAGGGCTGCCTATAGATGTTCCCTCGGCTGTCTCTCTCTCTCTCTCTCTCTCTCTCTCTCTCTCTCTCTCTCTCTCTCTCTCTTTCCTTCCCTCTTTCTCTCTTTCTGACTAGTCCTATCTCCAGAACTCAACAAGAACCACTAGAGCTACCTCTCATTCTTGCTGGAAGCCACTAAAGTTGTCCACACCAGGCCCACCAGCTACACCAGAACTATAAGGTTATGAGATTGTGGATGTGGAAATAATTACACACACACACACACACACACACGCTACAAGCATATAGATCCCTGAGAGTTGAGGAAAGAAAAGAGAAAGTAACTCAGTCACTTCGCTTGCTGTCCATGCCCCACACTTGGACTCTTGGTCCATCCTTCTCCTTCTTACCTCTATGATTCATCTATCATGAACAACAAGAGTGAAGAGCACAGTGCCATGGCATTCCCTCTTTATTTTCTGAAATGGAACCTAAAGAAAATGGGAATATCTGGGAAACTAGCAAATCTTTTAGTAGTTGGATTGAGACTAATGATAAACTTTTTTTTTTTTTTTTTTTTTTTTTTTGAGACGGAGTCTCGCACTGTCGCCCAGGCTGGAGTGCAGTGGCGCAATCTCGGCTCACTGCAAGCTCCGCCTCCCGGGTTCACGCCATTCTCCTCTCTCAGCCTTCTGAGCAGTGACCACAGGCACCTGCCACCACGCCCGGCCAATTTTTTTGTGTGTTTTTAGTAGAGACGGGGTTTCACCGTGTTAGCCAGGATGGTCTCGATCTCCTGACCTCGTGATCCACCCGCCTCGGCCTCCCAAAGTGCTGGGAACATAGGCGTGAGCCACCACGCCCGGCCCGATAAACTTATTTTTTAATGAACTGTTGGTAAAGTTAATATGTTTTTTTCTTTCCTAAAAGATTTTTCTTCTCAGAGATCTAAAAGAGGAAGAGGTAAACAGATTTCTATCTAACAAAAAATAATATAGACTCACTTGTTGAAGTAAAATCTCATTATGTTTTTATCTTCTCTTTTAGGATCCCGACATGCATATTCAACACAAAGTGGTAAATTATTGTATTGCTAAGAAATTAATATAGGAGTCTGTTTATGAGAAATTAAGAATCTTATAATTTTTCTTCAATTCTCTAGACACTTCATATGATAACCGAGGTAAGTATATGTAGAGATTTTTGTAAAATTAAAGGAAAATCAGGCTTCTTCCTGCCACAACATAAAAGGCTATAAAAACTGACCAAAATTTAAAAAAGAAGAAGAAGAAATCAAAGTAGGTACAGAATATTCTGAGAAATGTTCACAAATGTTCACCATCACGCTATGAGGCACCATTTTCCCCAAAGCTATGCAATTCCTCTCCTATCCAACTCCTAATTATTTAACAAAAGTAATATGAGAGAAAGGCATCAGCAAAATAGTAGAATAGGAGCTTTCTTCCCACACAGAAGCATCAATTTAGACAACTATCCACAGATGAGACAATACCATTGTGGGAGTCCAGGAGTCCAGCAGAGAAGTTCCAGCACGCTGTCAGGTTATAAAATCCTAGAACAGATGTATTAAAGAGGGTAAGAAGAACAGTTTCACTTTACCCACATCACTCCTCCCCCAAGGTGGCACAGCTCAATGCTGAGACAGACCCACTTGGCCCACAATTTCTCCCACAGAAAAAATGTGCAGAATTTAATGAGTGCCCACATCCCCCAGCCATTCAGGATGCTGTCCGATAAGCCCACTTATTTCTCACTCCACCCAGAACATTGAGATGATCAGCATAGTTGAATGGTTAGGAGAGGCTGGGAACAGGGAAAAGAGACTGCAGAACCCACTCATCAGAAAGCCTCATCAGAAAGCCTGCCATTTGAGATGCGTGACCTATGCTCCTTGCACTACTGACCCACAGGCACGCCTTTCACACATTTCACTCTCCCATCTAGGCTGAGTCCCCAAATGAGCCACCATGGACAACAAAAGGAAACATCTCACAGTCAGTTTGACTTTGTAGGATCGGAAAAAAGGACACAAACTTGAGAATTCCAGAGCACCACCCTAGGGAAAACAAAGGGAAGGCTCTCAGAACCTGGACTGGCTTTGCAGGATTGAGAGAAAGCACAATCTTAGAAATCCCATCTACCCTGGGTGTGGTAGTTCATGCCTGAAATCCCAGCACTTTGGGAGGCCGAGGCAGGAGGACTTCTTGAGACTAGGAGTTCGAGACTGGCCTGGGCAACATAGTGAGACTCCGTCTCTAAAAAAAAAAAAAAAATCAGTTGGATGTGGTGGTGCACACCTGCAGTCCCAGCTACTCAGGAATCTGAGGTGGGAGGATTGCTTGAGCTCAAGAGTTTGATGCTGCAGTGAGCCACGATCATGCCACTGCTCCACTCTGGGTAGCAGAGTGAGATTTTCTCTCAAAAAAAGGGAAAAAATCCCACCTGTGAAGTAGGCACAAACAAATATTGAACAGGGTGACTGTTTCTTCAAATGTGAAAACACAAGACAAGACTTCAAGGTCATAAAAATCAAGGAAACATGACACCACTAAAAGAACACAATAATATTTCAGTAACTAACCCCCAAAAATGAAGGTTTGCCTAAAAATCAATCCACCAGTTGCCTGACAAAAAAATCCAAAACAATTGTTATAAGAAAGCTCAGTGAGCTACAAGACAACACAAACAATATAATGACATCAGGAAAACAACACAAGAACAAAAGTAGAAGTTCAACAAAGAGAAAAAAAAACAAAACAGAGCCATACAAATTTTGGAGCTGAAGGGTGTAATGCCTAAACTAAAACAAAAAGGAAATAGAGAGCTTCCAAGATGATGGATCAAGTATAAGAAAGAATAAGAGAAGTCAAAGACCAATCATTTAAAATTATCTAGTCAGAGTACAAAAAAAAAAAAAACCACAAAGAAAAGAAATGAAGAAATATGTACAAGATTTATGGGACACCATCAAGGGAGCTAACTTTTTGCATTATTGGAGTCTCAGAGGAAAAGAGAAATAAAATAGAATAAATGCTTATTTAAGGCATAATTGCTAAAAACTTTCCAAATCTGTGAAGAGATATAGACATCTCGATATATGAAACTCAAAACTCTCCAATTGTATTTAACCCAAAGAAGACTTCTCCAAGACATTATGTCAAATTGTCAATAATCAAAGTTAAAGAGAGAATCTTGAAAGAAGCATATCACATTTAAAGGTACATCAAAAGGATATTAGCACTTCTATGCAGACATTTTCTAGGCCAGTACATAGTGGGATGATATATTCAATTTGCTGAAAGAAAAAAACTGCCAACCAATAACTCTTTACCCGTAAAGCTGTTTTTCAGATCTGAGAAAGAGATAGTCTTTATCAGACAAACAAAAGCTGAGGGAGTTTATCACCAATAGATCTGCCTTACAAGAAATGCTAGAGAATGTTCTTCAAGCTGAAATGAAAGGCCAATAATTAGTAAAATGAAAACATATCCAAGTATAAAATTCACTGGTAAGGTAAATATACAGTCAATTCAGAATATTCTAATACTGTAATGATGGTATATAAATAACTTTTAATGCTAATATAAAAGTTAAAAGACAAAATATTAAAAGTATATAATTTGTTAATGAATATACAATTTTTTTAAATGTAAATTTTGACACTGAGAATGTAAAAAGTAGGGAGAATAATATGTAGAGTTTTTGTATGTAATCTATTTTAATAATCTAAGTTATTATTAGCTTCAAATAGACTGTTGAAACCATGTTTTATGTAAGCTTATGGTAACCACAAACCAAAAACCTATACTAGATACACAAAACAGAAAGATATTAAAGCATACCACTACAGAAAATCAGCAAATCACAAAGAAAGACAGGAAGAAAGGAAGAAAGGATATACTAAACAGCCAAAAAACAACCAAGAAAATAACTATATTAAGTCCTTAACTATCAATAATTACTTGAACGTAAATGGATTAAATTTTCTAATGAAAAGACACAGAGTAGCTAAATGTATTTAAAAACAAGTTGCAACTATCTATGCTGCCTGTAGCAGACACACTCCAGCTCTAAGGATACATATAGAATGAAAGTAAAGGGATGAAAAGAAGATGCTCCATGCAAATGGAAAACAAAAGACGGTAGGGGTGGCTATACTTACATCAGGCAAAATAGACTTTTAGTCAAAAATTATAACAAGAGACAAAGGAGCTCACTATATAATTATAAAGGGCTAATTCATCAAGAGGATATAAAAATTATAAGTACATATGCACATAATGTCAGAGCACCTAAATATATAATATTTACATAACTGAAGGGAGAAACAGCAATATAATAATCGTAGCGGACTTCAGTAACCCATTATTGACAATGAATAGAGCATCCACACAGAAAATTAACAAGGGAGAAAATAAAGTTACCAAGAATACCCAATAGGGAAAGGATAAATGTTATTGGGAAAACCGGATATCCATATGCAAAAACAAAAAGAAATTGGCCCTTATCATATACCATACACAAAGATCAATTCAAAATGGATTGAAGACTTTAATGTAAGACTTGCCACTATAAAACTCCTATAATAAAACAGTGAAAAGTTCCATGACATTGGTCTTTGCAAGTTGTTTTATATGACACCAAAAACACAGTAACAAAAGCAAAAATAAGTGGTATCTCGTCAAACAAAATTGTTTCTGGACAACAAAGGAAACAATCAACAAAATGAAAGCCAACTCACAGAATAGGAGAAAATATTTGCAAACCATATATCTGATAAGTGGTTAATATTTGTCTTAATCTGTTTCTGTTGCTTATAACAGAATATCTGAAACTGGGTAATTTATAAAGAAAAGAAATGTATTATTATTTCTTACAGTTATGGAGGATGGAAAGTCCAAGGCTGAGGGGGCGCATGTGGCGCAAGAGAGCCTTCTTGCTAGTGGGGACTCTCTGCAGATTCCTGAAGTGGTACAGGGCATAACATGGCAAGGTGGCTAACATGCTGTGCTTAGGTCGTTCCTCTTCTTTTTTTTTTTTTTTTTTTTTTTGAGACGGAGTCTGGCTCTGTTGCCCAGGCTGGAGTGCAGTGGCGCGATCTCGGCTCACTGCAGGCTCTGCCTCCCGGGTTCACGCCATTCTCCTGCCTCAGCCTCCCGAGTTGCTGGGACTACAGGCGCCTGCCACTACGCCCGGCTAATTTTTGTATTTTTAGTAGAGACAGGGTTTCACCGTGTTAGCCAGGATGGTCTTGATCTCCTGACCTCGTGATCCGCCCACCTCGGCCTCCCAAAGTGCTGGGATTACAGGCTTGAGCCACCGCGCCCGGCCCGTTCCTCTTCTTATGAAGCCACCAGTTCCACTTGCCTGACAACTCATTAATCCATTAGTGGATTAATCCATTTATGTGGGTAGAACCCTCATGATATAATCACCTCTTTAAGGCCTCACTTCTCAATGCTGTCACATTGAAGATTAAGTTTCAACATGAGTTTCGGAGAGGACATTAAAACCACAGCAATATCCAAAATATATAAGGAACTCATACAACTCAAAAGCAAGATACAACTCAAAATACAGCTGAAACAAATAAGCTGATTTTAAAATGGACTAAGGTTCATATCTGTTCATGAACCTTAGTCCATGAACAGACAATTCTTAAAAGAAGACATTTACGCAGCCAACAGACATATGAAAAAATGCTCATCATCACTGGCCATCAGAGAAATGCAAATCAAAACCACAGTGAGATACCATCTCACACCAGTTAGAATGGCAATCATTAAAAAGTCAGGAAACAGGTGCTGGAGAGGATATGGAGAAATAGGAATGTTTTTACAATGTTGGTGGGAGTGTAAACTAGTTCAACCATTGTGGAAGACAGTGTGGTGATTCCTCAAGGATCTAGAACTAGAAATACCATTTGACCCAGCCATCTCATTATTGGGTATATACCCAAAGGATTATAAATCATGCTACTATAAAGACACATGCACACGTGTGTTTATTGTGGCACTATTCACAATAGCAAAGACTTGGAACCAACCCAAAAGTCCATCAATGATACACCAGATTAAGAATATGTGGCACATATACACCATGGAATACTATGCAGCAATAAAAAATGATGAGTTCATGTCCTTTGTAGGGACGTGGATGAAGCTGGAAACCATCATTCTCAGCAAACTATTGCAAGGACAGAAAACCAAACACTGCATGTTTTCACTCATAGGTGGGAACTGAACAATGAGAACACTTGGACACAGGGTGGGGAACATCACACACTGGGGCCTGTTGCGGGGTGGGGGAAGCAGGGAGGGATAGCATTAGGAGAAATACCTAATGTAAATGACGAGTTAATGGGTGCAGCACACCAACATGGCACATGTATATATATGTAACAAACCTGCACATTGTGCACATGTACCCTAGAACTTAAAGTATAATAAAAAAAAAAGAGAGAGAGAAAAAAACAAAATAAAATAAAATAAAATGGACTAAGGACCTAAATAGACATTTTTTCAGAGAAGACTTACAGCCAACTAATAAATAAAGGTGCACAATATCACTAATCATCAAGGAAATGCACCTCACACCAGATAGGATGCATTCAAAATGTCAAGGGATAACAAGTGTTGGCAAGGATATGGAGAAAAGGGAACCCTTGTACACTGTTGTTAGGAATGTAAAGTAATACAGCCATTATGGAAAACAATATTGTGGTTCCTCCAATAAATTAAAAATAGAACTACCATATGATTCAGGAATGCTACTTCTGGGCATATATTCAAAGGAAATAAAAATCATTATCCTGAAGAGATGTTTGCACTCCCATATTCATTGCAGCATTATTTACAATACCCGGGATAGAGGAATAAACTAGGTGTCCATCAGTGGATGAATGGATAAAGAAAATGTGATACACAGACACACACACATACACACACACACACACAATGAAATATTATACAGCCTTAGGAAAAGAAAGAAATCTTGCCATTTGTGACAACATGGATGAACCTGGAAGACCTTAGGCTAAGTATAATTAGCCACGCATAGAAAGACAAATACTACATGATCTCATGTATATATGGAACCTTAAAAAGTTGAACTCAGCAGAAAGGTGATTACCAGAAGTTAGGGGGTGGAAGAAATGGGCAGAAGTTGGCCAAAGGGTACAAACTTGCAGTTTTATGACAAATACGTTATGTAGACCCAATGTACAGCATGGTGACTATAATGTATTATACACTTGAAATTTACTAAGAGTGTAGGTTTTACATATTCTCATCACAAAATGAAAAATAGAAGTAAGTATTTGAAGTGGTAGATATATTAATTAGCTTGATTGTGGCAATCATTTCACAATGTATACATATATTAGAATCACACACTGTAATACCTTAAATATATATAATTTTTATAATTATACCTCAATAAAGCTAAAGAAAAGAAAAAAATAATCTGAGTAGTCAAGAGAAATTCAACATCCCAGATCTCACAAATGCTAACTACTCATTGAATTAATTCAAGATGGATTAAAGACTTAAATGTTAGACCTGAAACCATAAAAACCCTAGAAGAAAACCTAGGCAATACCATTCAGGACATAGGCATGGGCAAGGACTTCATGTCTAAAACACCAAAAGCAATGGCAACAAAAGCCAAAATGGACAAATGGGATCTAATTAAACTAAAGAGCTTCTGCACAGCAAAAGAAACTACCATCAGAGTGAACAGGCAAACTACAGAATGGGAGAAAATTTTTGCAATCTACTCATCTGACAAAGGGCTAATATCCAGAATCTACAAAGAACTCAAACAAATTCACAAGAAAAAAACAAACAACCCCATCAACAAGTGGGTGAAGGATATGAACAGAGACTTCTAAAAAGAAGACATTTATGCAGCCAAAAGACACATGAAAAAATGCTCATCATCACTGGCCATCAGAGAAATGCAAATCAAAACCACAATGAGATACCATCTCACACCAGTTAGAATGGCGATCATTAAAAAGTCAGGAAACAACAGGTGCTAGAGAGGATGTGGAGAAACAGGAACACTTTTACACTGTTGGTGGGGCTGTAAACTAGTTCAACCATTGTGGAAGTCAGTGTGGCTATTCCTCAGGGATCTAGAACTAGAAATACTATTTGACCCAGCCATCCCATTACTGGGTATATACCCAAAGGAGAATTGAACAATGAGAACACATGGACACAGGAAGGGGAACATCACACTCTGGGGACTGCTGTGGGGTGGGGGGAGGGGGGAGGGATAGCATTGGGAGATATACCTAATGCTAGATGACGAGTTAGTGGGTGCAGCGCACCAGCATGGCACATGTATACATATGTAACTAACCTGCACATTGTGCACATGTACCCTAAAACTTAAAGTATAATAATAATAATAATAATAAAACAAATCATGCTGCTATAAAGACACATGCACACATATGTTTATTGCGGCACTATTCACAACAGCCAAGACTTGGAACCAACCCAAAAGTCCATCAATGATACACCGGATTAAGAAAATGTGGCACATATACACCATGGAATACTATGCAGCAATAAAAAAGGATGAGTTCGTGTCCTTTGTAGGAACATGGATGGATGAAGCTGGAAACCATCATTCTCGGCAAACTATCGCAAGGACAAAAAATCAAACACCTCATGTTCTCACTCACAGGTGGGAATTGAACAATGAGAACACTTGGACACAGGAAGGGGAACATCACACACCGGGGCCTGTTGTGGGGTGAGGGGAGTGGGGAGGGATAGCATTAGGAGATATACCTAATGTAAATGACGAGTTAATGGGTGCAGCATACCAACATGGCACATGTATACATATGTAACAAACCTGCATGTTGTGCACATATACCCTAGAACTTAAAGTATAATAATAATAAAAAGAAATCAAGGAATAAATTCTTAAAAGTTCATCACATTAAGATATGACTTGTGCAATAAAATTCCAAGGGTGCAAAGAAATACTGCTGTTGTCTACTGTTGTCATTTACATCTCATATTTCTTGGGAAAAAACCTCTCCAGTAACAGTCTACCAGAATACCAGATTTAACCAGTGCAAGAAGCTACCTCAGTGTTAGGAATTTAAGGGTACACGGATAAGCAAAATAAAACTACACACTATAAGAAGGGAGGAGAATTAACATGTACTCAGCACCTACTATATGTTAGTCATTCTGGTGAGCATTTTTTCATTTTATTAATATTGAATATCTACAAACAACCCTGTCAACCACACAAAGATGAGCTACCCAAAAATCCCTCCCTGGCTGTCCAAGGCCTCCAGTAGCCTACAGGTTGCTTTGGTGCATATTAGGAAAAGGTGTTCCTTCCTGCAAGTGAATGCAGCCCCACCCCAGAGACACTGTTGTGGATTTCAGTTCCCTTAACCCTTTGTGCAGTGAGCCAACCTATATAATCATAGCACACGTGTCCTGAAGATATATGAAAGGCATCTCACTCTTAGCATGTCTAAAACCCAAGCCCTAATCCCTTCTACACACTGGTGCTAGCACTTGTATTCACCTAATTGCTCAGACTATCTACCTTGGAATGATATTTAACTCCTTTCCTACTCTCTTCATCCAATCCACCATCAAATCCCATCTCTGATGCTTTCAAATTATACTCCAAATCAAACCACCTTCCACCACCATGACAATCCTTGCCCAAACACCAATATCTCTTGCCTCCTACCTTGTTTCCTTGATACTCCTCTTGCCTTCTTATAGTCTATTCACCTCACCACAGCGAGGGAGATCCTTAATAAGTACCTCTTAAATGAAGAAAGTAATTTACTATTGTTATCCCTAATTTACAGAAGAGAAACTTATGCTTAAAAAACATTAATGACTTGCCCAAGGCCACAGGACTTGGAAGTGACAACCTGGATAGGAATTTAGAATTGTCTAATTCCAAATTTTAGGCAGTCAGAGAGTTTATTCTTATGTAATTTAGTAATATCTTAATTTTTAATTTCCTGTTTACAGATCTTTAGTGTACAAGCCTACAATCTTAGTATCTTTCTAATCTGGGCTCCCTTGCATTCTTAAGGAAAAACTTGAATCAGTAAACATTTTATTGTTGTTTCAATAAGTCATACTTTAAAATTCATAAACCCAAATGACTATTTCTCTGACTTTCCAGTCCCCCTAACATAACCTATAAATCTCAGTCATCCTAAGTTTCTAGGTTCCCACGCCCTGCTAGTCTTCCCTCCATTATTTCTAGACATAGGAATATAAATGTACTGGTCAACTTGAGACTATAGAAATCTTCTGGCAGGAAGATATTAATATTAGGTAAGGTCATTATGTTAGTTTAGGTACATGAAATTTAGTACTCAAAGTTTAGTTTAACTTAAATATATCACATATAAAAGCTGCCATGGTTATTCCAAAATTTTTTTGAAATTAAATTTATTCTTAGTATTTTTCTAGCAAATGTTAAGTGCAGCGCATGAAAGTTTTTATAACAAATTTCAAGTGCAGCATATTAAAATGTTCGGCATTTCAGTGGTATTTTCCATTTTTGTGGCAACTCTATTAACATCTTGATGTATTTTCCCTTTTTTTTTTCATTGAGACAGAGTCTTGCTCTGTGGGCCAGGCTGGAGTGCAGTGGCACTATCTCGGCTTACTGCAATCTCCGTCTCCCGGGCACAGGCAATTCTCCTGCCTCAGCCTCCTGAGTAGCTGGGATTACAGGCGTGTACCACCAGGCCCAGAGAATTTTTGTATTTTCACTAGAGACAGGGTTTCACCATGTTGGCCAGGCTGGTCTCGAACTCCTGACCTCAGGTAACACACCCACTTCGGCCTCCCAAAGTGCTGGGACTACAGGCTTGAGACACCGTTTTTAAAATCCCCATAGAACCATGAGAAACAAGAAACATTATTATAAAACAGAGAATGTGTTTTGTACTTAATTCCCATCACAATGACTGCCAAGTATGGAAGGAGAGCACTCATTTTCAGAAAAGAAGCTGAAAAAAAAATACTATTGTCTTCACATTTCTGAGTAGATCTTTAACTATACTTTAGTGAAATAGCAAATGATATTATGATTCAACATAATTTAAATCAACTACAAAGTATCAATATTACTATTTACTTTTACACTTTTATGAAAACAACAGTGATAACATGACTAGTTTTCCATGTAATTTGCTTTGTCTCCAGATCTTTTAGAAAGTCTGTTTCCATGACATCACTAAGAAACAAGTTTTAGATCATAGGATGCACATTCAATCGCAATCAATATACACATTTGCATTCATTATAATTTGCCATATTGTCACTGAACTTGAATTCTCAGTCAGCTGAGTAAATATTTTGCCATTCCTTCTTTTATTTGACCTCAACTTACCTTATAACTATACATTCTTCTGTTTCAATGTTTGCATGTATAGTTTATTATTTCTTCTCACTACATGTATTTACCTTAATTAAACTCTGCCTGTTTTTTTAATGTCATTAAACTTATAAATTAAGCCATGAGGAGATTTTGTCTCCAGTTTCTTGCCTAACTGGATATTTGAGGGTGTTGACTGGGTAATCCTCTGTAGTGATACCAAAACTACAGAAATAGAATATCCAAATTGATTTTTCTTTCTTTTGTTTATGTTTTCAGAGAGATCCAAAAGAGATTACAGTAAGTATTATCTTGCTTCTTAACAAAAATTTGCTTCCTATTAGTAACATTTCCCTAGATTGTAAATGCTTTGGAGGAAAGAGAAATCCTGTCATATGTCAAGTCATATGAATACTAAGCAATAGATAAAGTTTTCTAGTGCTGGTTTAGAATGATCTGGCTGGGAGAAAAGGAAAACAATAGAAGTGATGAGCAAGAGAAAAGGAAAGTAATAAAGATAAAAGGGAGAGAGAGAAGAAAATAGAGAGGGAAAAAAGGGAGGGAGGAATTAGGGCAGTAGGAATGGCATCTGCCTACTAAAAATTAAACCCATTTTTAGAGATGGAAAGCATATGCAGTAGCTGGTGGGAGTGGCTGTCAGTACCCATCACCAGATCAGTGATGACTCCCGGGGCCTAGACTTTAACTCCTGAGAAGGGGGTGACAGCAACTGAAGCTGATATGTAAAGATTAGGGATCCAAACTCTCATGATTCACCTCATGTTTTCTGTGTGTGTATTTTAGCACCATCAACCAACTCTCTAGGTAAGTGCTTTGTGGTTTTCTTTCAATTCTACTGTCATCTGGTTTGCAAGCCCTATTTTTTCTGTATTTTTTCTCTTTTAAGAAAGTTTTTAAAATTAAGTATAAAAATAATTAACACTTGTATATCACACCTTAGATGTGACAAATTGATAATATTCTTGTCATATTTCTCAAGTTATCATAGACATATTCCACTCCCTTCTTCCCAAAGGCTTATTAATATATTTTAAATATTTAAGTCTATTTACATATATTTATAGTCTCTACCTATCACTGAACAAAATATAGTATCTTTTTTTAATGTTTAATTTTACTAAAATGGCATCTGTCTGATAGTATCATTACGATTTGCATTTTTCTCTCAAAATGTAGTTTTGAAATCCAGGTTATACACTTTGTTGAATAATATTCCACCTTATGAATATACAATATTTTTCTATTATTTCTACTACCGATGCATTCTCAATGTTTCCAATTTCTGCTATCACAAATAATGCTGCAAAGACAATCCTTAAGTAGATGGAAAAGAGTTTATCCGGGGTACATACCCTGAAGTAGGATTAGTGTTCACATTGTATATGAGCATTTATGTAATTTATGCATATTTTAAATTTTAGTAGCTATTAATTAAGCTCCTTGGTAGTTACATAGAGGCATACAAAAATAAATAAATATTTCCAATTTCTCTGCATTAGTAACAATCCCAGATTTTGTCATATTTTTCTATTATTGCCACTTGAATACGTATACAATTTTTAAAATCTGCATTCCCTGCTCACTCCTGAAATTGAGTATCTTCTCATAGGCTTACTAGCTAGTGAGGCTTCACCCTATATAAATTGCTTGTTCATTTACTTTACCCATTTATCTATTAGTTATTGATCTGTAGTAATTCTTTATTATTATGAAAGATCAACTTTTATATGTTATGTTAAATATCTGCAATTATCTCATCCAATTCTGTCTCTTAGCTTTAAATTTTTATGCTGTCTCTTGACTTTTAGAAGGCCTCTACTCACTCTCCCCCAGCACCACACAATTTATTGTAATAAAATTTGTCAATCTCTTGTTTTCTTTTAGAGTTTCTGCTTTTTAGTTTCTTTGGCCTTATCTGGGTATCACAAAGATTTTATCTAATACTTTCTCTTAATAGTTTTGAAATTTCCCTTTCTACATATAGAACTTTAATCCAAATGGGGCTTTGTTAATTGTTTTTTGGTTTTGGTGAGTGATTTTAGTAATAATACAGGTGAGATCTAATTTTCCTTTCATCTGGAAAACCAACTAGAGGGATTTCGTCTCATCTTGTTCCAACTAGATTTATTGACTGGTGCATTCTTTCTCTGCTGATTTGTAATGCCATCTTCATCTTATATATTTCGTTTTTCCGTGGATTTTATTTTCTGTTCCAGTGATCTTTTGTCTTTTACTGAACCAATACTCCATTGCTTTCACTACTAAAACTTTATAACATTACAAAAAATAGCACATTATCTTTGTTCTTTTTCAGAAATGTGTTGGCTATTCTTTGACCTTTTCTCTTACACAAGAATTTCATAATTTCTCAAAATCTATGAGTCATATTAGGATTTCATTGAAATTTCATTGAGCCTGTAGATTAATTTGTAAAATCAATTATTCCCATGCATTAACATGGTTGCCTACTATTCAAATTTTCTCATATACCCTTCAATAATGTAATATAATTTTCTTCAGAAAGGTCTTGCATGTCTTTTGCTGCATTAATTCTTATACACATACTTGTTTTTTGTTTCGGATGTTAATACTATCTCTCTACATGGATTTTACAAATAATTATTGTTGGAATATAAGTTATATGTTGTATATTTGAGAGTAGATTTTGTATCTAGCCACCCTGCTGTGCTCTTAGAGTTCTAATAATTTTCAGATTCTTTTGAATTCTATATGTAAAAAATCATGTCATCTGCAAAATCTGATAATCTTGAGTTTCCTTTTCCAATTCTTAAAACCATTTTCTTGTCATAGCTTGGGCTATGTATATCTATGGGTAAAATTCCTTCTCTTTACTTTTGCTTTATTTTTGTTCCTTTTTCTAGCTTGCTGTATGAAACTCTTAATCAATTTCCAGACTTTCTCATCTTCTTTTTTTATTTTATTTTTATATGGGACACCATGAATTTTCATGCCATCCTTACACACGGGCCACGCTAATCTTCTCTGTATCATTCCAATTTTAGTATATATGCTGCCAAAGTGGGCGCTCTTATTTTCTAATATAAGTATCTAAGTAACTTCTAAATGCTGCTGAAACTCATATCCTCATATCCACTCATATCCTCATGACTATTTTTTTACTTCAATTCTACACTCTGATATTAGCATTGTTCTAACACCTTTGTTTTAATTAGTATTTGCCTATTTTTCATCCTTTTATTTTGAACCTTAAAAGTTTGTTTTTGTCTTGTGTCTTTTTTAAATGGCATATTGCTTGACTTTGTTCATATTAACAATGTAAAATTTTCTGTTTCCTAATAGATGAATTTAGTTCATTTTATATTGTGAATTGTTATATGTTTATCTAAATGTTTCCAATTTATATTGTGTTTTCAACTTACAGTACTATGCTCTGTTCTTTCATTTTTAAATCTTCTTTTCTACCTTCTGCTGGTATATTAGAATTCCTTGTTTCTTTTGTTTTACTTAGTGTTTTTCTGGATTTTGTTTTATGTATCCTGATATTTGTAACATGTGTACTATTTAATTTTTCTTTAAAAATTAAAGATAATCGGTATCTTCTTCCAAGACTAGATAATAACTTTTATTTGACCATCTTCCCTCCAAACTACTCTTTCCAAATTCTCCATCTTGTTTGTGGTATTCTTTTTAAAGACAAAATAATTATTTATTTTCACAATTAATTATTACTTAGACTTACAACAATATTTCAGCATTGTTTTTGCTTAACATTATTTGCTACATCCTGTGTCTTTTCTCTTCTATTTCTTGCCCAAATACAATCCTTTACTGGTTCTTTAAACTCTACATGTATGTGAAAAATTTTCTAAGCCTTCATATGGCTGAAAATAGCTTTACTTCACCTTCAGCCTTAAATGAAAATTTAGCTAGGTATAGAATTGAACATTATTTTCCCTCTGTACTTTGAAGATTTATTCCATTTGCTTGTTGTTTATTATTTATTATTGTTGATAAGAATCTATCACTAGTTTGATGTTTGTTCCTAAGTAAATATATTTTCAAGATTCTCTTTATTTTTGTGCTCTGCATTTAATTATAATGTTTATAGGTGTGAGATTAACTTTTTATGAGTGTGAGGTTATCCTGAGCAGGATAAATGAAGTGAATCTCACACCCACAATGGAAAATCCTGAATGCTTCCATTTACTCTGAGCAGGATAAATGAAGTTAATCTCACACTCATAAACATTCAAGAGTTTCCATTCTGTGGACTCAATCTTTCTAATTACAGAAAAATTTAACTTTAATTGCTATGAATTTTGCCCATATTTATATCTATATCTAACAACAAACTGTAGTCTCTACTTCTAAAATTACTATGTATGTAAAGATTTTCCTTCCATCTTTCAGATCTTGTGACTTCTCTTTTATATTTCTTATCTGCACTGATTAAGTTAGCCCCGGATCTTAAAATCTCAGTGGTTTTCCCTAATAGAATTTTATTTCTTACTTATGAGAAGTCCAAAACAGGAATTCCAGATTGGCGGATGGCCCTTCTCTCAGCAGTGTCTTAGGCACTCAAATTCATCTTAACTAATGACTCCACCATCTTCAAATAATGGCTCCTAAGTTCATCATGTTAGTCCACCTTAAGTGAACAGAAAGAAAAAAGCTTGAAGATCATGAGTGGATGACTTTACAAACAAGCCTGGATGACTTTCATATCACTTCTAACAACATTAGATTGGCTAGAACTCAAGCATATAGCCACACCTAACTACAAGGGAATTTTGGGGAAATAGTCAACCACGTTGTATTAGTTTTCTATAGCTGCTCTAACAAATTACCACAAACTTAATGGCTTAAAACAACACAAATTTATTATCTATCAGTTCCATAGGTTATAAATCTGTCATATATGTCTCCCTGGACAACAATCAGGTTGTCAGCAAGACTGCATTCTTTCTGGAGGTTCTAGGAACAAATCTGTTTCCTTGCTTTTTCAGCTTCTAGAGGCTGGCCACATTCCTTGGTTCATGGCTCCCTTCTTCTATCTTCAAAGTGAACAAAAATGAATCAAGTCCTCACATCACACCATTCTGCCCTTCTTCCACTGTAGTACCTCTTTCTCTTACTCTCTTTTATCTCCCTCTCCCACTCTTAAAAATCTTTGTGATTATATTAGGCCCACTCAGATATACCAAAATCATCATCCTATTTTAAGGTCAGCTGATTAGCAACTTTAACTTCATCTGCAATATTAATTCCCTTTTTCCATGTAACCTAACATATTAAACAGGAAGATAATCCCAGGTTCTTACAATGCATGAGGCCTATGGCCTTGATTTCTGCTGGTGATCAGGTGTTTAAGCCTCAGTCCCCCAATAAGGTATCACATGGGTGGTAAAACTTCTCATTCATTACCAAGAATATGGGTTCCTTCTTGATATATTTTTCTTGAATATATTACTTCTCTTTTTAGTTTTCAAGCTCAGCTCTACTTTATAAACTTTAAAAAATACCATGTTCAAAGTAATCACTTAAAGGAGAGGATGAAATATTCCCCTCAATAGCAAGCACCCTTTCAGTAAGCCCCGAGGTTCTAAATACTTTCACTACTTTGACTCTTTAGCTTCTAATATTATTCAAGAACTTCCTGATTTGGTCTCTTGCTATTCTTCATCTCCATAGGGCACAAGTGAATTTTGGAAAGTGGAAACCCCTGTTGAAGCAGTTAGGTGGTAACTGTTTGGTGTAACAAAAAATCTTTTCGAACAAAGGGAAAACAGAAAGAAAATTAAGGAGAGAGAGGAAGAGGTGGAGGAAAGGTAGAGAAGGAAAGAACAGAGCAGCAGAATCGCCAATGAAAGAAGACTTATAGGGACAGAAAAATGTCCTCAGATTGAGAAACTAGCAATCTCCAAAAATATTTTTATTCTCTTACCAAAATTGAAAGACAGGTTGCATAGATCTTGTAGTCCCACCTTACCACAAAAGTATTGGAATCCATATGTAGATATCCAGCTGCTCACCACATTGCATTGCAATTGATACCAGGAAATAAGTTGTGACTCATTTCTATCTTCTTTTCCACAACCTTTCTGCAATATAGTGTCTATGGCATCTAAGTTCTCCCTGGGACAAACAGAACTCATTCTTCTTTTGATGTGTTTTATTTTAGCACTGTCTCGATCAAGTATTGGTAAGTTCCTTTACTTTTCTTCAATTCTGCTGACATTTAGCCCCATTTAGTCAAGAGGATATCTTCCTAAACTTCCCAGACTTCTTCGCTGCAGCACAGCAGAAGCTTAAGCTTCACATTTCTCCAATTTCTTTGTTCTCCATAACCAGACACTTCAATAATCAGTCAAAAGTAAATGCAAGTTTCTAGTGGTTTATTATGATGACATGAAGAGAGCAATTTCCAAACCTGAAGTGTTGGAAAAACAGAGTAAATAAAGGATAAGAGCAAAAAGTTAGTAAGAAAAATGAGGATGAAGATAATATAGAATGAGGGATAAATGATATTAGCTGTGTCCTCAGAATTTTAAAGCTTTACATGGCTAGCACGAAAGGGCAGCCTTCCCTGAGGCATCCCCAAGTCAGGCTGGCAGCAATGGAAGAGATGGCTAATTCCCTATCCCCCTGAGCTGCAACTGACACTAAGGGTTTGGTGCTCCCAGGCGTTCCTGGTTCTGATACTCATTCCTGCCCTGTCCCCTGCAAAAAAAAAAAAAAAAGAAAGAAATGGATAGTTTTTGAGCCAGACAACCACATGAATTTTTTGTTTATATTTACTTTTAGGAGAGCAAGGAGGGAAATTTCATATTTCCAAATTCTAAGTCTCTTTAGTGTGTCACAGAACTAAGGAACATTCCCTAACCCTGCTGAGATTTTGTCCCTCACCTGCTTTTCCTTCCCCATCATTGAGCATTTTGTCTAAAATTAATGAGAACTTCGAAGAATGAGAAGTCCACCGATTAAAGAATAAAGAGAGGATTAAAATGGTTTTAGCTGGCAATCATAGTTTCAGCAAAACAGTAATAAATTCATTAACTTAGGAATAGGAGGGAAGAAGAGAGAGGCTTGTGAAGAGACCAGGGAATGGAAGTAGGGGACAAGGAGAGGTTTGTAATTAAAGCAAGTCATCTTTCTTGACTATTTACAGATATTACACATGAGGAAAAAATGAAATTTAAAGATATTATTTAACTTGACCCAAGGCATATAGCTAGCAAAAGAGTAAAACTGAGGTTCTAAACACTGGCCTTTGGACTCCAAGTCCTGAGGTTGTCCAGCTACCCCCAGGACATCATTAAATGTATTTACTCTTCCAATCCAAAGTATTCTTTGGAAATAAAATGTTTGTTCCAAGGAATTTAGAAAATCATGCATATGTTGAAAATATATTACTTCAATTTTTAAAATGTAATTTGAAAATCTTAAAATGTAAATTAATATAAAATATCAGAATTAGTGTGCTAATCCAATACTGTGCCATAACCTTATCCCATGAATAAGGCTGTTTTGTTGTATATACAACTGTGAACAGGTGCCCTTAGAAAGCTATCAAGCTCAATATTTTATTACTTTTATAATTAAAACATGTTTTATCTAGTTTTACTTTGTTTTCATCTAACTTATGGAAAGGGTAAAATATTTGGGAGTTGAAACATGCTAAACAATAAACTCAAATCTTCAGTTTCTTCAGCAAAATCTGCAGAGGACCCATGTGAGACAGGCTTGCCATAAAAACCCTCCAAAGGGGAAATCATTTAGAGCACTGCAGCTGCTATACCTAAGACAACATAAGTATTTCACAGACAGCATAGATTCTAGTGAGGTAAGACAGAAAATAAACACATAAGCAAACAAATACAATGATTTCCCTTTCTAGATAATTCCTACTATGATTACTAGACTATCATAGTAAATTCTACGGAGAAAACAAATTAAGATAATATGATAGAGCAAGACCAAGAAGTGAGGGCCTTTAGCTAGGAGATTAGAAGAAATTTCCCTGAGGAGATATCTGAACTGACTCTGAATGGCGAAAAGGTGGCAGCCACAGGAGGATCTTAGGGAAGAGTATCTCAGGCAGAAAGAACACCAAGTTCCTGAGAGGGGAAGAAGAGTAGCATGTATGAGAGATTGCAGGAAGGCCAGTTGTGAAAGATCGTGGAGGAGTTTGAAAGGTAGGGCGAGGCCAGATCACAAAAAGTCTTTTAGAATAAAATATGGAGAACAATTCTGAGCACCACAATAAGCCATTGTTTTCATCAGGGAAGGGATAAAGCCACATTTATGCTTTAAAAAGGCAACCCTGGCTTCTGGTAGAGAATGAAATGGGAGAGAATGACCATCATATTTATTTATGATGGCAAGAAGGAGAGAGGTACAGAGTAAAGTCTCATATGTGCTTCAAAGACAACAGGAGTTTCTACTGGAGAAGACTGTTCGGAAACAGCAATGGGGAGCAAAAATGACATTTACCTACATTCAGGCATGTATATGGGTATGGATTTTTTCTAAAACAAACATACAAAAAACCAGACATCACAGCCTCAACAACAGAGTGAGACCCTGTCTCTACAATGAATAAAAAATTAGCCGGCATGGTGGTGTGCACCTGTGGTCCCAGCTACTTGGAAGGCTGAGGTGGGAGGATCACTTGAGCCCAAGAGGTCAAGGCTACAGTGAATTGTGATTACGCCACTGCACTCCAGCCTGGGTGACAGAGTGAGACCCTGTCTCAAAAAAAAAAAATCTAAGAGGGCTGTAAGAGACATGGTTTTTTAAAAATGTTATAATTTTTAATTGACAAAATTGTACATATTTATGGTATACAACATAATGTGTTGATATATGTATACATTGTAGAATGACTAAATCAAGCTGTTAACATATCCATTTCCTCACATACTTTTTGTGGTAAGAACACTTAAAATCTACTCTCTTAGCAAATGTCAAGTATAACACATTATTAACTACGATCACCATGTTATACAATAGATCTCCTGAAAGTATTCCTCCCATCTAACTGCAATTTTGTATGCTTTGAGCAACATCTGAGATACAGTATTTTTTTAAAAAATTGAGATAGAATCTCACTCCATTACCCAGGCTGGAGTGCAGGGTGCAACCTCGGCTCGCTGCAACTCCACCTCCCGGGTTCAAGCGATTCTTGTGCCTCAGCCACCCAAGCAGCTGGGATTACAGGCGTGTGCCACAATACCCAGCTAATTTTTGTATTTTTAGTAGAGACAGGGTTTTGCCATCTTGCCCAGGCTGGTCTTGAACTCCTGGCCTCAAGTGATTTGCCCTCCCCGGCTTCCCAAATTGCTGGGGTTACAGGCATGAGACACCGCACCCAGGCTTGAGATACAGGAATATTAAAGCAAGACGGTGAAGAAAACGTTTGGAGAAGTTAAAGATACAGGAAAATTTGCTGATATGAATTTCAGACAGCATGGTGTGTTTTAGGGAGTAAGGAGAGGTGGAAGGAACGTCCCGATTAGGAATTATAAAAAGCATTATGATAATAAGCATCCTTAAGATGAGGAATTGTCTTTGGATGGTGAGTAAATTAAATGAGGATATGACACATTTTGGGATTAATCTCAAAGGATGATGAGTAATTAGTTATGTAGAGTATTTAGCTGAAAGATGCATAGGGCCACAGGAAGCTATTCATCCCTGAAGCTCAAGATGATGTGTGGTCCTACAGAATGGATGAGGCCCTCTTGAGAGATAATTCTCATAGGCAATTCACTGGACTGTGATAACTCGAGAAAGGGCCTCTCAAACCAGGACCTCAAAGGGCTTGATCCTATTATTTCCGTGAAAATCTTGAACTAGCGTAGTGCCCAAGATAGAGGAGACTATGGTCCATTACCCATACATGTATAAACAGATAAGGACTGCAATCTGAAATGATGATATAATAATATGTGTTGAGCATTATGCTCCAGGCTCTGTCCTAAACATTTTTTCTTCATAATAATCCTAGAAAGTAGATATTATAAATCCTATTTTTAAAATGAATAAACTTAGGCATAAAAAAAAAAAAAACAGGCAGAGTAACACAGCTAGTAAGTAGAGGAACCAGAATTCAAACCCAAGCATTCTAGTAGTTGATGGCCCATTGTACTTAATGAGACCTAATCAAGGGTCCCCTTTCTAAAATGATTTCGGTGAGAATTATATACTTTATAAACCAATTAACTCAGACTGATGTGGATTTTTATTATTATTCCTCAGTGCCAATTCCAGGAACCATATTTCAGTTTATTTTCTATTTCTCAATTTAGGAAAGAGAAATGAGAGCAAACAGATAATAAGAAGGGAGCACATAGGGAAACTAAGGAAAGTTTAATCAAGACTAAGGTCCTCCACCTCCTAAAAGCAAGTAGAGGAAAAAGAAAAAAAAAAAAAAAGACTAAGGGCCAAGCATGGTGGCTTACACCTGTAATCCCAGCACTTTGGGAGGCCGAAGTAGGAGGATCCTGGAGGCCAGGAACTCAAGACCAGCCTGGACAACATAGTGAGGCTCTGTCTCTACAGAACAATTAAAAGAATTAGTAGGGCATGGTGGCATGCCTGTAGTCCTAGCTACATGGGAGGCTGAGTTGGGAGGATCACTTGAGCCCAGTAGTGAGAGGTTATAGTGAGCTATGCAACCACTGAACTTCAACCTGGGCAACAGAGTGAAACCCTGTCCCCCCGACCCCAGCCCCCCAAAAAAAACCTAAGGTCTTCCAAGTTCCCTTAACAGTTTCAGTCTTTACAAAGGCTGAGAAGAAAAGGAAAAGGGAATCACCTTCTCTGCTCATCATCAGTCCTACATGTCATTCTGGGCCTCGGCCACACCACCAAAATATAAGATGCCTAAACAATCCATGAAAAAATCACACTACAGCTGGCATAGAGGATTTGATGCTCCCTGGTGAGGGTAGTGTGAGGGATTTTTTTTCTGATCTTCTTTTCAAAGGGGGATTAACGCTGATGCTTTTAAGCAATTGACATGCACTTAGAGATGTGGGTATCTAGCACAATTTACAAGGGAATTGAGCAAGTTCTTGGTTGTTTCAGTACCATAAACGCTTGTTTGTCTAGGGACCTTGTCCTCCTTATTTACCTCTTTCTAGGCAGGCCCTATTTCTAGAAAGTCAGCCTTTTTGCTTCTCCTACCAAAACTTACCCTAAGGCTAAAAGGCCCAAGAACACAGGGCTTTAGTTTGTGAATTTAGCCTCATTGAATCATAAAAGTTGAGCAGAAGAAAAATTATTAAACCCTGTCATTGATCGACTGTTGTGGGGTGGGGGGTGGGGGGAGGGGGGAGGGATAGCATTAGGAAATATACCTAATGCTAAATGACGAGTTAATGGATGCAGCACACCAGCATGGCACATGTATACATATGTAACTAACCTGCACATTGTGCACATGTACCCTAAAACTTAAAGTACAATAATAATAAAATAAAATAAATAAATAAATTAAATTAAATAAATGCAGTTCCAAAAGATGGTGAGAATTATCAAACTTTGCATAGTCATTTAACAGTCAATGTAAGACAAATAAGACTAATGCCCAGACTTTCTCCACTGAATATAGTGAGGGTTCATTCTATGGTAGCTTGTACAAATTACTATCAAAGTTAATATCATTAAACCTTCTACAAGTCTTGCCCTAGAATTTAGGTTATTTTACAAGAGAAACATTTTAGAGCTGAACAAAAAGAACAGAAACAAAATGTTGGAGAGGGAAGATGGTCAGTACGTTAAAGAAAAAAATGTTTAAGGAATATTCAGAAAGAAGAGAAAATTGTAAAGAATATGAAGGAAAACGTGCTGAACTTAAAGTCAAGCAAACTGGAAGCTAAAACTGCCTTTAATTTTTTGCATATTCAGGCACAGCCCTTCCCTTTCTCAATCTCGGTTTTCTTTTCTTATAAAACTAGAACCTTTGTAACATTGCCTTTCTTTGGTTCTTGAGGCTATCACATTAGGGAAAGAAGACTCTCCAAACTGAAAAGATGAAAGAAAGAGGGAGGGAGAAACGGAAAAGACAGGAGAAAGGTGGTGAATGAAATCAGAATATTGGAAATATAGTAAAGCTGAATATTCCCCTGAAACTTTCACTCCTGCATAGTGTCTAAGGGGGAAAAGACATGGGATCACTTGCAAGTGTGGCCACTTTATGAGCCTACCTACAGGGGAATGGAAAGTCTAATAACCTGAGGGAGGACACTATTTCTGGGAAGACTTTTGGGAAATTGATGGATTATTGAAACTTTAGACTGACTTGAATAATTGTTATTGTTCTTTAGCTTTACCTCAAGGATCCATGAGTAAGTTTATCTTCTTGTTTCAAACTCTGGTGTTGTTGGGCTCCTATGCTAGGCAGAGGACTTCTCCCTGTCTTAACTATTTCCTGTTTCCTGCTATGTCAGGGTGAAAGGGCTTAAGACTCATAATTCTCCACCTTGTCCTTCATTAGCCGTCTTAACTGGATCATGCCCACCTTTCTCACATTTCCCCCTCTCTAAGACAAGGAGACCTCCCACCTTGCTTAAGCAAATTATTTTATTCTTGCCTTTGACCACATCCTCTCACCCCCTTATTTCTTCAGAAGTCATTTCTTCTCTCTTCTACATCTTTAAATATTTTCCTTCCTTTAACTGCTTCTCCTTAAGGTATAGAACAGGTTTGATTTTCTTCCATCTTAAACAGATCCTCCCTTGACTATGTCCCTCTCTAATCACAGCCTACCTTCAAGGGAGGAAATTATGCTGTACACTCTGACTGTAGGCTTAGGAAAAAGTTATTGCTCACTTCGTATCTGAACTATACACTATTTCTCCATGAATTGAGAATAATATAATAAGACCTACTAAAAAATCACTTTTAAAATAAATTTGCTTGTTAATTATTTTCAATTTACAGAGGACTATTGCCTAGCAGTTAAGCATGCAGACTCTAGAGCCAGGCTAACTGGAGTTGTATCCCAGCTCCCTACTTACTATTTATTTGAACATAGGCAAGTTATTTAATCTCTCATTAAAATTTCAAGTCCGTTACATAACTAATTTCAACAACCAGTTGAAAATTAATCAAATAAAAGAACAGAGAAGAGGCTGGGCACCATGGCTCACGCCCGTAATCATGACATTTTAGGAGGCTGAGGCAGGTGGATCACCTGAGGTCAGGAGTTCGAGACCAGCCTGCTGAAACCCCGTCTCTACCCAAAATACAAAATTAGCTGGGCGTGGTGGTATGCTCCTGTAATTCCAGCTACTCGGGAGGCTGAGGCAGGAGAATTGCTTGAACCTGGGAGAGGAGGTTGCAGTGAGCCAGGATCGCAACACTGCCATCCAACCTGGGTGACAGAGTGAGACTCCATCTCAAAAAAAAAAAAAGAACAGAGAAGTGAGGGAAGCTGGAAAAAATGAATAGAGAAGGGAGGAAAACCAAAGAGGTAAAGTTTAAATAAACCTTCTGGAACTGATTTCAATTGATTGTCAAAAAAAAAAAAAAAGAACACATTTTCTAAATGAAGGGAAGACTGTGACAGGAATGAGGAGGAGGGAAGTGAGGAAATCGGCAAAAAATCCAAAACAGATAATCCTGACTGGACAGGGTTTTTTTTCTGATCTATGTGCTTTTCCTACAAAAGTTTTCATACTGACTATTACATTTGTGGTTGCATATTAGGGTCACATTTCCTACTAGCAAAGTTGTTTCTTGTTCAAAGATGGAATTAAATATATCATATTTCATTATTTTTTCTAAAAGGTATCAAAACTTCCAGATGCTTCACAATCTGAACAAGTTTATTACTCACAGGTTTTAATTAAATGTGATCCAACCAATACCTATCCTTAAAGTAACGAAAAGGAAGGGATTCACTTGCCCTATCCCAACTCAGGCCACAACCATATGATACTGATTTCAAAGTGCACTGTTGTTGAAGTATAGATGGTGCTCACTTAAATCTCTTCTCATCTGAAAACAGAGCTCCCAAATTAGCCACCACTAGCCCGGTGCCACCTATAGATGTGTTTTGTTTGGTCAGGATGGTATTATTTTAAATTTTGAATTTGAATGCCTCTGGGTAGGGCATGGACTTTTCACCATCTCTATCCCTTATAACTAGCAGATTCACAATCATGAGACCTGCTGGGCCCCTTAATGCAACTGAGTTTGTGATCGATCCCCACAGAGATAATCAGGAATTCTGTCTGGTATGGAAAATGTGGTACTCTCTAAAAGAACTAACTCTGATGCTCCCATTAGGAAGAATATCCACAGAGACAATGTCCTTAATCCAAAACACACAATATTCAGTATTTTGGCAGGATATGTACATCGTAAGTTTTTTTTATCTTCTTCTTTACTCTGTAAGGCAACAAGTAAATACCTTCCACTGCCCTGCTTATTTGTCTTCAGCTGGGAAACGCCACAAAATACTCAGTTCAAGAATTTCCTTTCTTGGCCCAGTATGGAGGCTCACACCTGTAATCCCAGCACTTTGGGAGGCCGAGGTGAGGGGATCACTCAAGGCCAGGAGTTTGAGACCAGCCTGGCCAACATGGCGAAACCCCATCTCTACTAAAAATACAAAAATTAGCTGGGCGTGGTGGCACATGCCTGTAATCCCAGCTACTCAGGAGGCTGAGGCACAAGAATGACTTCAACCCAGGAGGTGAAGGTTGCAGTGAGCCGAGACTGTGCCACTGCACTCCAGTCTGGGTGACAGAGAGAGATTGTCTCAAAAAAAAAAAGAAAGAAAAATTCCTTTCTCCTCATTATTCCATATTACTTTAGGTCAGGAATGGAATATATATGACCTGTGTTACATTTCTGCTCATGCCTTTGCCTGTGGCAGAAATCAGTAATTGATCATGATTCTCTTTCCTGCTCAGCTCACATGTATCCTAAAATTCTTGTCATCTCCAGATAGTCATTAATAATTGATCAAAATTAAATATGCATAACTCAAGTATACTTGTCACTCCTAACATAGGTTAATATCTTAAATCTTAAAAAATTAAGTATATGAAAACTGTCCTTTTAAAATTATCTTTATTTGGTGGTAGGAGTGGCTTCACCTTCTCAAGAAACTGACAGTTCAGTGATTGACGGCCTAAAATACCACATAGAAAAACAGACATCTCTTCCCAAATGCTGAGGGTAGATCCTGTCATTTCTGGGGAAAGCTACTATTTCCCTCCCCAAAACAGCAAAGTAACAAATAAGCGAAAAATAATTATACACAAAGAAGGAAACAAATTATTCAATTATTTTAAGAAAAAAAATTGCAAAATTTTCAACATCTTAAAATATGATTGGTTATTTCTCAAGACAGAAGCAACAGAGATTAAAATGACATAATTAAGGTACTAAGGTACACAAGAAGATAGGGTTGTTTTAAAGATTAAAATAACAGAAATTAATAAATCAAAAATAAAAACAGAATTAAGTGCACATTATAATACTCTGCTGTCAGGACTCAGAACTTTCCAAAGGACAGTCAGAAATAAGAGGAAAAATTAAAGCAGAAAAAAGTAAAATATAAAGTAGCTTACTACTTTGCCGAAGTGTTTCATTCATTTATAGTTACTGAATATTTCTTTCCATAACATTTCTAATACAACTTTTCATCTTTCCCTTCTGTTATTACTCCTGATTTTTCACTGCAACTTCACAATATAGGTAAGACAGAGGACACAACTTCTGTTTTAGAGATGAGGAAATTAATGTTCAAAACATTTAGTGACTTGCCCAAAATCACAGAGCTAGAGAATAGCAAAAGTCGGACTCAGCTCTTTAATCTCAAGACTGTTTGTACCACACCTGAGGAGGGGGAGGAGGGAATGGGATTGTCTATCTCCATGCCTTCTGAAAGTCTAAATCTAAGTAATGTTACACTTTTCAATTTTTATTATAGGTAGTATAAAATGTTTACAAACAACTGAAGAACCTCCTTGTAAGTTTCCCATATATACAACTCAGTCCTTTTTTTACTGACACCTAATAATTGTACAAATTTATGGGATACATGTGATATTTTGATACATGCATACCATGTGTAATGATTTTGATATTCTATAATGTGCCTGCTACCAGAGGAATGGGGAAGGTGGTGAGAAAGCACATAAAGATGGAGGAAAGGAGAAAAACTTGCAATTTTACTGTTCTCTCTTTTACCAGTGTGAGGAATTTGAGACTGATTTCAAGATCCTCTAAGTGACTGATTAATTTTTTCATTTAACAAAGTGGAAATTCTTATAATAAAAACTAGATTAATTAATGAAATTGTGAAAAAGATTCTGGGGCCAGGGAAAATTATCTATAACCTTTAGAAGGATTTGACAGCAGGAAGATAATGAAAATTAAGAATAAGAAAAATAACTGCAGGGAGTATGATTTTAACAGTCTCCTAAGGAAAAAAGGAAAATGCCTACTTACCTTCTTGCTGCCTTTCCATGTAAATCAAATATGTAGTAAATGCTTGATCTGAAACTCCCTGAGATAAACACCCTTGAGTCATGCTCTCTTCAAACTCACCTTTTTTGTTTGTATTTTAGCCAGAACTGCAGGAGCCATGAGTAAGTTCTTTTTCTGCCCTTTAATTCTCATGTGCTTTGCTTTACTAAACTGTTAGAATATGTAAGACACTCATATTCCTAGATTTTTTTATTTCTTTCACAAATTGTCCATTCCTTTCCCCTTGTTTATTCCCTATTCTTATCTTAATAAACTGGGGTGCCTCTGTAAGAAAGTACTATTGCCTTTAACTTTTCCGAAATCTTGAGATTCAACAGCAAAGGGAAAAGAGTGAAGAACAAAAAATGGTCAAGTGAAAGGAAGAAAGATTCCCCTGTGAGAAAACCCAGTAACACTCAAAGAAAGAGGCTTGATGGTGGCCATTCTACTTAAGACCCACCAAGAAAATTTCAGTGACATGCAGTGAGTCCCAGCTCACTGACCGAGGATCCCAGACTGTCACTGATGTTTGTGTGGGATGTATATCCCCTGTTATGAACAAAGAATAAATCTGAAATAAGTATCCAGATAGAATTTTAAATGAAACTGTAGCATATATCTCTGGAAGAAGCACTGGTTGGGAATAGAGAATAAGGAATAAGTGAGAGGAAGTTGATTTAAAAAGGAAAAAAAATGGTAAATGGAAACAATGACTTTTATATGATCTGAGATTTTGCCAGCCCTTTATGGCCTTGATGCTTAAAGTGGGTCCAAGGGCCTGCATCAACGTCACCCTGGAGTTTTAGATATGCAGAGTCTCAGCCTATTGCCCACCCCGACCTACTAAATCAGACTCTGCATTTTAATAAGATTCCCAGGTGATTTGCGTGCATACCAAAGTTTAAGAACCATTGCTCTACAGGATTTTAATTCTCTGCCCTGAGAGAGGAAATAAAAAGATGAATGCACTTGGTCCAAATTTAACCAGCTTTTCCAGCCCTGCAGATTCCCCACACCAAGAGTGACCTTAAAGCCAAAGACAAGAAAGATGAAACTCATCAGGGTTTCATTCACTTCTTAACACATTTCTATCCTTCATTTTTGAGGATGTTCAGAGCTTGAGCCCCTGAGACAGGACTAACTCTGAAGGAAGGAGAAAAAAAGTGATTTGATAATTAAAGCTCATGGTATATCACATCCTGTGTCTACTCCTCTTGGATTATTTACACAAATGGAACATTATTAAAATAATCAAGTCAAACTTTGAGAGCAAATACTGGGTAGGTATCATAAAAGCACATATTAGGCCAAGCACAGTGGCTCATACATGTAACCCCAGCACTTTGGGAGGCCAAGGTGAGAGAATCACTTATAGCCTATGAGGTGTAGAGAGGTGTGGTGGGGTGTGTGTGTGTGTATGTGTATGTGTGTGTGTGGTCATAAAGAAGAAGACTGTTACTGCATTATTAACAAGTATGTGGGTCTAGTGTCTCAATTCCTTTGCCCAACACTCATACCTATAAATGTCTTAAGTCAACCTAGCAGTTTCTATTCCCTTTTACATGGCAGGCCAAGTTACTCTGTTGAATAAGGGCCAAAATCACTACAGAGACAGCAATTCCCACTGTCTCCTTCAGATGAGGCTATAGATTCTAGCTAAGCAAGTTCAAATTAGCCAGCTGGAAGACAGGCAATGGCCTGTGTAATCTCCTGAGATACAAGCAGGACACCCGTGGGGAAAGGGGAAGGAACGCTGCCTGACCAAATGTGCGTCTCCACAGTTCCAGCTGGCAGATTCCACCAGTAACCGGGATCCTCCAAGATGAAGAAAGAAGCATTTATAAACTTAATTTGTTCCTCCACTGAAGTGGAAATTTTGCTCCTGGTGTCTACATTTGTGATGTTTTCCCAGGAAGAATTTAAATGCAAACAGTATTTTCTCATTAGTTCTATTTTGTTTTTTCCATATTTTAACTGGAACTATTAGACCTATAAGTGAGTTCCTTTTCTGTTTCCTCTAATGTTCTTTGGCCTTCTGTAGGATATAGGGTCCTCTCCACATCCTAACTGTTACCATTTCTACCCCTGCAGGATTTCTCACTCATACTTCTTAATTGTATTCAAATCTTCTGACACCTTCTGATGCCCAAGCAATCAGACACAATATCCTGAATTGCTACTGAGTTTAGGACAAGGGAAAGCCAAATAATTCATGTTTAAAACTGTAGTTTATTTTAATTATTTATATTTATTATTTTTAGTTACTTAAATTTCTCATTTAAGATGGATGCTGAATGATTTGATCTGGTAGGAGGGTTATGCAGCTTCCAGGCTAAGATCATCTGCAGTCCCACAGTAGTTGTTCTCCTCTGGTTGAATTGCTTCATAGTTTCTTTAGAAACAATACTGGTAAAATGAAAATTCTATTAATGTCAAACCACACTTTCCTCCTTTTTGTATTTCAGTGCAATTCACAGCCCCTATTCGTAAGTATCAAGTTTGTTTTTCCACTCTGGTCCCTTTGATATCTGACCTACAAGGTCTTGGGGCCTGATCTGCCCTGCATTTTTAAAAATAATTTCAACTTTTATTTTAGATTCCGGTGGTGCATATGCAGGTTTGCTAATGGGTATATTGTGTGATGCTGAGGTTTAGGGGTGACTTGCTTTTTTAACACTGTCTTTCTCAACTCCCCTGGCATTCCTATTACATAGTTTCCAAAGAGGCCATGCACGAAGTGTTAAGAAATCTCACAGGCTAACATTTAAAAATATAAACCAAAACAGCCCTCTTAGAAATAGTCATAATGATCCATCAGCAAGGGAAGGTACACCTTTCAAATAAACCATGTCTCTAAGGAAACTAGGGGCAAGGGGCAAGAAAATGTAAGAAGAAAAATAGAGGCATAACAGATTAATATGGAGTGAGTCTTTCCCAACCCTCTGAAGATTTTCAACCATCACTGAAAGCAGGAGGAGGCCTCCATTCCTGTAGGTCCCTTATATTGTGCAGGGAGCCTGCCTGAGGCTCGCCATACAAGCAACTCTTGATCTTCCCGTTGTTTCTATTTATGATACTCCCTAGAGCGAGTGTTGGGAAATGGAAATTTCCTTCACAGTGGTGAAGCATACTGATATCTTTTTCTTTCTCCCTCTTTCTCTCTCACAGCCGGAGCTACAGGACCTTTCAGTAAGTTTGCTCTCTGATTCTCCACAGTGAGCATTTTACTTTCCTGCAGTATCTTAGGGATCGCTACCTGGTTTCCATGTTGGGATTTCAAGGGTTTGGAGTTCACATTTTCTTCAACCCTTATTTTTCTTCAACCTAGCATTTCAGTAAGTCATGATTAGCTGTGTGAATGTACACCTCACCAATAAAAACAAACTACAAAGTGGAGAATGAACCCTTGCAGATTTCCAATGGCTTCTCAGCATCACACAAGGGATTTTTAGATGAGGAGGCCCTTATATGTACTAGTTTGCCATAGCAAGAAAGTCACCATTTCTACTACTCAACTGCAGCTGAACTTGACAATAGTGATGCAGATTCCTACTAGGGAAAGTATACAAATTAAAGTATATAAATAAAAAGTATATATAAAATATATATATAGCTACTGATTTCTTTTCTCTTTTTTTTTTAGAGCTCTCTCAAAAAACCATTGGTAAGTCATCTGATTCTCAATTATAATGCCTTTTAGTACTTTACTTAGAACATCAATCTATTTTTATTTCAATTATTCATGCCCAAGGACTCAAGGATCAAGTCCTTCTGCCACCTCATAATCTCACCCAGTACTCCAGATTGGACTCATCCAGGTTCTGCAATAAAAATATATTAACTATGAAGCTGAAATGCAAAGTGAAAAATATCCTGCTAGAGATGGTCCTAAGCTGTTTCCACTTCAGCATATAATCTAGCTCTGTAGAGCCAATACTTAATAAAGACTTAGAACCCAGCACCTAAACTTCCTGCTGTGCTTTCCATGCAAATAATTTTTCCATTATTAGATTATCTTCACTTTGTAAAATAATGCAAATTTTAAGTTTCCTTTCTTTATTTTTTTTGAGATGGAGTCTCGCTCTGTCATCCGGGCTGGAGTGCAGTGGCATGATCTCCACTCACTGCAAGCTCCACCTCGTGGGTTCAAGCCGTTCTCCTGTCTTAGCCTACCGAGTAGCTGGGACTACAGGCACCCACCACCATGCCCGGCTAATTTTTTTGTATTTTTAGTAGAGATGGGGTTTCACTCTGTTAGCCAGAATGGTCTCGATCTCCTGACCTCGTGATCCGCCCGCCTCAGCCTCCCAAAGTGTTGGGATTACAGGCGTGAGCCACTGCGCCTGGCCTTCCTTTCCTTTCTAATTGCCCTGAAAAGTTCTCTCCAGAAGAGTTAGGCTCTATTTTCAGCAACTTTTAGCAACCTAGTCACATTCTTTGAGTGATCCCTATAATGTCTTACTACTGTTTTTTTAACCCTCGCGTACATTACTTTATTGCATCTAAACAACATTCAAATGGCAATGAGTAAGGCAGTTATTATCCCCATATTTAGAGATGAGGAAACTGAGGGTCAGGAGTCATTTCTCAAAAAAATAAGAGGATGGGTTAGTTAATAAAATTAAGACTGAAGTTTTACTAACTCTTCATTCTTTCCACTATCATTTTTGGGTGTTATAACAGGTTATTAACAATGAATAAAATGAAGTTCTAATATTGAGATTAAAGGGTAGTAAAGGCCTAGAGGAGAAAAAGTGAGAGAATGAGTAACAAATAATAACAGATACAGAATGAAGATGCAGTTTAGAGAGAGATAAATAGGAGAAAATTTAAAAAGAACAAAAGTAGGAAGAAAATTGGAAGCAGAAAGAGTAAGTGAATTGGCACATAAGAGAATAAAGAAGGGAAATGAGTATGTTGAGAAAGAGAATAAAAATAAAGGTACAAAAAGTCACAAATTGAAACTGGAAAGGAAGGAAGAAAATATAGAAAAACTGAAGAAACAAAATTTTGAAGTGATCACCTATCCAAGGATTTAGTAACTTATGTCAAGAGGGCAGGTATCATAAGACTTCTACTTCAGAATCAAAGATACATATTTGTAGATACAGGCAAAGCAACTATTAAGTTAGCATAATATCTAAATGTGTAACTGGTTTACTGCTCATAGCCAAGGGTATCCAGATCTGGAAAGCCATCTTCCAGGTGTTTTACACAGGAAAAAAAAAATTCAGAGTTAAAAGTTCGAGGATTATTGATCAAAATGTGGATATTTCTCATTCTGAGTGACACTGAAGTGAAGGATTATTAACTGCAATGCCCACTGGGTGAAGATATGGTCTTTTTAGATTCAACTAACCACGCAGACTTAGAAGATTACCATAGCTCTCATCTGGGAACAGTCTACTCAGTAGGACCTAAGGGAGGAAGCACAGTTTGCCAGCAAGGGCATTAACAGCTATCCCTCTGCTGTGGGAGTAGTACTCGCCATGATCTATGCAGGTGTCCACATAGCCACCTAGGACCTATTCTGTTTGGCCTTCTGTCAGTTGAGTTGGGAGCTGACCTAGCTTAGAAACCCCACAGATCCACCAGGAACTAAAATCTCCTATAAGAACCCCATACACATTACCTGCAGGGATCCCGTAAGGAATATGACCAAATACATGGGTCACTACACTCAGGGAAGCCCAAAGTTATGGCTTCTTAATACATATTTACAATTCTCCCAGTTCAGATGCAGTCTAACATCAAGGATCATTCTTATGTAAGCAGTGTTGCTAAATAACATAACAGGCTTTCGGCTGGGTGCAGTAATCCCAGCACTTTGGGAGGCTAAGACCAGGGGATCACAAGGTCAGAAGTTTGAGACCAGCCTGGCCAATATGGTGAAACCCCATCTCTACTTAAAAAAATACAAAAATTAGCTGGGTGTGGTGTCGTGCGCCTGCAGTCCCAGCTACTCAGGAGGCTAAGGCAGGAGAATCGCTTGAACCCAGGAGGCAGAGGTTGCAGTGAGCCGAGATCATGCCACTGCATTCCAGCCTGGGCGACAGAGTAAGACTCCGTCTAAAAAAAAAACAACAACAAAAAAAACATAACAGGCTTTCGATATTTATCAGGTCACCAGGCGATCAGAGCTAGAAAATCAACTGAAGGCCAAATTCTCATTAAAAACTGAAGGTTTTGGCCAGGCATGGGCTCACACCTGTAATTTCTGCACTTTGGGAGGCTAAGACAGGAGGATCACTTGAGACCAGGAGTTCAAGATCAGCCTGAGCAACAACAGAGCAAGACCCCATCTCTACAAAAATTTTTTTAATTAGCCAGGAATAGTGGCATGCAGCTGTAGTCCTAGCTACTCAAGAGGCTGAGGTGGGAGGATCACTTGAGCCCAGGAGGTCGAGACTGTAGTGAGCTAGGATTGCACCACTGCATTCCAGCCTGGGTGACAGAGTGAGACCTTATCTCAAAAAACAAAACAAAACAAAACAAAAAAAAACAGAAGGTTTTGTTGACTCTTTGCTCACAGACTCTAAAGCTAATCAAAGCAGCAGTCACTGCTCTATCACTCTCCAATAAGCTGGAAGCTGTGAGAAGAAGAAACTAGATTCTTACCTCCTATTCTAATGTCTACCTCTGGAACATATTAGTTGATCAGAAATAAAGATTTTAGTGAAAGAACAGTCCCTTGAGAAAGAAATATCTTCTACTCTTACTGACGGGAAGTGTTTCACCTTTCCCTACCATCAGTAATGTTAATACCTAATAACAAAGTTTTGCCTTTCCCTAGTATCCCTTAGGTTGGCAAGGATCCTATAAAAACCTTCACCTTGGGCTGAAATATTGCAGTAAATGCTAAATATCCTTTTTCCTTTTTTCTATAGTTAATATAGTTGGATTAAGTCTCCCTAATGATCTCATAACTGATATCACTTCCTCTCCCCTGCTCTACCTCTCAAAGCCTCACTTCTAGGATAAAATTAGTGAAAAATACACTCTCCAAATAACTGTACTAATATGCCAATTTGAATTTCTTTTTAGTGCAAACTCTAGGACCTATTGGTAAGCTGCCTGTATATATCAACTTATCTCTACTGGCTTCTTACTATGTCTGAAGGAGACTGGCTCCAACTGTTTAAGTATCTGGGTTAAAGAAGCTGAAAATCATATTTCTTAGACTTTCATTTCCCCATATCGTAACTGTTAGGTTTTGGAGGGAAGGCGAGGGTTAAAGAAAAGACACAGAGAGAGTGGCGGCTGTACAGCAAATGTAGGCTTTATGTCCAGCATAAGACCTACAGAAGTGGGGAACCAGCCTAATGCCAGTGCCCACTGCTGCTTACAGGCGGGGGTACTTATAGGTATAGGCGGGAGGGGTCTGGGTAGTATGGCTTGCTGGCCGGCAGGATATTGATAAGATGTTCCCATGATGAGGGGGTTCTGGCCCTTGTTCCTGCAGAATGTAGTGTTCCTTGCACTTTCTCCCAGCTGAATATGACAGGGATGTTTCTTTAGTTGGCCCTTTGTCCACCTTGTGTTCAGGTGGTTAGGCAGAATGTTTCTCACAGCCCGAACCCCCGTGGAATGTTTCACTTTTACCAAGGTCTTCAAATTGCTGGAGGCTTACAAAATGGTGCAGTTTGGATTAACACTAACCATCTCTCTGGGCAACCAATTATATTTTAGAAAATGGAAATTCCATTACCTTAAAATTCATAATAGATAGGCATTGTTCTAATAATGATTATAGTGGCTTGTCAGTAATCATTAGAATAACTTCCTAAGGCAAAGGTGTAATCGAATCTGGAAAAGAATATAAGAAATGAACAAGAACATAAAGATAGCTGAGAGTGAAACAGAGTGATCTGAGGAAAAACACTGGGGGAATATGGAAAGGAATACAATTAAGGATCTCATCTCCAACACCTATAATGAAAAGCAAGAATGAAGTGGTTATGCTAAAACAGGGTTAATAATCTCCTAAAAGAAGATCTGGTTCTTATGGAGAGGCTAGAGTACAGCAGCAGTGCAGTGAAAAATATTTAATCCTGAATACTTAGATTTAGTAATTCCTGAGAAAATCATTTTCACTGCTTGCCTTTGGAAAATATCACTAATAGAGGTGTTTTGGGGCCAGGCGCAGTGGTTCACACCTGTAATCCCAGCACTTTGGGAGGCCAAGGATCACCTGAGGTCAGGAGTTCGAGACCAGCCTGGCCAACATGGTGAAACCCCATCTCTACTAAAAATACAAAAAATAGCCAGGCATGGTGGCGGGCACCTGTAATCCCTGCTACTCAGGAGGCTGAGGCACGAGAATCCCTTGAACCCAGAAGGTGGAGGTTGCAGTGAGCCAAGATCACCCTACCACACTCCAGCCTGGGCGAAAGAGTGAGAGACTCTGTCTCAAAAAATAGAAGTGTGTGTGTGTGTGTGTGTGTGTGTGTGTGTGTGTGTTTAATTTGTTTGTTTCTATTTTTTAGTACAATATCCTGGATCCAATGGTAAGTACCTTATCTATCCTTCTCCCTCCAGGTTCCTTGATCTTCTACAGTGTCTAGAGGGCCTGTTCCCTGTCTCAAATGCCCTAGATGTGTCTCACTGCCATAAGAGCAGTTATTTTACACATGTTTTTATGCTTCCTGATTTCAACCTACTGAGAATTCTCCAGGGCTATTTTTTTTAAAAGAAAAAGAGTAAGAAAATGTCCCCAGAAATAGTCATAATGTCTTCTATAACAATATACAAGAATTTTCTAAAGTAGCAGAGAGAGAATAATAAGGGCAGCTTTCCAGTTCTGAAGTGCTTTGTAGTTTCTAAAGGGCCTACTCAAAGATAATGGAGGAGACAATGAGGAGGAAATGAGAAAAGAAAATCAAATTTTAAGAATAAATACAAAAGGGAGAAAAGACAACAAAATTTAACAGGAAATACTATGCAGGGTCTAGTCTAACCTGAGTTCTCCAGTCTTCTCTCCAAAGGCCTTTCTCTTTCCTCATGTCCTATCCGGCTCACTATCTCCAAACATCCCCAACACACGTGCGCGCGCGCACACACACGCACGACAAAGAGAGAGGAAAAGAAAGATAGGACAGAGCACCTCATGGAACAGGATATAACAGTAATTGGGCTGTAATTTACAGGAACTGGCAGAAGCATCACATATGGAAGAGAATAAAGTGAAAGTTCATATTGTGACGAGCTAGGGAGAAACTGGTGTTAAAATCTAGGGCATCGAACCAACCCCAGGACACGGGAAATTCTGAATCTAGAAATTAAGGGATAGCATTAGAAAGTTTAAGTCAAGCAGGAAGAATTATCAGAGGGCAAGTCACATATATTCAAACAAACATTCCTTCATCTAGCTGAGCTCCTACCATGTATCTGATACTAAGCTGAGCACTGAGGATAAAGTCATGAATAAGGGAGAGAAAGATATGGTTGGTCACTGACGCCATGGAGTTTACAGTCCTATAAGATAACTTGGGAAAACAAACCCAAAATGTGTAGAGGGCAGGCAGCATCCCACACAACCACACTACGACCATTAAAACTGGATATTTACTGCCCTGAATTCTGGTTCTAACTATCCTTTTTGTGAATGAATAAGAGCCATTTGTTATTGACTATTCCCCTGAATCAAGACTGCTTTTCTCAGTACTCACAGATTGCCAAGACTTATAGCCTTGGAAGTTCTCATAATTATTACAGGGAGGATAAACATAAGCCAGCTCACCTCAGAGGATCTCACTGGGGCTAAAGGAAGGGTCACATCTGGTCCACAGTTCCCTAATAGCCACCATGTGCCAGAGAATCTACATGGATACATGAATTCCCTTTCCCTTTTCTCCCCTGCTTGACTCCCTCTCCCTTATGTGTAAACAATTTAAAAATATGATAGTGTATAAATGAAAAATATATTGCTATTTTATTCCTTTCTAGCTTTCCCCTAAGTTATAAGCGATTTGGAGAAAGTGCAAAATGAACTGATTAAAATTTAAATGACTTTAACAAAAATTAGTGGCTCGCAACAGCCCTAGTAAAGAAGAGTAGGAAGAAAGCTTTTCAAGTCAATAAAAATTATTGGGTGGAATATTCACTATTTGGGTAATGGGTACACTAAAAGCCCAGACTTCACCACTATGCCATATATGACATAAGAAATCTGTACTTGTACCTCTTAAATATAATTAATTAATTAAAAGGTTAGTGAACAAGAGTGACTAAAGAAAATGAGGCCAGGGCCAGGCATGGTGGCTCATGCCTGTAATCTCAGCACTTTGGGAGCCCGAGGCAGGTGGATCACGAGGTCAGCAGTTCGAGACCAGCCTGACAAACATGGTGAAACCCCGTCTCTACTAAAAATACAAAAATTTGGCCAGGCAAGGTGGCTCATGCCTGTAATCCTAGCACTTTGGGAGGCCAAGGTGGGTGGATCACTTGAGGTCAGAAGTTCAAGACCAGCCTGGCCAACATGGTGAAACTTCGTCTCTACTAAAAATACAAAAAATTGGCCAGGCATGGTAGCGCATGCCTGTAGTCCCAGCTACTTGGGAGGCTGAGGCAGGAGAATCACTTGAACTTGGGAGGTGGAGATTGCAGTGAGCCGAGATCTCACCACTGCACTCCAGCCTGGGTGACAGAGTGAGACTCTGTCTAAAAAAAAAAAATACAAAAGTTAGCTGGGCGTGGTGGTGCACGCCTGTAATCTCAGCTACTCAGGAGGCAGAGGCAGGAGAATCGCTTGAACCCGGGAGGTGGAGGTTGCAGTGAGCCGAGATCGTGTCACTGCCCTTCAGCCTGGGCGACAGAGCGAGACTCTGTCTCAAAAACACACACAAAAAAAAATGAGGCCGGGCGCAGTGGCTCACGCCTATAATCCCAGCACTCTGGGAGGCCCCGTGGGCCAGATCACTTAAGGTCAGTAGTTCAAGACCAGCCTGGCCAACATGATGAAACCGCGCCTCTATTAAAAATACAAAAATTAGGCCTGGCACACTGGTGGCTCACGCCTGTAATCCAGCACTTTGGGAGGCCAAGGTGGGCAGATCACGAAGTCAGGAGATGGAGACCATCCTGGCTAACACAGTGAAACCCTGTCTCTACTAAAAATACAAAAAAAAAAAAATAATAATAAGTCGGGCATGGTGGCGGGTGCCTGTAGTTCCAGGTACTTGGGAGGCTGAGGCAGGAGAATGGCATGAACCCAGGAGCCAGGGCTTGCAGTAAGCCGAGATCACGCCACCGCACTCCAGCCTGGGTGACAGAGCAAGACTCCGTCTCAAAAAAAAAAACCTACAAAAATGAGCCAGACTTCGTGGCAGGTACCTGTAATCGCTTGAACCTGGGAGGCAGAGGTTGCAGTGAGCTGAGGTCATGCCACTGCACTCCAGCCTGGGCAACAGAGCAAGACTCTGTCTCAAAAAGAAAAAAAAAAAAGAAAAAGAAAATGAGACTGACAAAAGTACATATAAGTTTAAGACATTATGAACCTCTAGAAGTGTTTCAAGCATCTACTGTCCCTAAATGAAATGAGAAGGAAGAACAAAGCCTCACTTTACCACTTTATAGCCAATCTCCTGCCTCAGACCAGCAGAAACAGGTCTGAGGCTACAAAGCACAAAGTAAGGCACGTAAGGCCGGACATGCACTGAGCTGTCAGATTTTAGGGCCCCCCATATCCTCTCTGCAGTTACCCTCTTTAAGCCTATCAAGGGAGAACTGAATTCACTTGGTTCTACACATGTTGATTTCTCCATTTTGTGTTCCTTCCGTTTTTTACCACCAGATGAAACTTCAGAAATGACTGGTTAAGTTCCATGTCTATTGTATGATAGCTGCCTTTGGCTTCCTATAGGGCCTGGCATACTTTTCCTCTCTGCTCATTTCTGTCTTGTGTGTGTAGAAACTCACATTTCTTCATTTCTTTTGCTTATTCCTCTATTTAGCTGCTGCTCCACTCCTATAAGGAATGAATAAAGGAGAATACCAAACCCAAAATAGAGAGATAAAGTTCGGAAACTACCCAAAGTTTATAGTGACTTGTCAACAAGGGAAGGGAAGGATATTTGTATGAATAAATGAAAGCTTTCACAGGATGGCAGAAATAGGGAGAAGAAAGGTAAAGGCAGCACAGTTTAAAGAAATTACCAATCCCCTGCAGGATTTCCAGCAGTAACCACTCACTGCAAAAAGGGAAGAGATCAATCATCTCCCTTTCCTGCAGCCTCCTATACTAAGCAGAAGGCAGAATCCCCACAAGGCATGATGGCAGGTATATTCCCCAGCACAGCGCTCTATGCCCCTGCCCTAAGAAGGATGATTCTTCCATTGCCATTTCTGATATTTCCTTTCAGGAAAGTAGTACGAAAACTAGCTCCTCTTTCAGCAGGCTGTACACGTTGATTTATCTTTGTTTTTCAGCTACAGGATCCTCTTGTAAGTTTGACCATTTCCCTTCATGAGTGAAACTCAATTATCTCCAGCAGTGTCTAACATATCTTAAGCCAAAATGTATGCATCCACATTGTGATATGATAATGTTCCAATTTCCTTGGTCCCTTATTTTTCCATTACTCAGAACACAAATATATATTTTTTTCAGTGTCACGATCAGACTATTACATTTAGCAATAAACAGCATGGGTGCAAAAAAAAATCTACATTAAAACCCTTTGTCGGAATGCTTTACACTTTCCACAGAACAGAAACTAAAATAACCTGTTATACAATTAGTCACAAATACAGTCCTCGAGTTTTTTGCCCATACACATGAGTATTTGTCTAAAACATGTCTTCTTTGTACCAGCTAGGCCCTGCCACCACTGTGCTTGGCTGAGTTCACAAATCTGTTATAACCTGTAGCTTCCCTGTCACTTCTCTGGCTCTCCTCTCCTGCTAAGCTTTGTTTCCTAATTAAAATCTTCTGCGACTGCCATAGCTACTGCTGCTACTGGAACCACAATAGCCACTTTGGTTTCATGGTTTGGCAAAGTATTGGCCTCCACCACCATAGAGGCCACAGCTTCTGCCTCCAAAGTTTCCTCCCTTCATGGGTCCAAAATTTGAAGACTGATTGTTGTAATTGCCAAAATCATTGTAGCTTCCACCACCTCCAAAATTGCTCCCATCATTACCAAATCCATTATAGCCATCCTCACTGCCACCATATCCACCACCACCACAGCTGCCACCAAAGCCACCACAACCACTGAAGTTTCCTCCATGATCAAAGTTGTCATTCCCACCGAAACCACCTCCATGACCACCACCTAAGTTTCCAGAACCACTTCGACCTCTTCGGCTGGATGGAGCACTAGCCATCTCTTGCTTTGACAGGCTTTCCTAACTTCACAGTTGTGGCCATTCACACTGTGGTATTTCTGAATGACAGTCTTATCCACGGAGTCATGGTCATCAAAGGTTACAAAGGCAAATCCCCTTTTCTTGCAACTGCCTCGGTCAGTCATGTTTTCAATCACTTCAATTTTTCCATACTACTCAAAATAATTTCTTAGGTGATTTCTTCAGTGTCTTCTTTAATGCCACCAGCATATATCTTTTTCACAGTTAAGTGGGCACCTGGTATTTGAGAATCTTCTCTTGAGACAGCTCTGTTTGGTTCCACAGCTCTTCCATCCACCTTGTGTGGCCTTGCATTCACGGCTGCATCCACCTCCTCCACAGTGGCATATGTGAAAAATCCAAAGCCCCTGGAGTGCTTGGGTTTGGATCTCTCATGACCACACTGTCCGGGAGTGTCCCTCACTGCTCAAAATGGCTCCTCAGGCTCTCATCAGTTGTTTCAAAGCTCAACCCTCCAATGAAGAGCTTCCTCAGTTGTTCTGGCTCTTTAGGAGACTCTGACTTAGATAAGACGGCCAGGAGAAGAGAGACTTTAATGATGCTTCTTCCGTGGCATCCATGGGCAGAAAGGCATAAATAAATTATTAATAAGTTTCTAGAACATTCACTGACTCGCATAAAAAATAAAGACCTGAGAAAAAAGTTTTTACATGACTCTAAAGAATGTTAGGAACTTTCCATGCAGAAGGAAAAAAAATGACAGAAAAATGATATAGATCCATTTCTGCTTTCTAGATAAGTCATCTATACAGGCAATTAGTCAGTTATTTATTTGTTTCTCTGTGGTGCACTTATCAAAGTCCACTGATGTCTATTGGAACTTGAGTTGCAACATGGAACTTGAAGTTCTATTTTCTCAGCCTTTTGTTTTTCCATTATCCAGAATTCAACCAGCTGATAATTAGTTTTCTGGAAATTTCTAGTGCCTTTGATTAAAAAAAAAAATGTTCAAGCAAGTATATCACTAGTAAATTTACCAATAGAAAAAAAAATGAGTAGGAAAAGAAACAAGAAAGGGGTAACAAAAAGTATCTTTGCTTGTTTTTCAGTCAGATCGCATCCTCACACAATCAGTAAGTCTATGTGTTCATTGAATTCTCTCCTTTAGGACTCAGTTGGTCTCTAGTGGAGTCCAAGAGTCTTTATCTGCCCATATTGGGATACAAAGGGCTTGAGATATATCTTGGCCTCTTGCTGTCTCATTATCAAAACCTCTCTGCATTATTCATGATGTACTGGAAAGTTTTAAGACTATCAATTTACAATCCCCTGCAGGATTTCAAGCAGTTACCAGTCACTGCAAAAAGGGAAGAGATAAGTCAGAGCAGAGAAAAAAATTTTACAAAATTTCAAAGCCCATCAACAAGAGACTACCTTAAAAAGGGAAAAAATGGTAGGAGAGAAAGGAGTAGATAAGAAGTTTCTGTAACCCTTTTTCATTTGAACCTCCTGCCATATCTGGTCTCTTTTTTCCACATTTAAATTCCAAAACATCTAAGAAAAATTTGTATCACCTTTTAGAGACTTTAGAGGATTTAAGCCTAAACTTTAAATAACAACTTTAAGTTGTTATTTCCTCCGTGTTTTGCTTTCATGTGACACATCATTCTCTCACCTTTTAAATAACTCTATGGAAAAAATCAAACTTACTATTTTATTAAAAAATAAAGGGCAGGGGAGAAAGTTTATCAGCAGGTCAAAATGATATATTACAAGGGACTTAACAAACTGAAAGACAATTTGAGCAATGGGGAAAGAAAAAGGAGATAATTGTTTCTGGTCTAGTTGCAAGCTGGATTCATTTCACTTGCCATCAGTATGTCCATGTTTTCACCACCGTAGGATTCTGGAATCTCTCCTTTCCCTAGTACAGCTAAGATTTCCAGGCTTGGGGTGCATACTACTTTAACCACTTACTTTCCTATCATCAAAATTCCATGAAGTTATTAATGATTTTTTGAAAGTTCACATTCTGCTGATTCATATTAAAAATAAATGAATACCAAAGGGAAAGTTTTCCCTATTGTTATAATGACCTACCAAGAAGAAACTCTCTACATAGAAAGGAAAATATCATGGGAGAAAAAACAGTTGCTAAGATACCTCTCTGTTTTTCAGCTGGTCCACCTTCAGCACCCCGCGGTAAGTTCCATTTCTTTTTCTACTCTTTTCTGTTGTTGTTCTTGTTGTTCCCTGCAAGGCTTAGAGACCTGTCTCTACCCTGCTCATTTCTAACTCTGTGTGCAGCTACCTGACTCAAAGCTTCCAGTTTCCTCTGCCTTCTGCTCATCCAGCTTCTCCCTGAGAAAGAAGTTATATTTACATAATTTCAAACATATATTTACTTTGTATCTCCTCTAGAACTATTTAAGTGCTTTAATTACATTACCTCATTTAATCCTTAGAATAATTCCACCAATCCCTTTGTAAGAGATAAGAAACTGAGCCAAATACTTACTCAAGAATACATAGTCATAGAATCATAATTTAGACCCAGAAAGGTGTCCAAGTTTCTCCCCTACACAAATATACCTCCCTAGAGGGAACCTTGTTTCTTTCAAAGAAATCTTCACCAATATCTAATTTGGTTTTTAGGTCCACCCATGGCACCCATAAGTAAGTATAACATCTCTTTTTCTTCTTTGGTTCTCTATGGTCCCCTTCATTTCACTTCTGTCAAAGTGATTTGAGTTTCCCATTCTTCTCTTGCTTCCTTATTACCCTGCTTGCCCTATAATTTTTTTAAAATACTAATTAAAAGTGGGACTAAGCTAGCATTCATCAACAATAAACTGAACAATACTATGAAATAACAAGTAGGAGGAATTTTCAGGGGGGTGGAGAGAGAAAGAGAGAGAGAGATGAAATCCAAAATGATGTCTAAATGGAGAGAAACCTTCAGTGTTCTTTCAAACATTATAGTGCAAGGATCCAGTGGTCTTTTCCCAACACTATGCCCAAAGCTGTTCAGGTCCAATAAGTGGAGAGGGCCTTTAAGGAAACTCTACCTTTGACTTCGTCATTACATCATCACTGCTAAATCTTACATCTAGTTTTGCATTATAAAACTAATCTAAAACCAAATAATCTATAGGGTGGTTTGGAATACCTCCTTCACTGCCCACCCAAGTCCTCCCCTCACAGACTCCAGCAAAATATATTAGATAATACTATGTGTTTTCTATTTGAGAAAAATTAAATGGATTTCTGTTTGCTTATTTTTCAGTAATTTCACAGAGAACCGCAAGTAAGTACTCTACTTCTCAGCTGGTCATATGTGGGGACTTTTCTTATCTTAGTTATTTCTATTTCTAAGTGCCTCATATTTCTCATATTCATTTGCTTCTACATTACCCAAAGTCTTCAAGATTAGGACTGCAAGTCAACCTTTTTGATTCGTAACTGTAGTATTTCCCATTATTTTAGTTCTAAACTCAGCTTCCAAGGTAACACATACCAACAGTGACTCAATATTTAAACCAGGTCAAGCACTAACAATGATGATATTTAATATAGAATTCGTGAAACCGCCTTTCACACTATGTCCTACCTTTCCAAAATGCAAATTTGGTTCTCATATCTCAGTTACAAATGATTTAAGCAAACCTAACATCGCTGGGATTCCTCAGCCTGAAATTAAATCACACTAATATTAAAAACCAAAGTTCCTGTCAAGGTTAAAAATGCAGATGCCAAAAGAGCCCAGGCAGGTCAGTAAATGAGTGAGATGAGGTGAATCTCCTGGGAACTGTGTAAAACTGGGAGGACACATATAGTCTGAAGAGGGTAGCTGCTGCCTGCTCCAGCCAACCTCTTCATGCAAGAATTCAGATTCAGAGTTGCCAAAGCATCTCACTTAATCCAGATAGTAGGTAAAATTTTCCAAGTTTTAAACATGACAGACATCTGGGTTACTCTAACAGATTGCAAACATACTTACATACTCCCCTCTAGTTCCATCTAAACACACTCTGGATACAGTTTTCATAATAACATTTTACTCATTTCAATAATGTTAGGACAAAGGCATTGGTATTTGAGAGAGGAGAATTGGAGCTATTAACACAGAATTAGCCAGTGTCTCTCCAAAGTCCTCATCCACACATCTTTCTGAAGCCTGAGCAAAGAGGCTGATCGGCTAAGTATTCTCATGGCACAGATAAAAATACAGAGACAATGGTTCCGACCCAGAGATGAGGCTGCAAAATCCATATGCCCATGTTTGGGAATAGGCCCTATAATTGGGCACAGGGACCAATGCCCACCTGAGGTCAGGAGAAGGGATTACTGGTCTCACAGCTAGAAATTACAAGCCAAAATCCAAATTGAAGGCATAGTGTCCTTTTCAGAGAAGTCATCAGAGAGTATGGGCAGGAAAAAGATGTAAAAATCCAAGACCCAATAGATATATAGGGTCTTGGATCCTATATATCATCCTAGTAGAGGGGATGAAAAAAAGCACGCAAAAGTAACTAGGGATTATACCACCTGCTTTTTGGATAGCTAAGTGTTGGCTGGCCAATCCCATTACTGGGTATAGACTCAAAGGAATATAAATCATTCTATCATAAAGACACATGCACAGTTATGTTAAACACAGAACTATTCACAATAGCAAATACATGGAATCAACCTAAATGCCCATCAATGGTAGACTGAATAAAGAAAATGTGATACATATACACCATGGAATACTACGCAGCCAAAAAAAGAATGAGATCATGTCCTTTGCTGGAACACGGATGGATCTAGAGGCCATTACCCCTAGCAAACTAATGCAGGAACAGAAAACCAGATACCACATGTTCTTATTTATAAACGGGAGCTAAATGATGAGAACACATGGACACACAGAGGGGAAAAATAGACACTGGGGCCTGTCAGAGGGTGGAGGGTGGGAGCGGGAGAGGATCAGGAAAAATAACTAGATTTAATATCTGGGTAGAAAAATAATCTGTACAACAAACCCCCATGACACAAGTTTACCTATATAACAACCTTGCACATGTGTCCCTGAATTTAAAATAAAAGTTTAAAAAGTGTTACCTGGCAATATCTATAAATGAAAAATATACAGCCAAGCTTAAGCATAAAAAAGGTGGGTAAGATTTCCAAGGAGCAGAAATTGAATATAGGAACACATTGCAAGAAGAAGCTAAAGTTAAGCTCTTGGTGGGAACAGTGAGGGGATGAAAAAATAGAGATGACAGCTTTGCCTCAGGAACAAAGGTAGGGTTTCAACATCTGCTCCCAAATGACAGCAAAAGCCTCAAGATACAACATGCGGAAAACTGAAATTAGGCCCCTCTGAGTAAAGCCAGTAGCAGAAAATATACTGCCTCCCCATGCACAGAAGCCAAAATATCTTCACCCATCTGCCCCAGGCATGAAAACAGAGCCACCCACACAGGTCCAGAGTTAGATCTGTCCAGGGTGCAGAGCCCTGCTGGAGGTGTGCTACCCATGCAATGTGCATAATATTCCAAGTCAAAACAGCTGAGATCTGGTTAAGTGGCAGTGTACCCAGGAAGTTAGGACAATAGCCACCAAGAAGAGAGCCACAACCCAGGGTATTTATATCATAGAATATCCATGAAAGATAGCCCCCAAGGAATAAGAAACTACTAAAAGTTATGAAATCTATGAGAAAATCCAGCACCATGTGAGTGGTGAGTGATACCTCACAAGCCCCAACAAATTGGAGAATTCCAACCCAGAGAAATATAACTAGAGCAATCTGAAGAAGACTAAAATAGGGAACCTAACAGCACTGAACAAGTCAAACACTAAAGGAAAAAAAAGAAAAAGTCTTCAAAGATATTAATGCATTTTAAAAATATATGTATTCAACAAATATATATTGGCCTATTGTAGGCCAGGCATTATCCTAAGCACTGAAAATATAGCCATGAGCAAGACAAAGTCCTTGCACTTAAGGAGTTTATATGTTGAGATAAAACAGGCAAATAATGCCAAGTAAACATATACTAAATGTCAGGCAGATAAATTCATGTAGAAAAATAAGAAGAGTAACAGACTAAAGAAAGATGGTATAGAAGGGGGAGTGTGCTTCAGGCAAAAGGAACAAGTACAACATGCACAGGCCTTCTATGGAGGTGCAAAACAGCCAGCCAGGCTAGAAAGAAGGAGGCAGAGCAGGAGGTAGGGCCAGAGCGACAAGAGCCAGATTATGTCGGGCCCTGCAGTCCTTAATAAAAAATTGCAGATTTCATTCTAGGTGTCATGAGAGGCAACTGAAGGGCTTGAACAGGGAAATGATAGGGCCCACTTTATAATTTTAAAAGATCACTCTATTATTGTGGAGGATTAACTGGGGTGAGAGTGAGGGCTCAAGAGGGCAAGTAGGAAGACCAGTTAAGAGGCCTGAAATTAAGGTGAGTGTGGCAAGGAGAGAGTGATCAGAGTGGAAGTGGGAAGAAGGTCTTCAGATTTTATTTATTTTGGGGGCAAAGCCAACAGGGCCTGCTGTTCGACTGAATGTGATTTTAAGGGAAAAAGAAGACACCAAGGGTTACTCCTAGATTTGGGGTCTAAGAAACTTGACGAATGAGACTATTTATTCATTTAGGTAGCGGAGAAGAGCAGATTTATAGGATGCTATTGTGAGTTCAGTTTTGCATATGTTAGGTTCTAGATGCCTGGGATATTTAGGACTAATTAATTAAATAATCTGACCTTAGCAGGCTTCAAGCATGTTTTCTGGAAAATATCTCCTCTCTGTCCCTTAATGATGCATTAGAACCCATAATTTTATCTTTTTTATCTTTGTAAATAACAGCTTTATTGAGATGATATTCACATATGACACAATTCACTCATTTAAAGTGTGGAATTTAATGCTTTTTAGTATATTCACTGGGTTGTGCAACCATCACCACAATGAATTTTAGAACATTCTCATCACCCCCCAGAAAAACTCTGTTTAGCAATCACTTCCCACTATCCCCCAACCCAAAACCCTCTCCACACCATAGCCCCAGGCAACCACTAATCTTCTTTCTGTCTCTATAGATTCAGCTGTTCTGGACATTTCATATAAATGGAATCAAACAATAGGAGGTCTTTTGTGCCTGGCTTCTTCCATTTAGCATAAGGTTCACCAGGTTCATCCACATGGTAATATGCAGCAGTACTTCAGTTCTTTTTATGGCCAAATAATATTTCATTATGTCTTTGGTTGGCTTTTTTTAGCTTTCCTTTATTTACTTGTAAGGAAATATTATGATAAGTAGTATCAACTTGCTTTCTTTATTTTTATTTAAGTTTTAAGTTCAGGGATACATGTGCAGTTTGTTATATAGGTAAACTTGTGTCATGCAGGTTTGTTGTACAGATTATTTCATCACCCAGGTATTAAGCCTAGAACCCCTTAGTTATTTTTCCTGACTGTCTACGTCCTCTCACCCTCCACCCTTCAATAAGCCCCAGTGCCTGTTGTTTCCTTCTGTGTCCATGTGTTCTCATCATTTATCTCCCATTTGTAAGTGAGAACATGTGGTATTTGGTTCTCTCTTCCTGCATTAGTTTGCTAAGGATAACGCCCTCCAGCTCCATCCATGTTCCTGCAAAGGACATGATCTTGTTCCTTTTTATGGCTGCATGGTATTACATGGTGTATATGTACATTTTATTTATCCAGTCTATCGTTGACGGGCATTTAGGTTGATTCCATGTCATTGTTACTGTGAATAGTGCTGCAATAAACACACGTGTGTTTCTTTATGATAGAACAATTTTTATTACTTTGGGCATATAGCCAGAAATGGGATTGCTGGGTCGAATGGTAGCTCCGTTTTGGGGTCTTTGAGGAATTGCCACACTGTTTCCCACAATGGTTGAACTAATTTACGTTGCCACCAACAAGGTAAAACTGTTCCTTTTTCTCCACAGCCTCCCCAGTATCTGTTATTTTCTGACATTTTGATAATGGCCATTCTGCCTGGTGCGAGATGGTATCTCATTGTGGTTTTGACTTGCATTTCTCTAACAATCAGTGATGTTGAGCTTTTCTTCATATGTTTGTGAGCTGCATGTACGTCTTCTTTTGAAAAGTGCCTATTCCCTTTTTTTGCCAACTTTTTAATGGGATTGTTTTTGTCTTGTAAATTTGTTTAAGTTCCTTACAAGCGCTGGATATTAGACCTTTGCCAGATGCATAGTTTGCAAAAACTTTCTCCCATTCTGTAGGTTGCCTATTTACTCTGTTGACAGTTTCTTTTGCTGGGCAGAAGCTCTTTAGTTCAATTAGATCCCATCTGTTAATTTTTGCTTTTGTTACAGTTGCTTTTGTTGTCTTCATCATGAAATTTTTGCCCATTCCTATGTCCAGAATGGTATTGCCTAGGTGGTCTTCCAGGGTTTTTATAGCTTTGGGTTTTACACTTAAATCTTTAAACCATCTTGAGTTAATTTTCGTATGTGGTGTAAGGAAGGAGTCCAGCTTCAATCTTCTGCATATGGCTGGCCAGTTATCCCAGTATCGTTTATTGAATAGGAAGCCCTTTCCCCATTGCTTGTTTTTCTCAGCTTTGTTAAAGATCAGATAGTTGTAGTCATGTGGCCTTATTTCTGGGCTCTCTATTCTGTTGCATTGATCTATGTGTCTATTTCCTACTAGTGCCATACTGTTTTGCTTACTGTAGCCTGGTAGCATACCATAATTTTCTAATCATGTTAAATTATTAAAAACACTCAGGCCAACCCCTCTTAAAACCCTCTCCTCTCCTAGTGGCCAGTCTCAGGCACACTGACTCAGAATAGGGAGGAGAAATTTTTTTGTATTTTTAGAACATCACAGTGTTCGCCAGGATGGTCTTGATCTCCTGACCTCGTGATCCGCCTGCCTCGACCTCCCAAAGTGCTGGGATTACAGGTGTGAGCCAAGGCGCCTGGCCTACCCTACTCATTTCTAACTCTGTGTGCAGCTACCTGACTCAAAGCTCCCAGTTTCCTCTGCCCTCTGCTAATCTAGCTTCTCCCTGAGAAGGAAGCTTACATTTACATGATTTCAAACACATATGTACTTTGCACCTCCTATAGAATTATATAGGTGCTTTAATTACATTATCCCATTTAATCCTTAGAATCACTCCACTAACCCCTTTGTAAGAGATAAGAAACTGACCCAAATACTTACCCAAGAATGCAATCATAAAGAATTGGAGCTTTTAACAGAGAATTAGCCATTGTCATCCAGAGCTGTGTGACTACCAAGATTCTCCCCAACACAAATATCTCTCCCTAGAAGGAAACTTGCTCCTTTCAAACAAATCTTCACTGATATCTAATTTTTTTAGGTCAGCTGGCAGCACCTATAAGTAAGTATTACATGTCTTTTTCTACTTTGGTTCTCTTTGGTCCCCTTCACTTCACTTCTGTCCAAGTGATTTGTGGTTCCCATTATTCCCTTGCTTCCTTATTACCCTACATGGTCTATATTACAGAGAATCTTTTTAAACACTAATTAAAAGAGGGACTAAGCTAGGATTCATCAGTAATAAACTGAACAATATTATGAAATAACACGTAAGCAGAATTATTGAGAGATGAAATCCATAATGATGTTTAAATGGAGAGAGGCTTTCAGTGTTCTCTCAAACATTATAATGCTATTCAAAGGAAACAGAAAGATATGGCAGTCTCTACCCGAGACTATACCCAAAGCTGTTGGGTCCAGTAAATGAAGAGGGCCTTTAAGGAAACCCTACCTTTGATTTCATCACATCATCACTGCCTAATCTTATATCTAGTTTTGCATTGTAAAACTAATCTAAAACTAATCTATAGGGCGGTTTGGAATGCTTCCTTCTTTGCCCACACAAGTCCTCCCCTCACAGACTCCAACAAAATATGTTAGATAATGCTATGTTTTCTCCATTTGAGAAAAATTAAATGGATTTCTTTTTGCTTATTTTTTAGTAATTTCGCAGAGAACTGCAAGTAAGTTCTTTATTTCTCAGCTGGTCATATGTGGAGATTTATGTTAGATGTTTCTACTTCTAAGTATCCAAAAGATTGAGACTCATATTTCTCATATTCATTTGCTTCTACATTACCCAAAGTCCTCCAGATTAGGACTGCAAGACAAACTTTTTGATTCATAACTGTAATATTTCCCATTATTTAGGTTTTTTTGTTTTGTTTTGTTTTGAGACAGAGTCTCACTCTGTCACACAGGCTGGAGTGCAGTGGCGTGATCTAGGCTCACTGCAACCTCCACCTGCCGAGTCCAAGCAATTCTCCTGCCTGAGCCTCCCAAGTGGCTAGCAATACAAGTGCAAGCCACCATGCCCAGCTAATTATTGTATTTTTAGTAGAGACAGGGTTTCCTCATTTGGCCAGGCTGTTCTTGAACTCCTGACCTCAAGTGATCCTCCCGCGTTGGCCTCCCAAAGTGCTGGGTTTACAGGTGTGAACCACCACGCCCAGCCCCATTATTTTAGTTCTAAACCCAACTTCCAAGGTAACACATACCAACAGTGACTCAATTTTTAAACCAGATCAAGCGTCGACCATGATGATATTTAATATAGAATTCGTGAAAGCACCTTTCACACTGTGTCCTAGTTTTCCAAAATGCAAATCTGGTTCTCATATCTCAGTTACAAATGATTTAAGCAAACCCAATATCAGCTGAGATTCCTCATCCTGAAATTAAATCACATTAATATTAAAACCCAAAGTTCCTGTCAAGGTTAAAAACGCAGATGCCAAAAGAGCCCAGGCAGGTCAGTAAATGAGCGAGTTGAGGTGAGTCTCCTGGGAACTGTGTTAAACTGGGAGGACACGCATAGTCTGAAGAAGGTAGCTGCTGCCCAGCTCCAGCCAACCTCTTCATGCAAGAATTCACATCTAGAGTTGTCAAAGCATCTCACTTAATCCAGATAGTAGGTAAAATTTTCCAATTTTTAAACATGAAAGACATCTATGTTATTCTAACAGATTTCAAATATGCTTATATATCCTCCTCCAGTTCCTTCTAAACACACTCTGGATATAGTTTTCATAATAACAACACTTTACTAATTTCAATAATGTTAGGACAAAGACATTGGTATTTGAGTGAAGAGAAATGGAACTGTCAACAAAGAATTATAAGTGAGTGTCTCTCCAAAATCCCTATCCACATACCTTTCTGAAGCCTGAGCAAAGAGGCTGATCAGCTAAGTATTCTCACTGCACAGATGAAAATACATACTCAGTGGTTGAGACCCAGAAATGAAGCTGGAAATTCCAGATGTCTATGTTTGCACATGGGCCATATAATTGGGAACAGAGACCAAGGCCCACCAAAGTTCAGGAGAAGGGATTATTGGTCTCACAGCTAGAAATTACAAGGCAGAACCCAAATTGAATGCATAGTGTCCTTTTCAGAGGAGTCATCAAAGAGGATGGGCAGGGAAATAACGTAAAAATCCAATACCCGAGGGGTAGGGAGAAAGAAAAAAGGAATGCCAAAGTAACTAGGGGTTATAACACCTCATTTTTGGCTGGCTAAGTCTTGGCTGGAAATATTTTTAAATGAAAAATACACAGTCATACCTAAGCATAAAGAAGGAGGGTAAGAGTGATTTCCAAGGAGCAGAAATGGAATATAGGGACACATATAAAGAAAGGAAAGCTAAAGTTAAGCTCTTGGGAGGAATGGTGAGGGGATGAGGAAAAGAGGTAGCAGCTTTGCCTCAGGAACAAAGGTAGGGTTTCAACACCTGATCCTAGATGGTGGACAAAGCCTCAAGATACAACATGTAGAAAACTGGAATTCCACCACTTGGAGTAAAGCCAGGAGCAGAAAACACACTGCCTCCCCATGCGGAGAAGCCAAAATATCTTCACCCATCTGCCCCAGGCATGAAAACAAAGCCACCCACACAGGTCCAGAGTTAGATCTGTCCAGGGTGCAGAGCCCTGCTGGAGGTGTGCTACCCATGCAGTGTGCATAATATTCCAAGTTAAAACAGCTGAGATCTGGTTCAGAGGCAGTGTACCCAGGAAGTTAGGACAATAGCCACCAAGAAGGGATCCACAACCCAGGGTATTTATATCATAGAATATCCATGAAAGATAGCCCCCAAGGAATAAGAAACTACTAAAAGTTATGAAATCTATGAGAAAATCCAGCACCATGTGAGTGATACCTCACAAGTCCCAACAAATTGGAGAATTCCAACCCAGAGAAATATAACTAGAGCAATCTGAAGAAGACTAAAATAAGAAACCTAACAGCATTGAACAAGTCAAACACTAAAGGAAAAAAAAGAAAAAGTCTTCAAAGATATTAATGCATTTTAAAAATATATGTATTCAACAAATATATATTGGCCTATTGTAGGCCAGGCATTATCCTAAGCACTGGAAATATAGCCATGAGCAAGACAAAGTCCTTGCACTTAAGGAGTTTATATGTTGAGATAAAACAGGCAAATAATGCCAAGTAAACATATACTAAATGTCAGGCAGATAAATTCATGTAGAAAAATAAGAAGAGTAACAGACTAAAGAAAGATGGTATAGAAGGGGGAGTGTGCTTCAGGCAAAAGGAACAAGTACAACATGCACAGGCCTGCTATGGAGGTGCAAAACAGCCAGCCAGGCTAGAAAGAAGGAGGCAGAGCAGGAGGTAGGGCCAGAGCGACAAAAGCCAGATTATGTCGGGCCCTGCAGTCCTTAATAAAAAATTGCAGATTTCATTCTAGGCATCATGAGAAGTAACTGAAGGGCTTGAACAGGGAAATGATAGGGTCTACTTTATAATTTTAAAAGATCACTCTATTATTGTGGAGGATTAACTGGGGTGAGAGTGAGGGCTCAAGAGGGCAAGTAGGAAGACCAGTTAAGAGGCCTGAAACTAAAGGTGAGTGTGGCAAGGAGAGAGTGATCAGAGTGGAAGTGGGAGGAAGGTCTTCAGATTTTATTTATTTTGGGGGCAAAGCCAACAGGGCCTGCTGTTCGACTGAATGTGATTTTAAGGGAAAAAGAAGACACCAAGGGTTACTCCTAGATTTGGGGTCTAAGAAACTTGACAAATGAAACTATTTATTGATTTAGGTAGTGGAGAAGAGCAGATTTATAGGATGCTATTGTGAGTTCAGTTTTGTGTATGCTTGGTTCTAGATGCCTGGAACATTTAGGACTAATTAATCAAATAATCTGACCTTAGCAAGCTTCAAGCATGTTCTCTGCCATGTGTCTCCTTCCTATCATTTAATGATGTCTTAGAACCCATAATTTTCTAGTTATGCTAAATTATTTAAAATGCTTAAGCCATCCCCTTTAAAACCCTCTCCTCTCCTAATGGCCCGTCCCAGGCACACTGACTCAGAATGGGGAGGAGAAATACAATGTGCTTCCCCTTCCTGTCCACTCTCCTTGTTGCTATAATTCCCACCGTTGTTATAATTCCCACTGTTGAGGCTGAGAGGATGGATTTGGGGCATGCAATCTCCTTCCTCTGTTAGTTGTAGGTTCTTTTCTCTGAGAACCTGAGACTGACTGTCCTTTGATGTCATCTAGAGCAGACACCCAAATGTCTTGCACAATACATATTCCAGTTCTTTGGAGGAACATACAAGAACTCGACCATGCCTAGTCCCTGATGTGGGAGTACTGACTCTAGTCTTGCCAATTCCAGAGCCCCTCAACTCCCTCTCGAGCAATACACTTCATTGCTTGTACTGCAGAGATGCCCTTACCAAGTAGGCCACCCACTTGAGTGACATACTAGCAAGAAGGCTCAAGCCAGGATGTATTTTGCACTGCCCACTGAACCCTCAGGAGGCTCAAGAATCCTTATCACAGAACAAGGACACTCTGCACTACTGTCTCTCTCCAATTTTATTTTCCTTCATTCAGATAGGCACAAAAAAAATCAACAAATCCACTATTCAACCAGGAGATGGGTTGCCACACATCCTTTCTCACAGATACCCCCAATCACTGTAAGCAAATCTCAAAGTGCTACTCATTTGCCTTCAGAAAAAGAAAGCACTATTCTTCCTCCCCTACAACACCATTCCTTTGTTAACTACTCACAACTCTAAAGACTCTTAAAGCTCCTGCCCTTTACAGTTGTTTGCTTATGTTGTCTTGGAAAAAGGGTGACACTTGAGATAGGAGAGCTAATTTGGCCATCATGTCAAGGCCGGCAAGCAGCACCTCTGCACTGCACAGCCTCAAGAATCCTTTCCCTTTTAATTATGGAGTTGGCAATGCTGCAATCCCTCCTGAGGGCTTGTCTCACCTCAGTTTGCTGAGGAGGGTAATGGGAAGTTATAACCTCTTTTTCCTCAGCTTTGTGATCCTACTTGTCAATTTGGGAGTAACAAGAAAAATCCCACTAAACATTCTGCCCCCCATCCAAGCATATACTCTATATCAAAAGGCAATTAAATATTTGAGTCTGAAGATTTAGGGAGAGATTGGGTGGGAAATAAATTAGACAGTAATCAGCATATAGGTAACATTTAAGACGATTGGACTAAATTAGATAATCAAAGGTATATGTAAAAATGAAGGGGTAAGGATTAATCAGTTTTAGAAGTTTAGAATGAGAAAAATCTAACTATGCATATAGAGAAGTAGTGAGCAGGGAGAAAGAAGGAGAACCAGTAAAGGGGGGGTCTCGCAGCACTCAAGAGAAGATAGTATTTCAATATGGAAAAAATAAACAACAGCATCAAAAACAGCTAAGCAATAAATTTTTGGAGTAAGAACTGACAAGGAATTTTGCAAAATGAATGTCATAAGTAACCTTGATAAGATAGGAGGGAAGAAATGCCTAAATGGAGGAGGTGAAGGAGATAATAAAATTTTAAACAGTAAGGCAGCTGATACGGCATATGACAGCTAGTATAGCATGAAAAGGCCACGAAAGGCTGGAGTTCTGATAGGTTGTGGCTTACCTATTGGGGAATAAAAGAAAGACTATCCTTTCTAAAAAGATTAAAAAATATATATATATATATATATATGTATATATATTTGAGAGATAGTTTGAAGAAAGAACAGGCAGATTTAAAAAAGAACCAAGCTGAAACCTTGAAAATAAGAAAGTTATTAGAATTGAAACAATGATTAGATAATATATAAATTCTAATGTAACTATATGTAAATAATATTTAAATATTATTAATCACAGTTTAAAAGAGTAAACTGGAAGACAGAACTGAGGAAATCTCAGTTCAAAATAGTACATGGAAAATATTGAAAATCTCAGCTCAAAATAATACACAGAAGATATTGAAAATATGAAAAAGAAGAGCTGTAAATAGAATGAGGTCAGGTGTAATGGAATTTGATAAGAGAAAATTAAAAGAATAAATGTCAGGTAATAATTTTAAATGTAATAATTAATAACATTCCAGAAGAAAAGAGACATAAATCCTCAGATCATAATGGTCCACTGAAAGCTGAAATTAGATAACTTTAAAACACACAGACAGATATATACACACACACACACTTACATGTGCCAAAACTCATCGTAGTAAGCTGACAAACAGACATTAAAAAGCAAATCATAAAGACAACCAGAGAAGCAGATCACCTGCAAAAAATCATTTTAACACTAGACATCTCATTAGCAATAATATGTGCCAGAATACAACAGAACAAGAATGAAATCCAAACAAGAATGAGATCCTATCATTTGCAACAACCTAGATGGAAATGAAGGTCATTATGTTAAGTGAAATAAGCCAGGCATAGAACCACAGACTTCACATGTCCATACTCATTTGTGGGAACTAAAAATTAAAACATTGAACTCATGGAGATAGAGAGTAGAATGATGGTTACCAGAGCCTGGGGAGGGTAGTCAGGAGAGAGAAAAATTGGGAATGGTTAATAGGTACAAAAATAGTTAGATAGAATGGATAAGATCTAATATTTGATAGCACAACAGGGTGACTATAGTCAAAGGAAATTTATTGTACATTTTTAAACAATTAAAAGAATATAATTGCAAGTTTGTAACACAAAGAAATGATAAATGCTTAAGGTGATATTCAGTTAACCCTGATGTGATTACTACACATTATTACACATTGTATGAGTGTACCAAAATATTTCATGTACCTACTTGCACCTACTATATACCCATAAAAATTAAAAATAAAAAAATGTTAAAAATACAACAGAACAATATCATCAAAAGACTGAAGGAAAATTACTATAAACCCATAAGATACAATCAGCAAAATTATCATTTATGAGTGAGACTGAAATGAAGTCATTTTGTATATTCAAGAACATAGAAACTCATTAAACACAGGTCCCCAATGAAAGAATTATCAAAGGGACATACTTCAGGGAGTTTACTTTTGAGTAAAAACTCAAAAAGAAGTTAGAACCAAGAAACATGTAAGAAAACAAATCAACAAAACATGACAGTAAATCTAAAATGTTGACTATAAAGAAAAAAAAGAGAAGGAAGAGAAGAAGGAGAAGGAAAAGCAGAAAGAGTCTGAGCACAGTGGTTCACACCTATAAGCCCTGCACTTTGGGAGGCCAGGGCAGGTGGATTGCTTGAGCTCAGGAGTTGGAGACCAGGCTGGGCACCATGGTGAAATCCTGTCTCTACAAAAAATACAAACATCAGGTGAGTGTGGTGGTGCATGCCTGTAGTCACAGCTACTCAGTAGGCTGAGGTGGGAGGATTGCTCGAGCCTGGGAGGTCAAAGCAGCAGTAAGCCATGATCATGCCACCGCACTCCAGCCTAGGAGCAAGACTCTGTCAAAAAAAAAAAAAAAAGGCAGGAAGAAAAGAAGGAGAAGGAGAGAGTGAAGGAGAAATATATTAGTGTGCTTTAAAATGAGTAGACCTAAAGCATTAGGGAAAAAAACCTTAGAGACAAGGCTAATGATTATGAACTAAGATAATTTGACAAAAGGTCAGATGTACTGATTAACTTTTCATCTTATTAAATATATACATTTGGATATTTATGGCAAAAATAAAAGACAACTATTAATATAATAGAAATGTGACATACATCTTCTGAACCCATAGGGAAAATAAAAAGAAGAAAGAAAACTATATTAGTCCACAAGAAAGCAAGAAAAAAGAAAAAGAGAAAGCAAATAAAAAGCAAATTTTTTTTTTTTTTGAGACGGAGTCTCGCTCTGTCGCCCAGGCTGGAGTGCAGTGGCGGGATCTCGGCTCACTGCAAGCTCCGCCTCCCGGGTTCACGCCATTCTCCTGCCTCAGCCTCCCAAGTAGCTGGGACTACAGGCGCCCGCCACTACGCCCGGCTAATTTTTTGTATTTTTAGTAGAGATGGGGTTTCACCGTTTTAGCCGGGATGGTCTTGATCTCCTGACCTCGTGATCCGCCCGCCTCGGCCTCCCAAAGTGCTGGGATTACAGGCGTGAAAAAGCAAATTTTTTTAAATGAGGGTTAAAAAAAAGTCTAAATATGTTGCTTAGCACAATATTATACAATAGTAGATTAAACTCCCAGATTAAAAGCTAGAAGCTCTCAGATGTAATTAAAAGAATTAAATTTTTTTAATTTTTCTATTTTCCTATAAAAAAATAAGAAAAATAGCTAAACTCTATTAAGAAATATACCTAAAATAAGGTGACACACAGAAAAATTTAAATGAAGGAATTTTAAAACATACCAGGCAATTGGCCAGGTGCAGTGGCTCATGCCTGTAATTCCAGCGCTTTGGGAGGCCAAAGCGGGTAGATCACTTGAGGTCAGGAGTTCGAGACCCACCTGGCCAACATGGTGAAACCCTGTCTCTACTAAAAATACAAAATTAGCCAGGCATGGTGGCACATGCTTGTCATCCCAGCTACTTGAGAGGCTGAGGCTGGAGAGTCACTTGAACCTAGGAGGCAGAGGTTGCAGTGAGCCAAGATTGCACCATTGCACTCCAGCCTAAGTGACAAGAGCGAAATTCTGTCTCAAAAAAAAAAAAAACCAGGCAATTAACAACAAAACAAAACTTGATATAATTGTGCAAATATCAGATAAAATATAAGTGAAAGTTGTGAGCTTATAGCATAGCCTTTGAAATACATAAAACAAAAACTGACAAAATAGCAAAGACATCTGTAACTAAATAAAGATATTTTAATAATATTTCTCTCATAAAATAAATAAACAGACAAAAATTAGTAAGGCTAGAGAGGCTTTGACATAATTTTAGAAAGCTTTATCTAGTAATGTACACTGAACATTCCACCAAGCAAGCACAGATGGAAAAGATTACCTTGACCACCAATTCCTTCAACTAGAGCAAGCCTCAACTAATTTCAAAGTACACTTCAACATAATATAAATCATATTTTCTGAGCACAAGGCAACAAAACAGAAATAAATAACAAAAAATATTAACATATACATATTTAGAAACAAAAAAGCATACATCCAAATAATCCACAGGTTACAAACAAAATTGTGAGAGAAATTACAGAATATATAGAAATAAGTGAGTATAAAATCATTACTTATCAAAACACTTAGGATACAACCAAAATATCATTTAGAGAGAAATTATTATGGTAAATGGTTTTAATAGAAATTATTCATTAATAAAAATTGATGAACTAAACATGAGCTCAAGATGATTAAAAAAGGAAAAATCTCAAGAGTAGTACACAATAATAAAAATGTCCTACTTTTATTAGGCAAAAATTAATGAAATGAAAAGTATTTAAAAATAATCAACAGAATAATTTTGATTATTTTGAAACAAAATTAAAGAAAAGGAAAAGCACTAACAATACAAGGAACAAAATAGAAATGTGGAGAGAAAGCAAAATTTCCTCAAAATCATAAGAAAATGCACTAAAAAAATGGAAATACTGCAAAATGAATACTTTGTTAGCCTAGCCAAATCATCTATTTTGCCTGAGCACTTGACATTAAACATGACAGTCAGAAAAACCTTGTATCATGAGATAAACTGAGGATGGCAGGAGGTGAAAAAAGAAGGAAAGAAAACCAGAAGGAAGGGAAGGAGAGAAGGAGGGAGGGAGGGACAGACAACTTGCTTTATATGTTCTTAAATTGAATAATAGTTCCATTTAGCACTGCAACCTAAAATAAAGGCTTAAGTTCATATGCTTTACATTGCTGGCTTCCTAATGGAAACAATTTTAGTGCTGATTTTTACAATATTGATACACATAAATGTAAGTAACCAAACCCAGGTTTGGCTGCTTGCAGCTGAAAAGCCAGACATGAGAGACAAGGGTTGGTGGGATGAAAAGCAGATTATATTGGAGAGTCAGCAAACCGAGAAGATGGAGAACCAGCATTCTAAAGTACCACCCTTCTAATGTCTTTCAGGCTGGCTGGAGGGTTTCTATGGGAGGGGGGATATGGGGAAATTATGCGCAGGAGTTAGAATCAAGAGATGACTGAGGAACACAGAGATCTGGATGCCAGCAAGAGTCAGAAGAGGTTGGGAATGTCTTTGTCCTTGGTCAGGTCACAATGCTCCCGTAAATCTTTAACAAAACATAATTAGTTGTTTACATAATTCCCCCTTAGTCGTACAGTTAGTTTCAAAAATTCCATGATTGCTGTTTTTGCATTTTATCTTAGTGTTCTAAAATTGTCCTAACTTACATGCAGGAATGGGTGAAGGTCCTTTAAACAAAAAAAGAGTTCATGTTAGTTATTTTGCTGTTTCACTGTCATACAAATGTGTTATGACCCTTGCCAATATATAATTATGATGGAGAATTATTTTTCCACCAATGAGAATAATCGGCAAACTGACCAACTTTATAGATTATGCCCCTTAAACTCCTGCTATGTCTCTTATTAAGTGAGCCAGTTCTTCTGAAGACAGGACTTGCTTGCAAGCACTGCAACTTAAAAAAGAAAAGAAAAATGTTTCTCAGTTCCAATTTGCCTCCAGTTTTTATTGACAATACAGACCTTTAAAAAACATATGACCTGGCCAGGCGTGGTGGCTCATGCCTGTAATCCCAGCACTTTGGAAGGCCAAGGCAGGAGGATTGCCTGAGGTCAGGAGTTCGAGACTAGCCTGGCCAACATGGCAAAACCCCATCTCTACTAAAAATACAAAAATTAGCTGGGTGTGGTGGCACACACCTGTAATCCCAGCTACTTGGGAGGCTGAGGTAGGAGAATCGGGCTGCTTTTCTTCATGGCCCAATAACGAGATGCAGATGAACTGAGAAAGAAGACAGTTTTTATTTATATAAGTAGGTACAGAGAGAAGGCCTGGAAATTTTTGCCAGACCAACTGAAAATTACAAAGTTTTCCAGAGCCAATATACCTTCTAAGCTATATGTCTACGTGTAAGTGAGCATTCATCTAAAGACATAAGTCATTAACTTCTTCTAATCTGTGACTAAGATGTGAGTCCTGAAGGCTTTCCTCTAGAGCTTCAGTAAATTTACTTAATCTAAATGGGTCCAAGTGCTGGGGTGATTACCCTTATCTTGTCTCCTGCTAAATATGGAGTTCCTTCAGAAGACCCCCAATAAACTTGTTTGTGAAGGCCTGGGGAGTTTCTTCAGACCCCCCAATAAACTTGTTTTAATCCTAAACGGGTCCTGTTAAGAATTCCTTCGTAATCTTGTCATGCTTCAAGGCCCAGGAAAGGCCTAGGCAAACTCTTGGTGGGCTTGTTACATTCTAGCCTGGCTCTATCAGCTTTCAACATTTAACTTAACCACTCAGTCAGTGCTGAAACAGTTGTTATGGAGGCCTGCGTTAGCGAGACCTGCCCTGCCACAGTAAGGCAAAGAGTAAGTAAACTTAGTAATGGAAATCTAGAAGGAGAATACAACGAACGGTGAAGAAGAGAACAGATATTTTGAGATTAGAGACTGAAATAGGAAAAAAAGTAAAAGAAGCAAAACTTAAAATAAGTATTACAACTCTTGAAGAGTTTTAAATTCTCATAAAAACTGAAAAGAAAAAGAAAAGGTGCTAAACTCAACTACATTTTAATTACAAATAAACTTTCTGTACTGTAAAAAAAATACAATGAGAGCTGGTATAATGGTAGAGATTTGAAAGGAAGAGAAAACATGAAAAGACAAAAAAGACGATGAAGAGATAACGTAAATTAGTAACCTTTAACTATTAGCCAGTCTCCTGAAAGAATGTGACCTAGTTTAAGAATGTTTAAAAAAATATTTTATTTCATTAGAAAAAGTGGCCTTCACTCATATAACCCATCATACGTGCCATTCAAAATGGCCTGGATATTTAAGTTATTAAAGTGGAGTTAAAATTGACTTAATAAGAGATAGCATATTCCTAGAAGATTTAATGTTTCCCAAAGGTCTGTTTTCTGGTGTTCCAAGTGGATTTTCAATAGGAACTCAATACATAATTTAAAAAAAAAAACTGATTTGTTTTATTTTATTTTTAGCAATTGGTCCAATAGCAACCAGTAAGCTCCTACTGTTTTTCTCAGTTTCCTCTGGTCTTTTGTAGCATCTCGATTCCTTTATTTGCACTGACACTTTTGTTGTTTTTGGTTTCTATTTTGGTTTAGTTTGGGTCTTTCTTTCTTTCTTTCTTTTGTTCATTCGCTCATTCTTTCTTCTTCCTTCCTTTCTTTCTTTCTTCTTCCTGTCTTTGTCTTTTAAATAAGTCAAAGGCCCACAGAAACAAGAAACCACATAGAAAGGACCAAAATCAATTTGTTCTTCTGGTTAGAGAGTTAAGTTGCAAAAGAGAAGCAAGAGGAAATAATGCTGGGAAAATATGCTGGGAAGACTATGGAAATAATACACTAAGAAGTTTGTATCACAGTCTGAAGCCACAGGGTCACAAGATGAAACTCCAAAAGATAAAAGGTAGAAATAATAAAAACAAGAAGATGTAGCAAATGGGAGTAGAAGAAGGGACAGACTGCAAAATGCAAACAGAGAAAACACTAAAATAGAATTCAAGATAAAAAAGAAAGATTGATCTTTGCCTTTTCCTCCATAAAGTTTATTACATCTAAACTTGGACCACTAGTGCTGCAGAGATTAAGCCTTTTCTGACTTCCCCTCCTTGAAAGAATTGGGACTTGCCTCTCATAACAATCAGGCAAATCACACAAATTTATTTTGTGTAGGTCTAAATACACCAATTTTTTCAAAAGATTACCAGAGTACATTAAAAACATGACCTAACTATATCCTATCTACAAGAAAGTCACCTCAAATTTAACAATAAAAGTAAAAAGAATGAAAAATATATGCCATGAAACATTAATTTTTTCAAAAAAAAGGCAGAAGTGGCTACATTAATATCACGTAAAGTGGACCTAAATGCAAAGAAAAAAGAAATTTACCAGGGACAAAAGAGGGACATTATATCATGATAAAAATATCAATGCATCAAGAAGACAAAGAAATTCTACATATGTATGAACCAAACAACAGTGCTTCAAAACACACTGGGAAAAAAAAAACACGTACTAGAACTGAAGAGAAACAGAAAAACCCACAACTACAGTTGGAAAGTTTAATGCCTCATTCTCAGCAATTGCTATAACTACTAGATGGAACATGAAATAGGTGAGAGAATTAGCCAGGCAATATCTGAGGGGGGAATATTTCAATCAGAGAAGACAACAAGTAAACCACCCTAGGGTAGGAACATTTCCAGACTATTTGAGGAAAAGCAAAATAGCAAGTACCATATAGCTGGAACAGAATGAAAAGTGACATAAAAAGAAGCTATAAGAGAGATTTGGAGGGACAGATCTTCCAGGGCCATCTTTGAAAGCCACTGTTGTGATTTTGACTTTTGTTAAACCAAGATGGGGAACCATTGGTGGCTCTTAAGCAGGAGTCTTGCTGACACTTTAAAAGGGTCCCGCTAACTGCTGTACTGGGAACTGACTGGGAGGCAAGGGTGAAAGCAGAGAGCTCAATTAGAGAGACAACAATAAGTTGGACCACATAAAGGTGGTAAAAACTGTCAGGTTCTTATAACACACTAAGGGATCTGTTGTCTCATCATATTTCATTGTATTCTGCTAGAAGTCTTTATGGTACCCTAGAAAAAACAACTAGGGAATTGGGAGTAGGAAAGAACTGTACTTCTGTTCCAAAAATGCTGCCATTAACCTATTTTCTTGTTTTGATTTTCAGGAATACCTCAAGTTCACACTAGTAAGTTCCTAATATATTTTTAATACATTAGTTTCTTGTAGGGCTGGGGTGAGCAAATTTTTTCTACAAATGTTTTTAATGTTTTATGTTTGTTTTTGTTTGTTGGGTTTTTGTGTTTTTTGGTTTGTTTGGTGTTTTTGGTTTTGTTTTGTTCTGAGACAGGGTCTTGCTCTGTCACCTAGCCTGGAGTGCAGTGGTGTGATCATAGTTCACTACAACCTCCACTCCTGGGCTCAAGCAATTCTCCTGCCTCAGCCTCCTGAGTAGCTGGGACTACAGATGTGTGCCACCATGCTTGGCTAACTTTTTTTTATTTTTTGTAGAAACTGAGTCTTGCTATGTTGCCTAGGCTGGTCTCAAAGTCCTGGCCTCAAACGATCCCCTTGCCTTAGCCTCCTAAAGTGCTGGGATTACAGGTATAAGCCACCATGCCCAGCCAAATATTTTAAATTTTATAAGCCTTAAAGTCTCTGTCACAACTACTCAACCCTGCTGTTGTAGCACAAAAACAGTCATAGACAATATATAAAAGAATGAGCATGGGTATGTCCCAATAAAATACTATTTTAGACATTGAAATTTGAATTTCATACAATTTTCATGTGCCACAAAATATTATTATTATTATTATTATTATTATTATTATTATTATTATTTCAACTATTTAAATATGTAAAATCCATTCTTACCTCACAGGACATGCAAAAATAGCATGTCCTAGATGCTATTTTTATTTGGAAAACTAGATTTATATGGAAAAACTAGATTTATTCCATGGGCTGTATTTTGCCAACTCCCATTCTATGGTTTAAATACCCTAACTCCACATATGTATCTCTGGTAAACAATCCTGGTATATGTTTCTTACAGTTTCATGCTTTCTTATTATTCTGTGCTTTTTTTTTTTTAAAAACAGCGTTTCACTCACCCAGGCTAGAATGCACTGGTGTGATCATGGCCCACTGCAGCCTTGACTTCCTAAGCAATCCTCCCACCTCAGCTTTCTGAGCAGCTGGGACTACAGGTGCTTGCCACCATACCCAGCTAATTTTTTCTTTTTTTTTTTTGCAGAGATGGGGATCTCATTATGTTGCCCAGGCTGGTCTTGAACTCCTAGGCTCAAGCCATCCGCCTGCCTCACAGCCTTCCAAAGTGCTGGGATTACAGGCATGAGCCACCGCGCCAGCCTATTTTGTGCTTTCTATGTTAGGTTTATCAAGTAACATCAACACAAGAGATATACCTATATTTCAGTACTTGGTAACAACTGTATCTTAAATATTTCGTACCAGGCCAGGCATGGTGGCTTACACCTGTAATCCCAGCACTTTGAGAAGCCAAAGCAGGTGGATCGCTGGAGCTCAGGGTTCCAGACCAGCCTGGGCAACGTGATGAAACTCCGTCTCTACAAAAAAATACAAAAATTAGCTGGGTGTGGTAGCACGCACCTGTAGTCCCAGCTACTCAGGAGGCTGAAACTGGAGGATCGCTTGAACCCCGGAAGTGGAAGCTGCAGTGAGCCATGTTCATGCCACTGCACTGCAGCCTGGGAGACTGAGACCCTGTCTCAAAAAAATATATTAAAAAAAAATTCGTATCAAACAATGTCAAAAAATAATGTTAGCACACATCTTCTAAGCAAGACCATTATATGTCCTATATTTTATAAATTGTAATCTTGACATTCTAGACAAAATTGCTAATGATCAATGATAAGTAAAGGTGATTTAAAGTAGCTTATCACAAGGTCTTTGTAAACTACACTGGGCAAAGAGAAGGGGGAAGGGAAATGAAGTTTCTTCACATTTAAATAAATGAAATTTAGTTGTTAATGACACAGATCCCACTCAATGCAGAGGTTTGGGGACTGGGAAGAAGGGAATGCCCAGTACCTACTGATGTGTTTGCCTTTATCTCTTTCAGTGGACAGTTCTGGAAAAATCAGTAAGTTTGGATCATTTCCTTGCCTTACCTATTTCTGTGCCTAGGACCTTTAAGTTCTTTTTCCCAAATGTTCTTGTGTTACGAGTTCCTCTACCTTACAGCAGTCAATATTTCTTCAATAAGTGATTTCCTCATATTTCAATTTTAATTCTTCTTATCTATTTTCCTTTTGTAACAAAGTATAATGGTCTTGTGTTTGATTCTAGTTATTTACTACCAAAGATTATTGGTAGCATATATTCCCAGCTAATCTATCACAACAGAGCCTATTTCCTCTGTGCTATAATCTGGCAACTAATAATTTTTACTAAAAAAGAAAATCCTCTAAGATTGACAAAAAGAATATGTGTCAGGACTAGATGTGATTTTGGTAATTAATCAACAATATACATTTTTCAAACGGACCAGAACAGTGAGCAAAAAACTGTTTTGCAGAAGACATATGAAAGACTTATCAAAGAACAAAGAAAGGCAGGAAATACAATAGTTTGAATTTCAGTAGAAGTGATTTTACCTACCCAAGATTTCAAATGCCTATATTAATTAAATGGCATCCTAAAGATAACCCTCTGTGTGGAGTGCGATATGGAGCATTGGCCAGCAACACTCCTGAGGATGAAACAGAGTTTTGTGCTCCCTCCAAGTCCTGTTTCTAAGTTCACCTAGGAAGGATACTATTGGAAGGTGGGTTTCTCTTGAGTTAGAAAATCCTCACTGATCTTTCTTTTGTGTTTTGTTTTTAGCACTGACTCCTGTGGGTAAGTTCCATATCTATTCTCAACTCTGATATTTTACATTGCTTTTAATTCTTTTGTGACCTGTCTGTTTCTACTCCCAAAATAGAGGCCTGTGCTTCTAAGGCCAATTTGAATGTTCCTATCTTCCAGAAACTTCCAAGGTTCCCCCCCGCCCTCCACTTTTCTTTTTGAGACAGGATCTCACTATGTTGCCCAGGTTGGTCTTGAATTCCTGGGCTCAAGTGATCCTCCTGCCTCAGCCTCCCAAAGTGCTGGGATTGCAGGTGTGAGCAACTGTGCCAGGCCCCAAGTTTTTAAATAACTACAATTTAAGAGATTGCTGTAGAGAAGATGAAGCTCATATGAAAGGGTGCCACAATCTCTGGCCATCTTCTAGGCTCTGAAAAAGAATCTCCTCCCTGATTCTCAGGAAAACATAATGAAAGGAAGATTGGTTTCTGAATTCCATTAGTTATTTGCTGGGAATTTAGAACTTTTTTTTAGTTATAGGTGAAGTCCCTCTGAATCATATTAATGGGGGAAAAAAACTAGTTAAAAACAAAATACCATCTCCTTTCTATTGCCTTCTAAATAACTACCTTTGAAAGACAGTAGGTATTGAGCATTGACTATGTATTTGTGCACTGTGCTAGGCACTTACAAAAGTAACATCTCTTATTCTTACCATATGCCTGCCTGGTAGGTATTATTATTCCCCATTTTACAGATTAGGAAACTAACTCAGGTATTTACCCAAGGTTAAAGAGTTGGTAAACATTGGTGTCAGGATTTAAACCCAGGATGTCCTATCTCCAAAATACACACTCTTCCCACTCTTCCCATACTAACACATTGCCTCCTATACTGAATCACAAATGCATTTTTTGTGATTAGTCAGGAAACTTTATGGAATGTTTGCAAATATAAATATACATCTACAGAAAAGCTGGATAACTAAATGTACACAAAAGGATCCTTTTAAAAATAGAAGACCGCATTTAAATCAATGTTTGACTTTTTTAACTGTTTTCTGGATTCAGATTTATCTCTATTGGGATTACTTAATATATGACTCAGCTCTTCAAGCAAGGAAACCATACAAAACAAAGTAGAATAATAACTTTTGTTTAATTCTGTAAACATATGATCAAAAGAAGCAAATAAGACTTAAACCTAGTGAGACACGTTTCAAGCATTTCAAACATTCCAAACACTGACACAAACACAAAATATGTCCTTATATTTAATCGTGTTTAAGCCTCATTCTTCTTTCTCAGTTCACACTAGAAAGAGAGTGGGTTTGGAGGGAAAGGAAGGCAGGGAGATGAAGTTGAAAGGGGCAATTAATTAATTTTTTTTTTTTTGGACAAAGTTTCGTTCTTGTCGCCCAAGCTGGAGTGCAATGGCACGATCTTGCCTCACTGCAACCTCTGCCTCACGGGTTCAAGTGATTCTCCTGCCTCAGCCTCCCAAGTAGCTGGGATTACAGGCATGTGCCACCATGCCCAGCTAATTTTGTATTTTTAATAGAGACAGGGTTTCACTATGTTGGTCAGGCTGGTCTCGAACTCCTGACCTCAGGTGATCTGCCCACTTCAGCATCCCAAAGTGCTGGGATTACAGGCGTGAGCCACTGCACCCAGCCGGGGAAATTAATTTCTTTTGATTCATGGTACAAGAAACAGTATGCATTCAGAATAATTATAATGCGCCAACATCCCTCAAATGCTCTCCTCACATAGAAAAAGTGATAGGACTGTGATCTTGTGAGTTTCTCTTACAAAAAAAAAAGGTGGGCTCTGATGATTGATGTTGTATGTCAACTTGACTCAGAAGAACCCTGACTAATACAAGGGCTCTGAGAAGGGATCACAGGCCAAGTCTCTTCCCAGAGGTAATAAATTTTTAATGAATACTAATTTTTTAAGTTGCCAGAGAAAAATCTGTTTAATCTTTTAAAAAATTTTTTGTAAAAGACATATTCTTATTGATATACTCTTTCAAACACATTTTTCCCAATTGATTGTTTTTCTATTTCTTTTAAAAAATAGAGATGGGGTCTCACTATGTTGCCCAGGCTGGCCTCGAACTCCTGGCCTCAAGCGATCCTCCCATCTCAGCCTCCCAAAGTGCTAGGATTACAGGTGTGAGCCACTGCATCGGCCCCAGTTGATATTTTTAGAAAAAGGAGGTTAAGGTTTAAGTCAATGTTCAAAGAAAGGTTTAAGATAGATTAAACCAACAAACATCATCATCCCAGCAAACTGAGTCTCTTATTTCTCACCTCCTCATTCAACTAATAAGTATATGATCTTTTAAAATGTAATTCATAGCCTGAGAACTATAATGATTTATCCCTCTGATACTGAATAGATCTTTTACAGTCTAGATCCAATTGTGCTCTCCCTGACAACCACTGGATTAAGAACCTAAGATTAGTTTCCTAATAAAGCCCACATTCTATTTTCTATGTTAAGTATCATTTAGATAGAATTGTTAATGTGATAGCTATTTCATGATATCTTTTAGCTTTAACAAAAATTAATCCAATTTAAAAATTTTAATAATTACTTTTTATTCAGCTTGAATATATTATGATGATCCCCAAAGTCTTGATTAAATCTTTTGATTGTATTAAAATTTTGTAGTATGGGCTACTGCCTGCAATAAATGTACTTGCAGCCAGGGCTTCCAAGTCTTTATATTATGAAGATTTACACTGTATGTGTTAGATGATTATGAGGTCCAAGAGAAGGAAAAGATGTATGAACTATCTTGAAATCTGGGAGAAGGAAGAAAAGAACTTAGAATGTGGTGGAATAATGATTTGTGGCTTACTTCTGCAATGCAAAGTTGAAATAAAAGTGAACCTCACTTTATGGGATAGCTAGATTACTCAAAAATAAATCCTGTAAATCTAATCTATGTTAATTAAATTCAAGATTTAAAAGATGACAGCAAATATATTAAAATAAGGGTATGAAGATTCTATTAGAAGTAACTAGAGGTATTTTTCAGTGTAGTGGGAGAAAGAATAAAAAGTTTTTTAATTCTGTGAAATTAGGAAAGGTGTAGCTAGAATAAACACTGGGTGCTTCAGGAAATCCTATAATACTTAATTTTGGTTTACAAAGCCTATATAATTTAGAAGGTAAATTTAGGTTAAAATGAGTCATGAAGTATTACACACAGTAGCAAATAATTACCCCCAAGGGATAGTAAAACTAAAAATATTCATAGCTTAAGGAAAATCAGCTTATGTGAGGAGTACATTCCATGAAATTCTTAAGGTTAGAAACTTCAGCGGAGCATGATCTTACCATTCCACACCACCATACCCCTAAACAAAACAAAACAAAACAGTGTCCACTGGTAGCACTGTCGAAGATCAAAATATTCTGAACTATTTTTCTCAATTTAGCAATGCTTGAAATATATTACCACTGATTTTCATTAGGAAACTGAAAATTGATTGTCTAGAATAAAATGTCAGTAACCATATTTTAATGAAGAACTCTAGGTGGGGACATATACAAAAAGATTCAGAAAACATTACTGTAATTTTCCTAATGTTATTTTTATTTGGATGTCAACAGCTGAAAATAATAAAAGAAAACACTGAACTACAACAACTCTTTTGATTTATAATTAGTTTCTTATCTAATACAGGTGTGCCTCATTTTTATAATTGATAAAATTCTGAAGTTATGTGTATGCCAATTTTTCAAACATCAAACCCTAAATGTAAAAAACGAAAAGTCCAATAATTCACTTTTAAGCAAGAAATTTTCCTGTAATTGGCTGGGTGTGGTGGCTCACGCCTGTAATCCCAGCACTTTGGGAGGCCGAGGCAGGTGGATCACCTGAGGTCAGGAGTTCAAGACCAGCCTGACCAACATGGAGAAACCCCATCTCTACTAAAAATACAAAATTAGCCGGGTGTGGTGGCACATGCCTGTAATCCCAGCTACTTGGGAGGCTGAGGCAGGAGAATCCCTTGAACTCGGGAGGCAAAGGTTGCGGTGAGCCGAGATCGTGCCATTGCACTCCAGCCTGAGCAACAAGAGCGAAACTCCATCTCAAAAAAAAAAAAAAAAAGAAATTTTCCTGTAATACAATTAACCACTCCTGTAAATTATTTGTTGGAAACTAAGAATGCCTTGTCTTGATTGAATTAGAGAGTTTTTTCCTGTACTATCTCATTGGGAAGTAGTAATGGCCAATATTTATTGACTACTTATGTCCCATGCACTGTACCACGTGCTTTTATTTAGATAACATTATTTAATCTCATAACACCTCTTTGAGGTAGCTACTACTATTGCCCCCATTTTACAGACAGAAAGTAAAGTTTGCCAAAGGTCACCCAGCTAGGCAGGTGCGGAGGCAGGATTTGAACCAGTCTGTCTCCAAAGGCTATGTTACTTTAACATTTGTCTACAATATTTAGTAACTCTACAAAGTGAGCAGATCAAACTAAATATAAAAACAGTGAATCTTTGAGGATTAACTGATTTACCTTAATAAACCCATTAAACCCAGCTAGCAGGAATAATAAACCTAGGTCTTCTTTTTTTTTTTTTTTTGTGTGTGTGTGTGTGTGTGTGTGAGATGGAGTATCGCTCTGTCACCTAGACTGGAGTGCAGTGGTGCAATCCCAGCCCACTGCAACCCCTGCCTCCCGGGTTCAAGCGATTCTCCTGCCTCAGCCTCATGAGTAGCTGGGGTTACAGGTGTGTGCCACCATGCCTGGCTAATTTTTGTATTTTTAGTAGAGATCAGGTTTCACCATGTTGGCCAGGCTGGTCTCCAACTCCCAACCTCAAGTGATCCGCCCACTTTGGCCTCCCAAGGTGCTGGGATTACAAGTGTGAGCCACTGCCCCCAGCCCAAGTCTTCTGATTCAGCTTTTATATTCAGTATTCTTTCTACTATAGTAAATATTAAATATTAGATTTTCTCAAAGCAAGACATCCCTCTGCTCCACGGCAAGAACCCACACAATTCCTTGGTGGCTCAGATATTTCTTTTACTTAATTCAGGGAACCATATTACTTAAAAAAAACAAAAGCAAATAAAAAATACCTAGCAGAAGCCAATAAATTCAGGTTTGTTAAATCACACAGGAATTGAGACGTAACAGCTGATTTACCTGAACATGATCAAAGGACCTGAAATTTTTGCAGAGTTTGCAGATATTGCAAGAAGTAGTCTACAGTAATGATCAAAACTGAACACTGGAGTCTGACTACTCAGATTCAAATCCCAGCTCCACCACCTACTGATTACATAACCTTATTCATATTCATTTAAGCATTCTGTGCCTCAGTTTCTTCATCTGTAAAATGAGGTTAATAATACCCTACCTGGTTGTTGTGAGTATCAAATGATTTAATACATAAAGTGCTTAGAGCAGTGAGTACTTGGTATGTGGTAAGCACTTAATAATTATCAGCTAGTACTGTTATTACTTTTGCATAATAAGATATGCTTTTATTCAATATGGAAAGCATTTTTGAGTTTCCTTTTTCTGTCTTGAGAAATATAATTATTGCTTCCTCCCACAATTTTTCCTTAAAACAAATTCTATTTCTTTTCAGAATACATCCTCTGTTAGCCACTAAGCATTATTCATTAGCCATAATCCACTGAACAAATGTCAGTTCATTTACAGTACATTTTACCTTTTCTCTCATTAATCTTCCAAATTATTGAAAATAGTCCAGAATTTTATCGATACTTTTATAATTTTATGTACAGAGAACCATCATTTTAGATAACTTGAGATTCAGAAAAATTTTAGTTTGTCAGTTTTAAGACAAAAAAGGAACCAGTATCAAGGGGAAAAAAATAGAAATAAAGAGAAAATACTTGATATCTAAATCACGCCCTTTTGTTGTATGCTCAGTTATATTAACAGGTTACATGGATGAAGAACTTGCAAAAAAATCTTGTTCCAAAATCCAGATTCTAAAATGTGGAGGCACTGCAAGGTCTCAGAATAGCCGAGAAGAAAACAAGGAAGCACTAAAGAATGACATCATATTTACGAATTCTGTAGAATCCTTGAAATCAGCACACATAAAGGAGCCAGAAAGAGAAGGAAAAGGCACTGATTTAGAGAAAGACAAAATAGGAATGGAGGTCAAGGTAGACAGTGACGCTGGAATACCAAAAAGACAGGAAACCCAACTAAAAATCAGTGAGATGAGTGTACCACAAGGACAGGGAGCCCAAATAAAGAAAAGTGTGTCAGATGTACCAAGAGGACAGGAGTCCCAAGTAAAGAAGAGTGAGTCAGGTGTCCCAAAAGGACAAGAAGCCCAAGTAACGAAGAGTGGGTTGGTTGTACTGAAAGGACAGGAAGCCCAGGTAGAGAAGAGTGAGATGGGTGTGCCAAGAAGACAGGAATCCCAAGTAAAGAAGAGTCAGTCTGGTGTCTCAAAGGGACAGGAAGCCCAGGTAAAGCAGAGGGAGTCAGTTGTACTGAAAGGACAGGAAGCCCAGGTAGAGAAGAGTGAGTTGAAGGTACCAAAAGGACAAGAAGGCCAAGTAGAGAAGACTGAGGCAGATGTGCCAAAGGAACAAGAGGTCCAAGAAAAGAAGAGTGAGGCAGGTGTACTGAAAGGACCAGAATCCCAAGTAAAGAACACTGAGGTGAGTGTACCAGAAACACTGGAATCCCAAGTAAAGAAGAGTGAGTCAGGTGTACTAAAAGGACAGGAAGCCCAAGAAAAGAAGGAGAGTTTTGAGGATAAAGGAAATAATGATAAAGAAAAGGAGAGAGATGCAGAGAAAGATCCAAATAAAAAAGAAAAAGGTGACAAAAACACAAAAGGTGACAAAGGAAAGGACAAAGTTAAAGGAAAGAGAGAATCAGAAATCAATGGTGAAAAATCAAAAGGCTCGAAAAGGGCGAAGGCAAATACAGGAAGGAAGTACAACAAAAAAGTGGAAGAGTAAGGATAAATTTTTTAAAGGCCCATAAGACAAGTGATTATTATGATTCCCATACTCCAGATACAAACCATATCCCAGCCATTGCCTAAACAGATTACAATTATAAAATCCCTTTCATCTTCATATCACAGTTTCTGCTCTTCAGAAGTTTCACCCTTTTTAATCTCTCAGCCACAAACCTCAGTTTCCAAATATTTGTTTTATAAGTTAAGACGTATATGATTCCGTCAAGAAAGACTGGATACTTTCTGAAGTAAAACATTTTAATTAAAGAAATATATAGTAATTTCCTTTGACAAGTATGTCTATGATAGCCTTTCCAACCAATCAACCAGTAACTCCTCATGGCAAGCCTAATGTTTGCAAGGCACTGGTCTAGCAATAAGGGGTGTACAGAAAAACACAAGTCAGAGCTCCTGCAATCAAGTAGCTTATAACATATATAGTGATATATGTATACATGGCAATTTTTTAAGTAAAATCTAAGTTACAAAAAGTTTAGATGGACAACATAATCCATCATGGGATGAGAAAGTAGAGGTGGTAACTTCATGGGGAAGGGAGTAGTGGTATACAATATGTCACAGCAGATGGATAAGGTGTTGATATGCTGAGTGAATTACAAAGAGTAAAAGAAAGGTAAAGGGTTAAAGGCTGTCGTGCCATGCTCCAGGTGCAGTAGGCAATTTTGCTGTTACGGAAGATTCATGGGAGGCATCCTGGGGTATAATTTTGAAAAGGAGAATATAAAAGGATTTGAAAAACAAGCCAGGAATTTATATTTTACTCTTCAGGCAGCTGGAAGCATTCTACAATGTTTGAGACACAGAGTGAAATGAATAAGGTTGTATCATTTTAAAAATAAGGTTGTATCATGTGATTGTGAAAAATAAGATAGAAAAAGAAACATCATAGATAGTAAATCTAATTAAGAAGTACTTGGAGTAAGTAATGGAAAGAGAATAAATAGGAAAAAAATCAAAGAAGAATCATTACTTCATGATGACTGACTGCATAGGAGTAAGGAAAAGTGAAAAAAACAATGGTTTCAAAACTTTTGAAACTAGGTAACAAACAAACTAGGAACTAATTTGGGGGACAGGGAGGGAACAACAAATTGTTTTAAGGGGATAAGCAATAACATTTGTCATTCAAGAGATATCTGGAATTAGATGAGTACAGGTAACAATTGAAGCAATAAGAGTGAGTTCTTCAAAGGAGGAAGTACAGGACTAACGAAAGCAGAAGTCCAAGGACTGAGTTTGTTATATGTAATATATTGAAGAAATTTAACTAAGGGATAGGAAGATAGAAGGAAAACCTGTATAGTGGAATGTTCCAATAATTAAGGAAGATGAGAGTTTTGAGAAAAAAATGACTGAGACTTCAAGGAAAATAAGGACTGAAAGAACACTGTAGTTGCTATTTGGAGCTGACTAATGAACTTCTAAAGAGCACTTTCCAAAGAAAGGAAGCTAGGAGAAGGAAGGTAAGCAGGAAGAATATAGAGATACAAGTAAGTAGTTGTGGGATGTGCCTTTCAAACATCCAACAGAGTTAACTTATTTTAGTCTATTTTAAAATAATCATTTTTAGAAATTTTATTTTTATACTGTTCAATACTGTGCTGGTTAGCCCACACCCTGAATATACATTTAGTTCAATCATGGGATGTGGATAAACTAAATGCCTTCAGGAGAGAAAGACTCAAGTGTGCAGGAAGTTGCAGAATTCCCCTGGGAAGACAAATATGAGGAAACAATGAGAATTACTTTCAAATAGTGAAAGTTCATAAGGGATTAGAATATTTTGTATAGCCCCAAAGAAATGAGATCAGTGAATGGAAGGTACAAAGTAACAAATTTTATCTTAGTAATAAGGAGAAGTGGAGGTCCAAAGAGTTTAAGCAAGAGTTTAAGGCTCATTCAGTGAGAATGCCATAGAGGAGACTCAGGAAACAGCTGAGTAATTGGAATAAGTTATCTTTATGGTCCCTTCCAAATAGACTTCCTGAGAGTCTATAATTCTAGTTATCAAATTCTTTGGACTAACTAGATGTCTTCCAAGGAAGCTTTTCATACTGATATGCTATTCTTTGGAGGCGTTTGATGAAAAAAGGAGAGAAACCAGACATTAGTCTCTGCCCAAAGTATAAAATGTTTCATAAATGTTTCAGGCTACCCAATCACAACCTTAAAAGAGTATCTCCATAACTTCTAGCACAATCTAATCCACTGTATGGCTGTCTACTGTGTTCTCACAGCCCTGCCGCAGGTATGGAAGCCTATGTTAATTTTAGAAGTCACAGAATCCTCAGGTCTTTGATGAGCTGCACAGGTTTAGCAAAACTGAGTTGCCAGAGAGAGAGAGAGTGAGAGAGAAGAAGACAGATATTAAACATGGATTTTAATATTGTAAGTTGCTTTTGTCATCTGTGGAAAATACACATTTAGAGATTTTACCAGCCTTTGTTGGCATGTCTTTTACATACATTATGCTGTTTATCAGGGAACATTTTTGACCAGAAAGATTTTCACATAGTTAAAAGTATTAGATTTTCATCATTCTCATGTCATTTTTCCTATAGCCCCTCTGGTCCATGTGACAGCTAACTAGTAGGTTGTTTGCTTGTTTGTTTTTCCTCACTCTTCACCCAGGCTGGAGTGCAGCGGCATGATCTTGGCTCACTGCAACCTCCTCCTCCTGGGTTCAAGTGATTCTCATGCCTCAGCCTCCTAAGTAGCTGGGATTACAGGAGTGCACCACCAAGCCCAGCTAATTAGTGTATTTTTAGTAGAGATGGGGTTTCACCATGTTGTCCAGGCTGGTCTCAAACTCCTGACCTCAGGTGATCCACCGCCTCAGCCTCCCAAAGTGCTGGGATTACAGGCGTGAGCCACTGTGCCCAGCCACTACTAGGTTTTAGAAGGGTATGACTAATTCAACTTCTCTCAGATTTCTGGTAAGAAGCAGGGACCTTGTCAAGGCAATTACTAAAAAACAGTAGATAGGCTTCAGCAACCCAGCTCAGCTGACTCCATATCTGTGTGTATGTCCCACTGAAGCAAGAATTCAGAAGAGATAGATCTATAGAAACCTCCCTGTATCTTCTCCATAACTTCTAACTTGGGGTCAAAACATTTGCACTCCCACTAGGTCTTTGAAGGCAAGTAAATCATACAATAGAATACTCCAACTATAAAAATTCTGTGGACCATTTTCTAAAGGCCACTGAAAAACTGACAAATTTAAAGCAATTGTTAACCCTCCTGTAAAGATACACATGTGGAAATCTTAAAGGACCCCAAACAAAGGAAGGGAGAAAGGACAAGCTATCAAAATGACACCATGTTTAACAAAATGATGAAAATTTTAAGAAAATACATAAATATGTACTTCTAAGATAGTGGCAATATAAAAGTAGGAATGTGAAACTTACCTTAAGAAATCAATAGTAAATTTTGTTTTGCAAATAAACTAATACAAATGTCAAATGTCCTGTTCACAAGAATGGAATAGAAGTCAATTCAATTAGTCATTTTTCATTTAGGAGCAGAACGTAGGAAAGAAAAGCAGAAAGGTGAGTTTAGAGATAATGAAGCTGAATGAGAAACACAAAATATTAGGAAACAAACAATTTATGTAAAATCAGTTAATGCGGCTCCTATCCCAATTAAAGACTCCCTGAGTTAGTAGTGCATTAAAAATGCAATTTCCTGGCTGAGTGTGGGGCTCATGTCTGTAATTCCAGCACTTTGGGAGGCCGAGGAGGGTAGATCATGAGATCAGAAGTTCAAGACCAGCCTGGCCAACATGGGGAAACCCGTCTCTACTAAAAATACAAAAATTAGCCAGGCGTGGTGGTGCACACCTGTAGTCCCAGCTACTCAGGAGGCTGAGGCAGGAGAATTGCTTGAACCCGGGAGGCAGAGGTTACAGTGAGCCGAGATCATGCCACTGCACTCCAGCCTGGGCGACAGAGTGAGACTCTGTCTCAAAAAATAAAAATAAAAAAATGCAATTTCCCATTTTCCCCTAAATATCTCTCACCCTAGGTTATAACTGACATATCAAGGAAGTGAATACAGGGAACCGAGAAAGGGGACAAGATATAGAAGGAAAAAACAGGATCCAAAGGAATAAAAGAATAAGCTGAAAAATTGATCAAAATATTCAGTTTTATATTTGATGAGATTCCTTTACTCTCCCCCTTAAAAACAATCAGGAATAGGAAAAAAACAACTAGTGTTCCTACACTCTACTTGAGAAGTTCCAATTGTGGTTTCGAAGAAATACAAGCCTGTAATCTTAGTGTTTCAGGAATAAAGACACTCTTATCTGTCATCATCCAGAAGCTTGAGCACTTGCCAAGACCGGGAAGTCAAACCTGAGATGCCACACTACAGATTATACACGTTGTAAGCTAGGTCTCAATAAATTTTCTATTCAAATCTTTATTAAGTTTCTCTCTTCAAAAATTAAAAACTCACAGTGTTAACTTTCTATGAATCTCTCCACATCTTAATCCATGTTTATATAAAAATATATGCAAATATGAGTATATGTAGGAATTTTTTTCTAAAAATAGGGTCAAACTATATACATAATTCTGCAACTTGTCTTCTTCGCCTAACAATACATCATGGGCAACACATCAATCTAACATTTTAATAGCACAGCATCCAGTAGTGTGAATGAATTACTGCTTATTCAACCATTTCCTTAAAGATAGACATTTAGCTTGTTTCCAACCTTTTGCCTTTGGCTAAATGATTCTGCCATTGCCAAATGATACTGCAATACACATCTCTATATATGATCAGGATTTTATTTCTCTAGGATAGATTTCCAGAAGTAGAACTGCCAGATCAAAAGAAATGTGTATTTTAATGTTAATAGATATTACCTAATTCCTTTTCCCCAAATTTGTAATAATTCATATTCCTACAGGAAGATATGAGAGTCCTATCTTCCCCATACTTGCACTGGTGCTGGAAGCGGTAGCTATTTTTAATCTTTGTCTATTGAGAAAAGTGGTATCTAACTGTTTCTTTAATTGTATTTTCCTGACTACTAGTGAGACTGAACATTTTTTCATAAGTTTAATCGTATTTTGAATTTTCTCTCCTGTGATTTAATTGCTTTTCAAACTGGTGGTTTGCCCGTTGTCTTACTCAGTTTTATGTGTTTTTGCATATTAAGTTTTTATCTGCCATTTGTGTTGAAAATGTTTTCCCAATCTACTCATTCTCTCTCTACATCCAATTCATCAACCTGTACCCTAAAATTATATCTTGAATCTGACTACTACTCATCTCCTTCATCAAGAAGTCCAAACCATCGCCATATCTCACCTGCATTGCTGTGCCTGCTTCCAAACTGAGCTTCCCAATCCCACTCCCCACTCCCAACGGAATCGTGCTTTCAAAATATAAATCAGATGAAGTCACTTCTCTACTCAAAACTCTCCAAAGACCAACCCCCATCAGTGTAAAAATTGCAAAGTTGTTTTTTTGTTTCTTTGTTTGTCAGTTTGAGATAGGGTCTCGAGCTGTTGCCCAGGCTGGAGTGCACTGGCATGATCACAGCTCACTGCAACCTCAACCTCCCAGGCTCAAGCAATCCTTCCATTTGGCCTCCTGAGTAGTTGGGACTACAAATGCACGCCACCATGCCCAACTAATTTTTTATTTTTTAGGTTTGCTAGAGATGAGGTCTTATGTTGCCCAGGCTGGTCTCAAACTCCTGGGCTCAAGCAACCCTCCCGCCTCAGCCTCCCAAAGTGCTGGGATTAGGCTGAGCCACCAGGCCCAGCTTCATGAAAGTTCTTATCCTGGCCTTGAAGGCCTTACAGTATCTAGCTTCTGGCTTCTCCTCTAGCCTCATCACCCACTCTCCATCTCCCTTCCATTGATGCAGCCACACTGGCCTCCTCATTTCTCCTCATGCCTGCCAAGCATGTTCTTGCTTCAGAATCAGCCTGAACACTCCCCCTCAAACATATGCACTACTCAATTATTTTAAGAAATATGCTTAAATTTGACTACCCTAAGTAAAACAGTACCCCCCATTCTCTATCTCTTTGCCCTGATGTATCTTTATTACTAGCATTTATCACCTGACATCATATATTTATTTTTGTTTATTGACTTTCTGCCCCACAAGAATGTAAACTCTAAGGGACTTTGTTCACTGCTGAATCTCCATGCTTAGAAAAGTGCCTCGCACATAGTAGATGCTCATCAAAGATTTGTTAACTGACATGAAGTAGATTAAATGAAGGTACATTTTACTATACAAAAATATACTTCATCTAGTCAAATATGTCTGCCTTATCCTCGGAAACTTCTGGGCTTTCTAAAGGGTCTCTTTGGAATGCATATACATGATTAATGAGAATGTAAGTTAGTTCAGCCACTGTGGAAAGCAGTTTGGATATTTCTCAAAGAACTAAAAGAACTACCATTTGGCCCAGCAATCCCATTACATATATATATATATATATATATATATATATATATATATATATATATATATATATATAACACTCAAAGAAAAATTATTCTACCAAAAAGACACGTGCGTTCATATGTTCATCGCAGTGCTATTCACAATAGCAAAGACACGGAATCAACTTAGGTGCCCATCAGTAGTGGACTGGATAAAGAAATGTGGTACATATATACCATGGAATACTACCCAGCCATTAACAAGAATGAAATGTCCTTTGCAGCCACACAGATGCAGCTGGAGGCCATTATCCTATGCTAATTAACACAGAAACAAAACCAAATACAGCTTGTTCTCACAAGTGGGAGCTAAACATTGGGTACACATGAACATAAAGATGGGAACAATAGATACTGGAGACAAGAAGAGAGGGGAAGAAGAGAGGAGGATGAGGGTTGAAAATCTACCTATTGGCTACTATGCTCACTACCTGAGTGACAGGATCATTCATATTCCAAACCTCAGCATTATACAATACTCACAGGTAACAAACCTCCACATGTACTTGCTGAATCTAAAATAAAGTTGAAAAAATAAAATAAAATAAATAAATAAATAAATGGTCTCCTTGACTACTATGGTACACATATTTATAGTCACTTAATTTTTTTCTTTTATAATTTTTATTTTCTATTTCTCTTCAATTAAATATTTAATCCATTTTGTTTATGGTGTGAACAGAGGTTTCACTTTTTTTCCTTCTTGACAGATATCAAATTATATCGGTAGCATTTGTAGAATCAATTATTCTTTTTCCCTAAATCATGCATTCTCAACAGGGGCCACATTGCCCTCCAAGGGTCAAAAACGAGTTCTGGGTGGATCAAGAAATCCAATGATTTATTGCGATTTATTCTTTTCAGGTATAAATCACAGATGTTCAGTATCCTAAGACTTTGCTGAAGTTGCTTATCAGCTTATGTATAAAGTACATAAGCAGATATATAGACAATAAAATACACAAGCAGATATACAGTATATTGGTAATATTACAATTTTGTAAAGTGAGGCAATTAGGATAAAAACGTCATATCATACTGCTTTGATTATACAGGGTATATAGAAAGTTTGAGTATCTATTAAGCATGTCTCATTCTGCTCTTTGTTCTTTGTTTTCTTGGCTCTTTTGGAATATGTTCCACCACATGAACTTTAATTTTACCTGACTCCCCTCTAAAAAAAATAGCATTCTGGCTGAAAATGAGTTAACTATTTGGAGATATTTGACATTATTGTTATTACTGAAGTCACTTCACCCAGAAATGTTGTATGAGTCTTCATTGGTTTAGGTCTTCATATTGGTGCTTTCACAAGACTTTACAATTGGTGCTTTCTGAAAAGTTTACAGACTTCTTCATATTAGTTCTTGTTATATTTACTCCTAGGTACCTATAATGTTTTGTTGTCATTGTAAGTGTGATTTTTACATTTTTTTAAATTAATTTTAACAAGTGTAGAGAAAAGTAATCTTTGTATTTATCTTGATTAATGTGACATCAGACTCTCATATCATTACTAATAATTTTCTGGCCATTTCTTGGATTTCTTAGTATACTGTGTAAAGAGATACAATTTTGCTTCATACAATTTACATTTATGCATTTTTGGTATTTGTTCTGTGTGTATAGAATCCAGCTTTTTCCAGGAGAATAATTTCTTTTATTAATTTTAATGATATTCTTTCTTTCTTTTTGTATTATTATACTTTAAGTTCTGGGATACATGTACAGAACGTGCAGGTTTGTTACATAAGTATTCACGTGCCATGGTGGTTTGCCGCACCCATCAATTTGTCATCTAGGTTTTAAGCCCCACCTGCATTAGGTATTTGTCCTAATGCTCTCCCTCCTCTTGCCCCTCACACCCTGACAGGCCCTGGTGTGTGATATCCCCGTCCCCGTGTCCATGTGTTGTCATTGTTCAACTCCCACTTATGAGCAAGAACATGCAGTGTTTAGTTTTCTGTTCCTGTGTTAGTTTGCTGAGAATGATGGTTTATAGCTTCATCCATGTTCCTGCAAAGAACATGAACTCATTCTTTTTTATGACTGCATAGTATATATGTGCCACATTTTCTTTATCCAGTCTATCATTGATGGGCATTTGGGTTGGTTCCAAGTCTTTGCTATTGTAAATAGTGCTGCAGTAAACACACGTGTGCATGTGTCTTTATAGTAGAATGATTTATAATCCTTTGGGGATATACCCAGTAATGGGATTGCTGGGTCAAATGGTATTTCTGGTTCTAGATCCTTGAGGAATCACCACACTGTCTTCCACAATGGTTGAACTAATTTACACTCCCATCAACAGTGTAAAAGTGTTCCTATTTCTCCACAGCCTCTCCAGCATCTGTTGTTTCCTGACTTTTTAATGATTGCCATTCTAACTGGCATAAGATGGAATCTCATTGTGGATTTGATTTGCATTTCTCTAAGGACCAGTGATAATGAGCTTTTTTCATATGTTTCTTGGCCACATAAATGTCTTCTTTTGAGAAGTGTCTGTTCATATCCTTTGCCCACTTTTTGATGAGGTTGTTTTGTTTTCTTGTAAATTTGTTTAAGTTCCCTGTAGGTTCTGGATATTAGACCTTCCTCAGATGGATAGATTGCAAAAATTTTCTCCCATTCTGTAGGCTGCCTGTTCACTCTGATGACAAGTTTCTTTTGCTGCGCAGAAGCTCTTTGGTTTAATTAGATCCCATTTGTCAATTTTGGCTTTTGTTGCCATTGCTTTTGGTGTTTTAGTCATGAAATCTTTTTTGCCCATGCCTATGTCCTGAATGGTATTGCCTAGGTTTTTTTCTAGAGTTTTTACGGTTTTAGGTTTTCTGTTTAAGTCTTTATTGAGGTAATTTTGTATAAGGTGTAAGGAAGGGGTCCAGTTTCAGTTTTCTGCATATGGCTAGCCAGTTTTCCCAACACCATTTATTAATTAGGGAATCCTTTCCCCATTGCTTGTGTGTGTCAGGTTTGTCAAAGATCAGATGGTTGTAGACATGTGGTGTTATTTCTGAAGCCTCTCTTCTGTTCTATTGGTCTATATATCAGTTTTGGTACCAGTCCCATGTTCTTTTAGTTACTGTAGCCTTATAGTATAGTTTGAAGTCAGGTAGCATGATGCCTCCAGCTTTGTTCTTTTTGCTTAGGATTGTCTTGGCTATATGGGCCCTTTTTTTGGTTCCATATGAAATTTGAAGTCGTTTTTTCTAATTCTGTGAAGAAAGTCAATGGTAGCCTGATGGGAATAGCATTGAATCTATAAATTACTTTGGGCCATATGGCCATTTTCACAATATTGATTCTTCCTATCCACGAGCATGGAATGTTTTTCCACTTGTTTGTGTCCTCTCTTATTTCCTTGAGCAGTGGTGTGTAGTTCTCCTTGAAAAGGTCCTTCACGTCCCTTGTAAGTTGTATTTCTAGGTGTTTTATTCTCTTTGTAGCAATTGTGAGCTCACTCATGATTTGGCTCTCTTTGTCTATTATTGGTATATAGAATGCTTGTGATTTTTGCACATTAATTTTGTATCCTGAGACTTTGCTGAAGTTGCTTATCAGCTTAAGAAGTTTTGGGGCTGAGACGATGGAGTTTTCTAAATATACAATCATGTCATCTGCAGACAGAGACAATTTGACTTCCTCTCTTCCTATTTGAATACTCTTTATTGCTTTCTCTTGCTTGATTGCCCCGGCCAGATTTTCCAACACTATGTTGAACAGGAGTGGTGAGAGAGGGCATCTTTGTCTCGTGCTAGTTTTCAAATGGAATGCTTCCAGCTTTTGCTCATTCAGTATATTAGCTATGGGTTTGTCACGAATAGCTCTTATTAGTTTGAGATATGTTTCATCAATACCTAGTTTATTGAGTGTTTTTAGCATGAAGGGGTATCAAATTTAATCGAAGGCCTTTTCTGTATCTATTGAGATAATCATGTGGGTTTTGTCATTGGTTCTGTTCATGTGATGGATTATGTTTATTGATTTGCGTATGTTGAACCAGCCTTGCATCCCAGGGATGAAGTCGACTTGATCATGGTGGATAAGCTTTTTGATGTGCTGCTGGATTCAGTTTGCATGTATTTTACTAAGGATTTTTGCATCAATCTTCTTCAGAGATATTGGCCTGAAACTTTCTTTTTTTGTTGTGTCTCTGTTAGGTTTTGGTATCAGGATGACGCTGGCCTCATAAAATGAGTTAGGGAGGAGTCCCTCTTTTTTTATTGTTTGGAATAGTTTCAGAAGGAATGGTACCAGCTCCTCTTTGTACCTCTGGTAGAATTCGCCTGTGAATCCGTCTGCTCCTGGGCTTTTTTGGGGGGTAGTAGGCTATTAATTATTGCCTCAATTTCAGAACTTGTTACTGGTCTATTCAGGGATTCAACTTCTTCCAGGTTTAGTCTTGGGAGAGTGTATGTGTCCAGGAATTATTATTATTGTGTGGGAGTCTAAGTCTCTTTATAGGTCTCTAGGAACTTGCTTTATGAATCTGGGTGCTCCCGTATTGGGTGCATATATATTTAGGATAGTTAGCTGTTCTTGTTATATTGATCCCTTTACCATTATGTGATGCCCTTCTTTGTCTTTTTGATCTTTGTTTGTTTAAAGTCTGTTTTATCAGAGACTAAGATTGCAACCCCTGCTTTTTTTTTTCTTTCCATTTGCTTGTTAAATATTCCTCCATCCCTTTATTTTGAACCTATGTGTATCTTTGCACATGAGATGGGTCTCCTGAATACAGCACACTGATGGGTCTTGAGTATTTATCCAATTTGCCAGTCTGTGTCTTTTAACTGGGGCATTTAGCCCATTTACATTTAAGGTTAATATTGTTATGTGTGAATTTGATCCTGTCCTCCTGGTGCTAGTTGGTTATTTTGCATATTAGTTGGTGCAGTTTCTTCATAGTGTCGTTGGTCTTTATATTTTGGTGTGTTTTTGCAGTGGCTGGTACTGGTTTTTCCTTTCCATATTTAGTGCTTCCTTCAGGAGCTCTTTTAAGGTAGGCCTGGTGGTGACAAAATCCCTCAGCACTTGCTTGTCTGTAAAGGATTTTATTTCTCCTTCCCTTATGAAGCTTAGTGTGGCTGGATATGAAATTCTGAGCTGAAAATTATTTTCTTTAAGAATACTGAGTATTGGCCCCCACTCTTTTCTGGCTTATAGGGTTTCTGCAGAGAGAGCCAATGTTAGTCTAGTGGGCTTCCCTTTATAGGTAACCTGACCTTTCTCTCTGGCTGCCCTTAACATTTTCTCCTTCATTTCAACCTTGGAGAATCTGAAGATTTTGTGTCTTGGGGTTGCTCTTCTCGAGGAATATCTTTGTGGTGTTCTCTATATTTCCTGAATTTGAATGCTGGCCTGTCTTGCTAAGCTGGGGAAGTTTTCCTGGATAACATCCTGAAGCTTGTTTTCCAACTTGGTTCCATTCTTCCTGTCACTTTCAGGTACACCGATCAATCGTAGGTTTGGTCTTTCCACATAGTCCCATATTTCTTGGAGGCTTTGTTCATTCCTTTTCATTTTTTTTCTCTAATCTTGTCTTCACACTTTATTTCATTAAATTGATCTTCAATTTCTGATATCCTTTCTTCCACTTGATCAATTTGGCTATTGATACTTGTGTACACTTCACGAAGTTCTTGTGCTGTGTTTTTTCACCTCCATTAGGTCATTTATGTTCTTCTCTAAACTAGTTATTCTAGTTAGCAGTTCCTGTAACCTTTTATCAAGGTTCTTAGTTTCCTTGCATTGGGTTTGAACATGCTCCTTTAGCTCAGAGGAGTTTGTTATTACCCACTTTCTGAAGCCTACTTCTGTCAGTTCGTCAAACTCATTCTCTGTCCAGTTTTGTGCTCTTGCTGGAGAGGCATTGCAATCATTTGAAGGAGAAGAGGCATTCTGGTTTTTGGAATTTTCGGCATTTTTGCACTGGTTTTTCCTCATCTTTGTGGATTTATCTACTTTTCATCTTTGATGTTGATGACCTTGGATGTGGTTTTTGTGTGGGCATCCTTTTTTTTGTTGATGTTGATGTTATTGCCTTTTTTTTTTTTTTTTTTTTTTGAGACAAAGTCTCGCTCTGTTGCCCAACCTGGAGTGCAGCAGCGTGATCTCGGCTCACTGCAACCTCCACCTTCCAGGTTCGAGTGATTCTCCCACCTCAGCCTCCCAAGTAGCTGGGACTACAAGTGCGCGCCACCATGCCCAGCTACTTTTTGTATTTTTAGTAGAAACAGGGTTTCACCATATTGGCTAGGCTGGTCTCAAACTCCTGACCTTGTGATTTGCCCGCCTCAGCTTCCCAAAGTTCTGGGAATAAACCACCATGCCCAGCTGATGTTATTGCTTTCTGTTTTTTGGTTTTCCTTCTAACAGTCAGGACCCTCTTCTGCAGGCCTGCTGGAGTTTACTGGAGGTCCACTATACACCCTATTTGCCCGGGTATCACCAGTGGAGCCTGCAGAACAGCAAAGATTGCTGCCTGTTCCTTCCTCTGGAAGCTTCATCTTAGAGGGCACCAGTCTGATGCCAGCCAGAGCTCTCCTGTATGAGGTGTCTGTCAACCACTGCTGGGAGGTGTCTTCCAGTTAGGAGGCATGGGGGTCAGGGACCCACTTGAGGAGGCAGTCTGTCCCTTAGCAGAGCTCAAGCACTGTGCTGGGAGATCTGCTGTTCTCTTCAGAGCTGGCAGGCAGGAATGTTTAAGTCTGCTGAAGCTGCTCCCACAGCCGCCCCTTCCCCCAGGTGCTCTGTCCCAGGAAGATGGGAGTTTTAAATATAAGCCCCTGACTGGGGCTGCCTTTCTTTCAAAGATGCCCTGCCCATTGAGGAGGAATCTAGAGAGGCAGTCTGGCCACAGCTGCTTTGCTGCACTGCAGTGAATTCTGCAAAGTCCGAACTTCCCAGTGGCTTCCTTAACACTGTGAGGGGAAAACCACCCACACAAGCCTCAGTAATGGCGGGCACCCCTCCCCACACCAACCTGGATTGTCCCAGGTCGACTTCAGACTGCTATGCTGGCAGTGAGAATTTCAAGCCAGTGGTTATTAGCTTGCTGGGCGCTGGGGGAGTGGGACCCACTGAGCGAGACCACTTGGCTCCCTGGCTTCAGCCCCCTTTCCAGGGGAGTGAATGGTTCTGTCTTGCTGGGGTTCCAGGTGCCACTGGCCTATGAAAAAAAAAATTGCAGCTAGCTCGGTGTCTGCCCAAACAGCCGCCCAGTTTTGTGCTTGAAACCCAGCACCCTAGTGGTGTAGGCACACAAGGGAATCTCCTGGTCTGTGGGTTGCAAAAACCATGGGAAAAGCATAGTATCTGGTCCAGATAGCACAGTCCCTGGTCCGGATAGCACAGTCCCTCACGGCTCCCCTTGGCTAGAGGAGGGAGGTCCCCAGCTCCTTGCACTTCCCAGGTGAACCAACAACCCACCCCACTTCTGCTCACCCTCCATGAGCTGCACCTACTTTCTAACCAGTCCCAATGAGATGAACTGGGTACCTCAGTTGGAAATGCAGAAATCACCCGCCTTCTGCATTGGTCTCACTGGGAGCTGCAGACCAGAGCTGTTCCTATTCAGCCATCTTTCCCAGGAACTTCCAGTATTCTTTATTTCAAATAGTAATTTCTGATTTAAATTCTATTTTAAATAATAGCTTTTTGGTTAATATTTTCCTCTGCTTTGTCTTTCTCTATTATTTTACTTTTCAGATTCCAATAAGTCTTGTGAATAGAAAATAACTGGATCCTTTTTCCCTGTCTTAGAGTATAGATCTTTTAAGGGGCAAGTTTAAACCATTTGTATTTATGATGATTACTGATTTACTCAGTTTTGTTTATGACACCTTACCAAGTGCTTTCCATATTGCATAATTTTACAGTACTATTCCACTGTCTTTGCTATTGTTGTCTGATATTTTCATTCTGCTACATTTATGCACCCCAAAATTAGTCATGATAAAATTATTTTTATAGTCTGTGTTTTTCAGATATATTCATATATTTACCAATATTGCTCACTATTTCTCTTTGTATCTTAATCCTTGCTTTGTGGTTTGATTTTTTTGTTTTTTGGTTTTTAGTTTTTTTGTGTGAGACAGGCTCTCTCATTCTGTCACCCAAGATAGAGCGCAGTAGTGCAATCTCAGCTCACTGCAACCTCCACCTCCCGAGTTCAAGCGATTCTCCCACCTCAGCCTCCCGAGTATCTGGGACTACAGATATGTGCCACCATACCCAGCTAATTTTTCTATTTTTAATAGAAACAGGGTTTCACCATGTTGGCCAGGCTGGTCTCGAACTCCTGACCTCAAGTGATCTGCCTGCCTTGGCCTCCCAAAGTGTTGAGATTACCAGTGTGAGCCATCGCACCCCGCCTGTGGTTTCATTTTTAAATGAGGATCTGTGAATAATAAATTCTTGGACTTTTGCCAGAAAAATTAACTTCGCCTTCATTATAAAATAACAGTTTTGCTGAATAAGGAACTCAATGTATTTTCTCAGCTAATTGAAGATGTTATCCATTGCCTTTTGGCCTTTGTTTTTGCTCTTAAGAAGTCTGCTTAATACCTAGTTAGTTTGCAGGTTATTTTGTCTTTTTCTGTCTGGTAATATTTAGAATTTTGTCTTTGTCTTGGTGTTACACAGTTTCACTACTATGTGTCCAGTCCATTTTCATTATTCCTGCTTTAGGAGGGTGCATCTTAAAACTTTACAGTAATGTCTTTCATCAATTTTGAAAAATTCTTAAGCATTCTTTCTTTGAACTTTGCTTTTCCTCCATGCTTTCTATATTCTCTTTCTGGAATTCAAATGTATTTTGGATCTTCTCATTCTAGTCTCTATTTCTGTTAACCTTGTTTTTATGTATTTTTAAGTCTGTCTGCAATGCAGTATAGACAACTTCCTCAAGTCTACCTTCCAATTCACTGATTTTCTTTTCAGTGTCTAATGTCCTGATTAGCCTATTGAGTTTTAGCCAATTACTAATATTTACTGTTTCTAAAATTACGATTTGCTTCTCCTAATATTTGTTCATAGTCTCATCTATGTGTATGTGTTATTATCACCCAAAGTTCATAGTTTAAGATTTATATTTTCAGGTATCTTTATAGCAATGCCCCACTTCCCAGTACCAATTTTCTGTGTTAGTCCGTTCTCACATTGCTATAAAGAAATGCCTGAAACTGGGTAATTTATAAAGAAAAGAGGTTTAATTGGCTCACAGTTCTGCAGGCTGTACATGTTCTGGGGAGGCCTCAGGAAACTTACAATCATGATGGAATGTGAAGGGGAATCAGGCAATATCTTACATGGCTGGAGCAGGAGGAAGAGAGAGAAGGGGGAGGTGCTGCACACTTTTAAACAACCAGATCTCGTGAGAACTCAGTATCATAAGAATGGCAAAGGGGAACTCCACCCCCTTGATCCAATCACCTCCCACCAGGCCCCTCCTCCGACATTGGGGATTAAAATTTGACATAAGATTTGGGCAGGGACACAAATCCAAACCATATCAGGGCCTATGCCCATAAAATCAGCAGGAAGCAGTTACAGAAGATGGACCTCCACCCTTCTTCAGCCCCCTTAAGATTAAGGAGGAGTATCTAATATCTGAGGGGGGAATGAGGTAGGAGACTGGCAGGACTTATTTCCTGGTACTGACAGGATAAGTGAAAAAAACAGCAGAAACTAGCAGATGGTAACAAAAGCAATCCCTAGTTGCCCCCACTACTCATTAGTATAAGACACCAGCACCATGACGGTTTTCAAATGCCATGGTAAGGACCCAGAAGTTATTGCCCCTTCCCATGACAATGACCGAGAAGTTACCACCCCTTTCCTAGAAAGCTTTAAATAAACTACTCCTCAATTTGCATTAACCCACCACTGATTGGCATATGATTGAAAGTGGGTATAAGTGGGTATAGAGTTGCCAACAGTCCATTCATTGCCAACTTGGCACATTATCTATGAGTTAGCCCTGCTCTGCAAGGAGCAATAAAGTTCAATAAAAGATTGCTGTCTAAAACCACTGGCTTGCCCTTGAATTCATTCCTGGGCAAAGTCAAGAACTTTCCTGGGCTAAGCTCTAATTTTGGGGCATGTCTGTCCTGCATCAAATGGATAAAGAAAATGTGATATATATATATATATATATATATATATATATATATATATATATATATGTATGTATGTATGTAGTGGAATACTATTCAGCTTTTAAAAAACAAGGAAATTCTGTCATTTGTGACAACATGGATGAACCTGGAGGACATTATGTTAAGTGAAATGTAAGGCACAGAAAGATAAATACCACATGATCTCACTTATATGTGGAATCTTAAAAAGTTGAACGAAGAAGCAGAGAGTAGAATGGTGGTTACCAGGTACTGGGAGCAGGGAAATGGGGGACAGAAAATGGGGGAATTGGGGAGTTGTTTGTCAAAGGATACAAAATTTAGTTTCATAGAATAAATAAGGAAGTCAGAATATCTATTTTATAACATGGAGACTATAGTTAAAACAACATTATTGTATTCTTGAAAAATCACTGAGTAGATTTTAAGTGTTCTCATCATAAAAAAAGGATAAGTATATGAGCTGATATATGTTAATTAGCATGATTTAGCATTCTGTGATGTATACGTATTTCAAGACATCATGTTATACATGATAATTGTATACAATTTTTATTTGTCAGTTTAAATATATAAATTTTAAAATAAAGTACTCACATCAGGGATATATTTGTATTTTCTAAGTAACAACAATAACAATTTAAAATGCATAATACAAAACTAACAAAGGCTGATCATAGAATAATTTATAAAAATCATTCCAAAAGGAGGCCAAGAGGCCAGATGCAGTGGCTCATGCCTATAATCCTGGCACTTTGGGAGGCAGAGGCGAGTGGATTCCTTGAGCCCAAGAGTTCAAGGCCAGCCCAAGCAACATAGCAAAACCCCATCTCTACAAAAAATACAAAAATTAGCTGAGCATGTTGGTGTGCACCTGTAGCCCCAGCTACTCGGGAGGCTGAGGTGGCAGGATGACTTGAGCCTGGGAGGTGGAGGTTGCAAGAGAGACCACACCACTGCACACCAGCCTGGGTAACAGAGCCAGATGTGGTCTCAATAAACAAATAGGAGGCCGAAAACATAAGAAAACATAGAATACAAAACAGGTGAAAAAATAGAAAACGAGCAATAAAATAATCTTAGACCCATATATATCAATCAATAATTCCATTAATTATAAATGGACTAAATGGCCACATTTTATTTGTTTTTACTTAAGTTTTTATTTATTTATTTATTATTTCCATAGGTTTTAGGGGGACAGGTGGTATTTGGTTACACTAGTAAGTTCTTTAGCGGTGATTTGTGAGACTTTGATGCACCCATCACCCAAGCAGTATACAGTGAACCCAATTTGTAGTCTTTCATCCCTCACTCCCTTCCCACCCTTTCCCACTGAGTCCCCAATATCATTCTTATGGCTTTGCATCCTCATAGTTTAGCTCCCACTTATGAGTGAGAACATATGATGTTTGGTTTTCCATTCCTGAGTTACTTCACTTAGAATAGTGTCCAATCCCATCCAGACTGCTGCAAATGCCATTAATTCATTCCTTTTTATGGCTGAGTAGTATTCCACCATATATATATGCCATAGTTTCCTTGTCTATTCGTTGACTGATGGGTATTTGGGTTGGTTCCACATTTTTGCAGTTGTAACTTGTGCTGCTATAAACATGCATGTGCAAGTATCTTTTTTGTATAATGACTTCTTTTGCTCTGGGTAGATACCCACTAGTGGCATTGCTCGATTGAATGGTAGTTCTACTTCTAGTTCTTTAAGGAATCTCCAAACTGTTTTCTATAGTGGTTGTACTAGTTTACATTCCCACCAGCAGTGTAGAAGTGTTCCCTGTTCACCGCATCTATGCCAACCTCTATTATTTTCTGATTTTTTTTTCAAAAAGAACATAAAACTTTATTAAGAACATCTTATACTGTCATCAGATACAGCCAAAGAAAAACGGGTAAACAAACAGGGAAAGTTCATCTTCCCATGTGCTATTGCCACCTCAGAACAGACTCCTGTGTAGATAGCTGGAACAACAGTTGGCAACAAATGCTCTGTATAAATAATTCATTAAGTACACAATGTTTCCTTTCTATACAGAGAAGAATTGGGCTTACAACTATGAAACAAGACTACATCTTTAGGAGCTATTTCTTAATAGAATACAAAGCAGTTTAGTAGCTGTATGTTATTTCAGATAATGTAATTTTTTAATGAAAAATTCAGAAAGGACATTCTAACTTTCCCAATTAGTTAATTTGTACTGTTGAGTTTTTTCTCTCTAAAGATTTCTCAGAATCAGTTCAGTAACTATACTTTAAAAAGATGAGTTGCTCATCTACAGTGATAATTGACAACTTAGTTTTGTGACTTTGCAAATCAAGATGCCTGGGTCATCCCCACTTTTGCTGATTCTGAAAGATTTCTTTAGAAAAACCCTGATTCAGAGAAGCAGGAGTAAGGTGGTATCACATTGTGGTTTTGATTTGCATTTCCCTGATCCTTAGTGATGCTGAGCATTTCTTCATATGTTTGTTGGCCATTTGTATATCTTCTTTTGAGAATTGTCTGTTCATGTCCTTAGCTCAATTTTTGATGAGATTGTTTCTTTCTTTCTTGCTAATTTGCTTGAGTTTGTTGTAGATTCTGGATATTAGTCCTTTGTCAGATGTATAGATTGTGAAGATTTTCTCCCACTCTGTGGGTTGTCTGTTTACTCTGCTGACTATTCCCTTTGCCATGCAAAAGCTCTTAAATTAAGTCCCAGCTATTTATCTTTGTTTTTATTGCATTTGCTTTTGGTTCTTGGTCATGAAATCCTTGCCTAAGCCAATGTCTACAAGGGTTTTTCCAATGTTACCTTCTAGAATTTTTATAGTTTCAGGTCTTAGATTTAAGTCCTTAGTCCTTCTTGAGTTGATTTTTGTATAAGGTGAGAGATGAGGATCCAGTTTCATTCTCCTACATGTGGCTTGCCAATTATCCTAGCATCATTTGTTGAATAGGGTGTCCTTTACCCACTTTATGTTTTTGTTTTCTTTGTCAAAGATCAGCTGGCTGTAAGTATTTGGGTTTATTTCTGGGTTCTCTATTCTGTTCCATTGGTCTTTGTCCCTATTTTTATACCAGTACTATCCTGTTTTGGTGACTATGGCCTTACAGTATAGTTTGAAATCAGGTAATGTGATGCCTCCAGATTTGTTCTTTTCCCTTAGCCTTGCTTTGGCTATTTGGGCTCTTCTTTGGTTCCATATGAATTTTAGGATTTTTTTTTCTAGTTCTGTGAAGAATGATGCTGGTATTTATATGGGAATTGCATTGAATTTGTAGATTGCTTTTGGCAGTATGGTCATTTTCACAATATTGATTCTACCCATCCATGAGCATGGGGTGTGTTTCCATTTGTTTGTGTCATCTATGATTGTTTTCAGCAGTGTTTTGTAGTTTTCCTTGTAGAGGTCTTTCACCTCCTTGGTTAGGTTATATTCCTAAGTTTTTTTGATTGTGTGATTTGTTTGTTTGTTTGTTTGTTGCAGCTATTGTAAAAAGTGGTTGAGTTCTTGATTTGATTCTCAGCTTGGTCACTGCTGGTGTACAGGAGAGCTACTGATTTGTGTACATTAATTTTGTATCCAGGAAATTTGCTGAATTATTTTATCAGTTCTAGGAGCTTCTTGGAGGAGTCTTCTGGGTTTTCCAGGTATACAATCATATCATCAGCAAACAGTGACAGTTTGACTTCCTCTTTACCAACTTGGATGCCTTTATTCTTTCTCTTGTCTGATTGCTCTGGCTAGGACTTCCAGTACTATGTTGAAGTGGTGAAAGTGGGCATCCTTGTCTTGTTCCAATTCTCAGAGGGAATGCTTTCAACTTTTCCCCATTCAGTATTATGTTGGCTGTGCGTTTATCATACATGGTTTTTATTACATTGAGGTATGTCCCTTGTAGGCTGATTTTGCTGAGAGTTTTAATCATAAAAGGATGCTGCATTTTGTCAAATGCTTTTTCTGTGTCTATTGAGATGATCATGTGATTTTTGTTTTTAATTGTTTATGTGGTGTATTACATTTATTGACGTGCATATGTTAGACCATCCCTGCATCCCTGCTATGAAACCCACTTGTTCATGGTGGATTATCTTTTTGATATGTTGTTGGATTTGGTTAGCTGGTATCTTGTTAAGGATTTTTGCATCTATGTTCATCAGGGATATTGGTCTTCAGTTTTCTTTTTTGTTGTTGTTATGTTCTTTTGTTCTTTCCTGGCTTTGGTATTAGGATGATACTGGCTTCATAAAATGATTTAGGGAGGATTCCTTCTTTCTCTATCTTGTGGAATAGTGTCAATAGGATTGGTACCAATTCTTCTTTGAATGTCTGGTAGAACTCAGTTGTGAATCCGTCTGGCCCTGGACTTTTTTTTTTGTAATTTTTTTATTACCATTTCAATCTTGCTGCTTGTTATTGGTCTGTTCAGGGTATCTAATTCTTCCTGATTTAAGGTAGGAGGGTTTTCTCTTCCCAGGAATGTATCGATCTCCTCCAAGTTTTCTAGTTTATGCACATAAAGGTGTTCATAGTAGCCTCAAATGATCTTTTGTATTTCTGTGGTGTCAGTTGTACTATCTCCCATTTCATTTCTACTTGAGCTTCTTTGGATTTTCTCTCTTCTTGGTTAATCTTGCCAATGGTCTATCAAGTTTATTTATCTTTTCAAAGAACCAGCTTTTTGTTTCACTTCTGTATTTTTTTGTTTCAATTTCATTTAGTTCTGCTCTGATCTGGGTTATTTCCTTTCTTCTGCTGGCTTTGGGCTTGGTTCTTGTTTCTCTAGTTCCTTGAGGTGTGACCTTAGATTGTCTATTTGTGCTCTTTCAGACTTTCTGATGTAGGCATATAGGGCTAAGAACTTTCCTCTTAGCACCGCCTTTGCTGTATCCCAGAGGTTTTTGTAGGTCATGTCACTATTGTTATTCAGCTTGAATAATTTTTTAATTTTCATCTTGATTTCATTGTTGACCCAATGATCATTCAGGAGCAGGTTATTTAATTTCCATGTATTTGCGTGGTTTTAAAGGTTCCTTTTGGAGCTGATTTCCAGTTTTATTTCACTGTGGTCTGAGACAGTGCTTAACATAATTTCAGTGTTCTTAAATTTATTGAGACTTGTTTGGTGCTCTATCATGTGGTCTATCCTGGAGAAAGTTCCATGTGCTGAAGAATTGAACGTATATTCTGCAGTTGTTGGGTAAAATGTTCTGTATATATCTGTTAAGTCTATTTGTTCCAGGGCATAGTTTAAATTCATTGTTTTTTTGTTGGCTTTCTGTCTTAATGATCTGTCTAGTGCTGTCAGTGGCGTATTAAAGTCCCCCACTAGTATTGTGTTGCTGTATATATCATTTCTTAGGTCTAGTAGTAATTGTTTTATAAATTTGGGAGCGCCAGTGTTAGGTGCATATATATTTAGGATTGTGATATTTTCCTGTTGGACAAGAAATGCCACATTTTAAAAACAAAAATTATCAAACTGGATTAAATGGCAATATAAATGTCAGTTGATAGGATAGTTAATACTATACTCAACAATGTAATGAAGAGTAAGAAAGGGCTGGGCTTTGTGGCTCATGCCTGTAGTCCCAGCACTTTGGGAGGCCCGAGGGAAGAGGGGCTGGCTCTTACTCCTCGCATCGCGGGGGGCGCCTGAGATAAGGTGGATCACCTGAGATAAGGAGTTCAGACCAGTCTGGCCAATATGGTAAAACCCCATCTCAACTAAAAATACAAAAAAATTAGCTGGGTGTGGTGGCGGGCACCTGTAATCCCAGCTACTTCGGGAGGCTGAGGCAGAAGAATCGCTTGAACTCAGGAGACAGAGGTTGCAGTGAGTCGAAGTCATGCCATTGCACTCCAGCCTGGGCGACAAGAGCGAAACTCTGTCTCAAAAAAAAAAAGTAAGAAAGAACTCAAACTTATATGTAGTGATCATGACAATAAGGAATTTTGTCTGTGTGAGCTCTGAAAATTTTATAAAGTTTTTAAATATGGAGTTCATGCTTAGTGATTGAGTTATTTAATGTCAAATGATATCTAAGCATTTATTTTTAACATTTCATTAATCAAGTACACAATATGTATTTAAGGAATTATGATAAAGTAAACCAATCTTCTACCCATATCACTGTACCTATTTGATTCATCAAAATTTGTCCTCCCTAAATTCCATGTTCTGCAATGTGTTTAGAAATAAATAGTAAGGCATGGCGCCACGCACCTGTAATTCCAGCTACTCAGGAGGCAGGGCAGGAGGATCACTTGAGCCTGGGAGTTTGAAGCCAGCCTAGGCAATATAGTAAGACCCTGTCTCAAAAATTAATTAATTAATTAATTAATAATAACAAGTGGTAGCCTTGCTCTTGGTCAAAACATTGACTTTGGGCTGGGTGCAGTGGCTCACGCCTGTAATCCCAGCACTTTGGGAGGCCGAGATGGGCGGATCACAAGGTCAAGAGATTGAGATCATCCTGGCTAACACGGTGAAACCTTGTCTCTACTAAACATACAAAAAAATTAGCCGGGTGTGGTGGCAGGGGTCTTTGGTCCCAGCTACTCAGGAGGCTGAGGCAGGAGAATGGCGTGAACCCGGGAGGTTGAGCTTGCAGTGAGCTGAGATCGCACCACTGCACTCCAGCCTGGATGACAGAGCGAGACTCTGTCTCAAAAAAAAAAATTTTTTGGCAGGGCACAGTGTCTCACGCCTGTGATCCCAGCACTTTGGGAGGCCAAGGTGGGCAGATCACAAGATCAGGAGTTCGAGACCAGCCTGGCCAACATGGTGAAACCCCATCTCTACTAAAATACAAAAATTAGATGGGTGTGGTGGTGCACGCCTGTAATCCCAGCTACTTGGGAGGCTGAGGCAGAAGAATTGTTCGAACCCAGGAGGCAGAGGTTGCAGTGAGCCAAGATCACACCATTGCACTCCAGCCTGGGCAAGAGAGCAAGACTCCATCTTAGGGGAAAAAAAAAAAAAAGATTGACTTTGGTTTATTATTTGATCGAGTTTTTTCCATTAGTACATTACTTATCTATTTATCAGTTACTGGATACAAAAGTTTCTGGAACTGAGTTCCTCACAATTGTTCCTCATAATTGTTTGGATGTAGTCCATTCCAAATAATAACTATCTATTTAAGTCTATTAAGTCTATTTTTTTAAAAAAAGAAAACACCCCTGAATAGCAAAATGACTAACGAAAAATAATAAAATTATCTGAGATTAGTCGTAGATTTTTATCAGCTAAAAACAGAAGGAACTTCCAAACCAACAAAGAGTAGATTAAACAAAGGCAAAAATAAAATGAGAGAATAGAAAATGAGATGAAAAAAGAAGAAAAATTATAGCAGCCAAGTTTAATGAGGTGCTTTGCCAATCACTGAAATGTGTCTGTCCAGCCTAAGAAAAGTTGAAAAGAAAAAAATGGCCGGGTGGGGTGGCTCACGCCTGGAATCCCAGCACTTTGGGAGGCCAAGGCAGGCGGATCACGAGGTCAGGAGATCGAGACCATCCTGACTAACACAGCAAAACCCCATCTCTACTAAAAATACAAAAAAAAAAAAAAAAAAAAAATTAGCCAGGCATGGTGGCAAGCACCTGTAGTCCCAGCTACATGACAGGCTGAGGCAGGAGAATGGCGTGAGCCTGGGAGGTGGAGCTTGCAGTGAGCCGAGACCACACCACTGCACTCCAGCCTGGGTGACAGAGCAAGACTCTGTCTCAAAAAAAAAAAAGAAAAAAAGAAATCAGATGCATATCAGTGAACTTTACACCTTTCAGATCTATTCAATGGTGGACTGAATGACTGTGGAAAGAAACATCTTCTTTATCATATGAAGTACCCTGTGGTCCAGTGGCAATTCTGATGAAACCACACTGCTTTGTAACTTATGGACATCTTCATACACTAAATAAGAAAAATTACATTAAAACTAACCACCATCCAATCACTTTTGACTAGGTGTTAAAAGGACTCACATTCTACCTTTTATCCATCTGACAAGCTCCTACTTATTTGCGATTCAGGTCAAATGTCATCTCATTTGTAAAGTCTTCCTAAACACCTACTAAGGGAGACTGCCCTCCACACAGTTCCCAAATCACTTTTATATACCTCAATTATTCTCTGTTTATACGTTTACCCGCTTTACTAGATTCTGTGCACCTGGAGGTGAGAAACCAGATGTTTTTCGTCTTTGTTTCTCCAGAGTTAAGCTTAGCTGGTTCATGAAAATCATTCAAAACTTACTGAAAGAATCTCAGTCTTAAGAGGAAAAAACTAAACAACTATCATATACAGTAACAAACAGCTTAGGAACAAAATATTACAGGAGGAATGATAATTTCACCCTAATAGAGTGCTGGGATACTTCACAAAAAGATGATATTTGATCTGCTTTGAAGAAGTCATAAGTTAGATGAAGCAAATAAAAGTGGATTTTAAAAGGTGAAATCAAGTCTATTCCAAGGAGTGAATATGAGCCAATGCCCAGAGGTAGGACAGCATGAAGGGTCTAACGAGAGTGAGTGGACAGGCCTTGCCGGACTATAAGTGAAAAGTAGTATCAGAAATGATATCAGAAAAGTAGATTGGGGCCCAATTGAGAAGTCCCTTGAATGCCATAGTAAATAAAGCTTTAATTATTTATCTTACAGACAATGTGGAGCCCTTGGTTTTAAAGAAGAGCATCAAAATTAAATTTCTTCTTTCAAAATTTTATTCTCCCCAGATTAACGAATATTATTCAAGTTATAGCTTCAGTTTCACCAAAGGTCATGTCTCAATCCTTCTCCTCTACAGGAAAGCAATTCTAAAAAAAAAAAAAAAAAAAAGGGAAAAGAAAAACCTCAGATAAAACTGGTTTTGGTAGGACTACTCTCAGGCAGGACAGCATAAGATACAAGAATCAAATGACTGGCAATAGAAGACTTATTAAGATTAAAACTGTACTGGTCATCAGACAAGTGACTAGATCTGATTTGTTCAAATTAGAGTTTGTAATTTATTTTGAATACAAAGCAAGGCATGGTCATTTAAAAACAGACAATACTAAAAAATGTAAAAAAAAAAAAAGAGGGAAGTGAAAATTACTATAACCATCCTCATCCCTTAAAATGACTCTGCTATTAACATTTAAGTTAAATCACTAACTTTCTTCAATGCCTGAGTATACATACAGATAGATACTTCATTTTTCCAAGTAGATTTCAAACTTACATACCTGCATCTTTTCACTCAATATACCATGAAAATTTTTCCATAATAATATGTATCTATATAATATTTAATCAGTGCATAATTTATTTAAACACTCCCCTGTAGGTGGACTTTATCTTTTCATTTAAACCAACACTACAGTAAATGTATGTCTCTTTACACATTTATCTAAATTTTTCCTGAAGTTAAATTTCCAAAAAAGTAATTTCTGAATCAAAAGGTATCTGGTGCAGCAGCTGTAGAGACAGGGTGCAGAACCCCTGCCCTGCAATCACAAGGCAGTTTCTTCTCTATCCCAACTAAAGTATGTGGGGCTGGTAAGATTACAGAAAAAAGAGAAAGGAATATTCTGAATCTGTGTATGAAATTCTTGTGAGCAGTACATGTAAGAAACTAATCAGAGGCTGGGCATGGTGGCACACACCTGTAGTCCCAGCTACTTGGGAGGCTGAGGCATGAGAATCACTTGAATCCAGAAGGTGGAGGTTGCAGTGAGCCGATATAGCGCCATTGCACTCCAACCTGGGCGACACACTTTTGCACTCAGTCTCAAAATAAATAAATAAATAAATAGGCCAGGAGTGGTGGCTCATGCCTGTAATCCCAGCACTTTGGGAGGCCAAGGCAGGTGGATCACGAGGTCAGGAGATCAAGACCATCCTGGCTAACATGGTGAAACCCCATCTCTACTAAAAATACAAAAATTAGCCAGGTGTGGTGGTGCACACCTGTAGTCCCAGCTACTCGGGAGGCTGAGGAAGCAAAATCACTTGAATCCAGGAGGCAGAGGTTGCAGTGAGCCAAGATCGTGCCACTGCACTCCAGTCTGGGCAACAGAGCAAGACTCTGTCTCAAAAATAAATAAATAATTTAAAAAAATTTTTAAAAACTGATCAGAAATGACATCTACAAAACCTGAGAACTTAACAGTGATGTGAAACATCACCAGGCTTCAGATTGACCTCTAAGTAGCACACAAGTAGGACAAGCCAGAATAGCACCATAAAGACTTTGAACACTAAATTAACATTTGCATGATGGCCCATAAACATGGGTCAAGACATGTGTTCTGAACCTAAACAAGTTGACTGCCTACTAAAACAGAAACGTTAAATAGAAACCAGGCCTCAATGCACCATATTCAAAATGTCCAACATATAAACAAAAAATCACCTGTCATTATCAAGAACCACAAAAATCTAAATAAGAAAATTCAAACAGTGTCAACACCAAGATGACACAGGTATTGCAATTATCTCACAAGTATTTTGCAGCAGCTATCATTAAAAATGTTCCAACAAGCAATTATGAATAACTTCGAAATTATTTTTAATGGAACATCTTAGCAACAAATATAAAATATAAGAAAGAAGCATTTAAGTCTTTAATCCATCTTGAATTAATCTTTGTATAAGGTGTAAGGAAGGGATCCATTTTCAGCTTTCTACATATGGCTAGCCAGTTTTCCCAGCACCATTTACTAAATAGGGAATCCTTTCCCCATTTCTTGTTTTTGTCAGGTTTGTCAAAGATCAGATAGTTGTAGATACGTGGCATTATTTCTGAGGGTCTATATCTCTGTTTTGGTACCAGTACCATGCTGTTTTGGTTACTGTAGCCTTGTAGTATAGTTTGAAGTCAGGTAGCGTGATGCCTCCAGCTTTGTTCTTTTGGCTTAGGACTGACTTGGCAATGTGGGCTCTTTTTTGGTTCCATATGAACTTTAAAGTAGTTTTTTCCAATTCTGTGAAGAAAGTCATTGGTAGCTTGATGGGGATGGCATTGAATCTATAAATTACCTTGGGCAGTATGGCCATTTTCAAGATATTGATTCTTCCTACCCATGAGCATGGAATGTTCTTCCATTTGTTTGTATCCTCTTAAATGTTAGACCTAAAACCATAAAAACCCTAGAAGAAAACCTAGGCAACACCATTCAGGGCATAGGCATGGGCAAGGACTTCATGTCTAAAACACCAAAAGCAATGGCAACAAATGCCAAAATTGACAAATGGGATCTAATTAAACTAAAGAGCTTCTGCACAGCAAAAGAAACTACCATCAGAGTGAACAGGCAACCTACAGAATGGGAGAAAATTTTTGCATCTACTCATCTGACAAAGGGCTAATATCCAGAATCTACAATGAACTCAAACAAATTTACGAGAAAAAAACAAACAACCCCATCAACAAGTGGGCGAAGGATATGAACAGACACTTCTCAAAAGAAGACATTTACACAGCCAAAAGACACATGAAAAAATGCTCATCATCACTGGCCATCGGAGAAATGCAAATCAAAACCACAATGAGATTCCATCTCACACTAGTTAGAATGGCAATCATTAAAAAGTCAGGAAACAACAGGTGCTGGAGAGGATGTGGAGAAATAGGAACACTTTTACACTGTTGGTGGGACTGTAAACTAGCTCAACCATTGTGGAAGTCAGTGTGGCGATTCCTCAGGGATCTAGAACTAGAAATACCATTTGACCCAGCCATCCCATTACTGGGTATATACCCAAAGGATTATAAAACGTGCTGCTATAAAGACACATGCACACGTATGTTTATTGTGGCACTATTCACAATAGCAAAGACTTGGAACCAACCCAAATGTCCAACAATGATAGACTGGATTAAGAAAATGTGGCACATATACACCATGGAATACTATGCAGCCATAAAAAATGATGAGTTCATGTCCTTTGTAGGGACATGGATGAAGCTGGAAACCATCATTCTCAGCAAACTATCGCAAGGACAAAAAACCAAACACCACATGTTCTCACTCATAGGTGGGAATTGAACAATGAGAACACATGGACACAGGAAAGGGAACATCACACACCAGGGCCTGTTGTGGGGTTGGCGGAGGGGGGAGGGATAGCATTAGGAGATATACCTAATGTTAAATGACGAGTTAATGGGTGCAGCACACCAACATGGCACATGTATAGACATGTAACTAACCTGCACATTGTGCATATATATCCTAGAACTTAAAGTATAATTAAAAAAAAAAAGAATGCTGACATAGCTCTCAAACAAGGTAGACTTAAAGACAAGAAGCATTGATAGAGCTATAGATGAACACTACCCATGGCACATGTTTACCTATGTAACAAACCTGCACATCCTGTATATGTACCCCGGAACTTAAAATAAAAAGATGAACATTTCTAAAAAAAAAAAAGAAAGAAAGAAGCAAATGGAAATTTTATAGCTGGAAAATAAAATAACCAAAATGAAAACTCACTGGATGGATTCAATAACAGAATGAATATGACAAAAGAAACAATCAGTGAACTCAAAGATAGAGCAATTGAAATTTTCCAGCCTGAACTGAGAGGAAAATACACTGAAAGAAAAAATAAAAAATGAACAGGCAAGATTCAAGATGGCCGAATAGGAACAGCACCAGTCTGCAGCTCCCAGCAAGATCGAGGCAGAAGGTGGGTGATTTCTGCATTTCCAACTGAGGCACACGGTTCATCTCACTGGGACTGGTTGGATAGTGGGTGCAGCCCACGGAGGGCAAGCCGAAGCAGGGTGGGGCATCACCTCACCTGGGAAGTGCAAGGGGTCGGGGAATTTTCCCCTCTACCCGAGGGAAGCCATGAGGGTCTGAGCCTGAGGAACTCCAGCACAGATACTGCACTTGTCCCACAGTCTTCGAAACCCACAAACCAGGAGATTCCCTCCAGTGACTACCCCACCAGGGCCCTGGGTTTCAAGCACAAAACTGGGTGGCCAATTGGGCAGACACTGAACTAGCTGTAGGAGCTTTTTTTCTTTTTCCATACCCCAGTGGCGCCTGGAACACCAGCGAGACACAACCGTTCACTCCCCTGGAAAGAGGGGCTGAAGCCAGGGAGCCAAGTGGTCTGGCTTGGCTGGTCCCACGCCCATGGAGCCCAGGAAACTAAGATCCACTGGCTTGAAATTCTTGCTGCCAGCACAGCAGCAATCTGAGATTCACCTGGGATGATTGAGCTTGGTGGTGGAAGAGACGTCCACCATTGCTGAGGCTTGAGTAGATGGTTTTATGGCCACAGTATAAACAAAGCTGCTGGGAAGTTCAAACTGGGCAGAGCCCACTGCAGCTCAGCAAGGCTGCTGTGGCCAGACTGCCAGATTGCCCCTCTCTGGACAGGGCATCTCTGTAAAAAAGGCAGCAACCCCAGTCAGGGGCTTATAGCAGACTTAAACGTCCCTGCCTGATGGCTCTGAAGAGAGCAGTAGACCTCCCAGCACAGTATTCAAGCTCTGCTAAGGGTCAGTCTGCCTCCTCAAGTGGGTCCCTGATCCCCGTGTATACTGACTGGGAGATACCTTCTAGCTTGGACCGACAGACACCTGATACAGGAGAGCTCTGGCTGGCATCTGACAGGTGCCCCACTGGGTCGAAGCTTCTAGAAGAAAGAACAGGCAGCAATCTTTGCTGCTTTGCAGCCTCTGCTGGTGATACCCAGGCAAACAGGGTCAGGAGTGGACCTCCAGCAAACTCCAGCAGACTGGCACCAAAGGGGCCTGTTAGAAGGAAAAGAAACAGAAAGGATTAGCATGTCCACTCATAGACCCCATCCGAAGGTCACCAACATCAAAGACCAAAGGTAGATAAATCCACAAAGATGGGAAAAAAGTAGCATGAAAAGGTTGAAACTTCCAAAAACCAGAATGCCTCTCCTCCTCCAAATGATCACAGCTCTTTGCCAGCAAGGGAACAAAACTGGACAGAGAATGAGTTTGATGAACTGACAGAAGTAGGCTTCAGAAGGTGGGTAATAACAAAAAACTACAAGCTCAAGAAGCATGTTCTAACCCAATGCAAAGAAGCTAAAAACCTTAAAAAAAGGTTAATCAAATTAACTAGAATAACCAATGTAGAGAAGAACATAAATGACCTAATGGAGCTGAAAAACAAAGCAAAAAACTTCATGAAGAATACACAAGTATCAATAGCCAAACTGATGAAGCAGTGATTGAAGATCAACTTAATGATCAACTTAATGAAATAAAGAGAGAAGACAAGATTAGATAAAAAAGAATAAAAAGGAACGAACAAAGCCTCCAAGAAATATGGGACTTGCCAGGGCGCGGTGGGTCACACCTGTAATCCCAGCACTTTGGGAGGCTGAGGTGGGTGGATCACGAGGTCAGGAGATCGAGACCATCCTGGCTAACATGGTGAAACCCTGTCTCTACTAAAAATACAAAAAATTAGCTGGGCGTGGGGGTGGGCGCCTGTAGTCCCAGCTATTTGGGAGGCTGAGGCAGGAGAATGGCGTGAACCCAGAAGGTGGAGCTTGCAGTGAGCCGAGATCACACCACTGCACTCCAACCTCGGTGACAGAGCGAGACTCCATCTCAAAAAAAAAAAGAAATATGGGACTATGTGAAAAGACCAAATCTACGTTTGATTGGTGTACCTCAAAGTGACGGGGAGAATGGAATCAAGTTGGAAAACACTCTTTAGGATATTATCCAGGAGAACTTCTCCAACTTAGCAACACAGGCCAACATTCAAATTCAGGAAATACAGAGAACACCACAAAGATAATCCTCAAGACGAGCAACCCCAAGACACATAATCATCGGATTCACCAAGGTTGAAATGAAAGAGAAAATGTTAAGGGCAGCCAGAGAGAAAGGTCGGGTTACCCACAAAGGGAAGCTCGTCAGACTATCAGCCGAACTCTCTGCAGAAACCCTATAAGACAGAAGAGAGTGGGGGCCAATATCCAACGTTCTGAAAGAAAAGAATTTTCAACCCAGAATTTCATATCCAGCCACACTAAGCTTCATAAGGGAAGGAGAAATAAAATCCTTTACAGACAAGCAAATGCTGAGGGATTTTGTCACCACCAGACCTGCCTTACGAGAGCTCCAGAGGGAAGCACTAAACATGGAAAGGAACAACTGGTACCAGCCACTGCAAAAACATACCAAATTGTAAAGAACATTGACACAATGAAGAAACTGCATTAACTAATGGGCAAAACAACCAGCTAGCATCATAATGACAGGATCAAATTCACACATAACAATATTAACCTTAATGTAAATGGGCTAAATGCCCCAATTAAAAGACACAGACTGGCAAATTGGATAAAGAGTCAAGACCCATCAGTATGCTGTATTCAGAAGACCCATCTCATGTGCAAAGACAAACATAGGCTCAAAATAAAGGGATGGGGGAATATTTACCAAGCAAATGGAAAGCAAAAAAAAAGCAGGAGTTGCAATCCTAATCTCTGATAAAACAGACTTTAAATCAATAAAAATCAAAAGAGACAAAGAAGGGCATTACATAATGGTAAAGGGAACAATGCAGCAAGAAGAGCTAACTATCCTAAATATATATGCACCCAATACAGGAGCACCCAGATTCATAAAGCAAGTTCTTAGAGACCCAGACTCCCAAACAATAATAGTGGGAGACTTTAACACCCCACTGTCAATATTAGACAGATCAATGAGACAGAAAATAAAGATATTCAGGACTTGAACTCAGCTCTGGACCAAGCAGACCTAACAGACATCTACAGAACTCCCCACCTCAAATCAACAGACTATACATTCTTCTCAGCACCTCATTGCACTTATTCTAAAATTGACCACATAATCAGAAGTAAAACACTCCTCAGCAAATGCGAAATAATGGAAACCATAACAAACAGTCTCTCAGACCACAGTGCAACCAAATTAGAATTCAGGATTAAGAAACTCACTCAAAACTGCACAAATAAATGGAAACTGAACAACCTGTTCCTGAATGACTACTGGGTAAATAATGAAATGAAGGCAGAACTAAAAATGTTCTTTGAAACCAATGAAAATGAAGACACAATGTACCAGAATCTCTGGGACACATTTAAAGCGGTGTTTAGAGGGAAATTTATAGCACTAAATGCCCACAAGAGAAATCAGGAAAGTTCTAAAATTGATGCCCTAACATCGAAATTAAAAGAACTAGAGAAGCAACAGCAAATAAATTCAAAAGCTAGCAGAAGACATGAAATAACTAAGATCAGAGCAGAACTGAAGGAGATAGAGACACAAAAAAACCTTCAAAAAAATCAATGAATCCAGGAGCTGATTTTTTGAAAAAATCAACAAAATAGACCACTAGCCAGACTAATAAAGAAGAAAAGAGAGAAGAATCAAATAGATGCAATAAAAAATGATATAGGGGATATCACCACTGATCCCATACAAATACAAACTACCATCAGAGAATACTATAAACACCTCTATGCAAATAAACTAGAAAATCTAGAAGAAATGGATAAATTCCTGGACACATACACCCTCCCAAGTCTAAGCCAGGAAGAAGTCGAATCCCTGAATAAAGCAATAACAATTTCTGAAATTGAGGCAGTAATTAATAGCCTACTACCCCAAAAAAAAACCCAGGAGCAGATGGATTCACAGGCGAATTCTACCAGAGGTACAAAGAGGAACTGGTACCATACCTTCTGAAACTATTCCAAACAATAGAAAAATAGGGACTCCTCCCTAACTCATTTTATGAGGCCAGCATCATCCTGATACCAAAACCTGGCAGAGACACAACAAAAAAGGAAAATTTCAGGCCAATATCCCTGATGAACATCAATGTGAAAATCCTCAATAAAATACTGGCAAACCGAATCCACTAGCACATAAAAAAGCTTATCTACCACGATCAAGTTGGCTTCATCCCTGGGATGCGAGGCTGGTTCAACATACGCAAATCAATAAATGTAATCCATCACATAAACAGAACCAATAACAAAAACCACATGATTATCTCAATAGATACAGAAAAGGCCTTTGATAAAATTCAACACCCTTTCATGCCAAAAACTCTCAATAAACTAGGTATCGACGGAACATATCTCAAAATAACAAGAGCTATTTATGACAAACCCACAGCCAATATCATACTGAATGGGCAAAAACTGGAAGCATTCCCTTTGAAAACCGGCACAAGACAAAGATGCCCTCTCTCACCACTCCTATTCAACATAGTATTGGAAGTTCTGGCCAGGGCAATCAGGCAAGAGAAAGCAATAAAGAGTATTCAAATAGGAAGAGAGGAAATCAAATTGTCTCTGTTTGCAGAAGACATGATTGTATATTTAGAAAACCCCATCGTCTCAGCCCAAAACCTCCTTAAGCTGATAAGCAACTTCAGCAAAGTCTCAGGATACAAAATCAATGTGCAAAAATCACAAGCATTCCTGTACACCAATAATAGACAGAGAGCCAAATCATGAGTGAACTCCCATTCACAATTGCTACTAAGAGAATAAAATACCTAGGAATACAACTTACAAGGGATGTGAAGGACCTCTTCAAGTAGAACTACAAACCACTGCTCAAGGAAATAAGAGAGGACACAAACAAATGGACAAACATTCCATGCTCATGGATAGGAAGAATCAATATCACGAAAATGGCCACACAGCCCAAAGTAATTTATAAATTCAATGCTATTCCCATGAAGCTACCACTGACTTTCTTCACAGAATTGGAAAAAACTACTTTAAACTTCATATGGAACCAAAAAAGAGCCTGCATAGCCAAGACAATCCTGGGCAAGAAGAACAAAGCTAGAGGTATCATGCTACCTGATTTCAAACTATACTACAAGACTACAGTACCCAAAACAGCACAGTACTGGTACCAAAACAGATATATAGACCAATGGAACAGAACGGAGGCGTCAGAAATAACACCACACAGCTACAACCATCTGATCTTTGACAAACCTGACACACACAAGCAATGGGGAAAAGATTCCCGATTTAGTAAATGGTGTTGGGAAAACTGGCTAGCCATATGCAGAAAACTGAAACTGGGCCCCTTCCTTACACCTTTTACAAAAATCAACTCAAAATGGATCAAAAACTTCAACATAAGACTTAGGACCATAAAACTCCTAGAAGAAAATCTGGGCAATACCATTCAGGACAGAGGCATGGGCAAAGACTTCATGTCCAAAACACTAAAAGCAATGGCAACAAAAGCCAAAATTGACAAACGGGATCTAATTAAACTAAAGAGCTTCTGCACAGCAAAAGAAAGTATCATCAGAGTGAACAGGCAACCTACAGAATGGGAGAAAATTTTTGCAGTCTATCCATGTGACAAAGGGCTAATATCCAGAATCTACAAAGAACTTAAATTTACAAGAAAAAACCCATCAAAAAGTGGGCAAAGGATATGAACAGACACTTCTCAAAAGAAGACATTTATGCAGCCAACAGACATATGAAAAAAATGCTCATCATCACTGGTCACCAGAGAAATGCAAATCAAAACCACAATGAGATTCCATCTCACACCAGTTAGAATGGCGATCATTAAAAAGTCAGGAAACAACAGGTGCTGGAGAGGTTGTGGAAAAATAGGAATGCTTTTACACTGTTGGTGGGAGTGTAAATTAGTTCAACCATTGTGGAAGACAGTGTGGCGATTCCTCAAGGATCTAGAACTGGAAATACCATTTGACCCAGCAATCCCAATACTGGGCATATACCCAAATGATTATAAATCATTCTATAGTAAAGACACATGCACACATATGTTTATTGTGGCACTATTCACAGTAGCAAAGACTTGGAACCAACCCAAATGTCCATCAATGATAGACTGGATTAAGAAAATGTGGCACATATATATCATGGAATACTATGCAGCCATAAAAAAGGATGAGTTTGTGTCCTTTGCAGGGACATGGATAAAGCTGGAAACCATCATTTTCAGCAAACTATCACAAGATCAGAAAACCAAACACCGCATGTTCTTGCTTATAAGTGGGAGTTGAACAATGAGAACATACGGACACAGGGAGGGGACCATCACACACCGGGGCCTGTCGGAGAGTGGGGAGTTAGGGGAGGGATAACATTAGGAGAAATACCTAATATAGGTGACAGGTTGATGGGTGCAACAAACCACCAGGGCACATGTATACCTATGTAAGAAAAATGCACATTCTGCACATGTAACCCAGAACTTAAAGTATAATAAAAAAAAAAAGAAAGAAAGAAAAGAAAAAACGAACAGAGCAACAAATATCTGTGGGACAATAACAAAGTGTCTAACATTCCTGTGACTGGAATTACAGAAGGAGATGGCATAGGGTGCTAAAAAAAAAAAAAAAATTGAGACAGGCTCTCACTCTGTTACACAGGCTGGAGTGCGGTGGCATGATCACAGCTCACTGCAGCCTCAAACTCCCAGGCTTAGGTGATCCTCCTGCCTTAGCCTCCCGAGTAGCTGGGACCACTGACACATGCCACCATGACCAGCTAATTTTTTTTATTTTTTTTGTAGAGACAGTGTTTTGTCATGTTGCCCAGGCTGGTCTGAAAAAACTTTTTAACAAAATAATGATTGAAGACTTCTCAAACTTAATGAAAGACATAAATGTGTAATTTAAAAAGCTAAAGCAACTTCTAATATGATAAATGCAAAGAAATCCATGCTTAGATACATCATAATCAAATTTCTGAAAACTTAAAAAAATCTTGAAAACATTCTGAAAGAAAAAGCATTATTTATAGGAGAACAACAATTAGAATTACAGTGGATTTCTCACCAAAAAACACAAAACAGGAAGAAAGTAGCACAACATTTTTCAACTGCTAAAAAATAAGACCTATCAGCCCAGAAGCTTATATCCAGAGATAATACTCCGAGGAAACTTCAAACACATTTTTAGCAATGTTACAGAATAGTAATCAATTGTATTCCTCTATGCTAGCAATAAAAAGTAGGAAGCCAAAATTGAAGCACAGTACTATTTACAACCACTCCAAAGAAAATTAAATATTTAAGTATAAATCTAACAAAATATGTACAGAATCAGCAGGCTGAAAACTACAAAATGCTGATGAAAAAATAAAAATAGATCTAAACAAACGGAGAGACATGCAGTGTCATTTAACTGGAAGACAACAAAGATGTCAATTCTCTTCATATCGGTCTATAGGTTTAACACGTTTCCTATCAAAAGCTTCCTTTTGTAGATATAGACAAACTGGTCCTAAAATCTATATGTAAAGTCAAAAGAACAAAAATTGCTAAAACAATATTAAAAAAGAATAGTAAAGTAGGAAGAATCACACTATCCAATGTTAAGATTTACTACCGTAGGTTGCCAGGCCAAGATGGCTGATTAGAAACAGCTATGGTCCACAGCACTCACAGAGAGGAACAAAAGAGGCAAGTGAATACAGCATCTTCAACTGAAATATCCAGGTACTTGCATTGGGACTCATCAGGAAAACAACTTGACCCACAGAGAACAAAGAAAAGCTGGATGGGGCGACAGCCCCCCTGGGAGCGACACAGAGCCAAAGGAACCCCCACTCCCAGCCAAGGGAAGAAGTGAGTGATGGTGCGACCTCAGGAAACCATGCTTCTCCCATGGATCTTTGCGACTGGTGGATCAGGAGATTCCCTCATGAGCCCATGCCACCAAGGCCTTGGGTCCGACACACACACAACTGTGTGGAGTCTTGGCAGAGCAGCTGCTCAGACACACACAGAGACCCACGAGCTTTACATACTCTGGCCCAGGGCGGAGCGCAGGAAGGGCCCCAAAACAGATCATATCACAACTGTTGTTCTGGGAGAAAGTAAAAGTCAAAAAAGCATTGCATTTAATTCAGGTTTCAGCCAAACTGCGAGATACCACGTTATTTAAGAGGCAGGCGGAGGAAGGAAACCTACCGCTTTGGAAGAGGCGGAGGAAATCGCTTTCTTCCCTGTGACTCAGCCCTGGAGGAATTTCCCTTTTGAAATCTTGCGGTGTCGAGTAGGACCGCCAGGCCGGCAAGCAGGAGGCGGCCTCCTCGTAACCGCCAGGCGGCGACACCTAGGGCGGCGCGGCCAGGAGGCGGGACCCCTTCTCCCCTCGCTGTTCCCCCTCGCGCCCCTTCTCCCCTCGCGGTTCCCCCTCGCGCCCCTTCTCCTCTCACATTTCCCCCTCACAAGCCTTCTCCCCTCCTGGTTCCCCCTCAAGCGCCTTCTCTCCTCAAATCTCCCTCAGCTTCCTTCTCTCCCTCCCATTTCTCTCCCCATTCTTTTACCTCTCCTAGTCCCGCCTTCCCCAGCACGATGGCACCTCTCTCGCCCTAAATCTTCTCCCCACTCCTCTCAACCCACTGACCGCCCTCGCCTCCCCACCCCCATCCCCTCTTCCCGCACGCACTGTCTACCTTTCTGCCCCTCCGCACTCCCGGACTTCTCAAGCACATACACCCAGCCTCATCTCACCCAACCCGGCCTATTCACTCCCTGAACCACCCCACCCCATCATCCTCTTCCTCCCCCATCTTCCTCCTCCCCAGTAGCTCTTCCCCCTCTTCCTCCTCACTTCCCCACCCCGTCACACCCCCCTCCCTCTCCCTGCCCTCGGTCTCTTCACTCCATCTCCTCCCTTTCACTGTGCTGTTTCGCGGTAGGAAGAGAAGAGTGGTGATACCTGAGGAATAAAAGGTATAACTCCCTCCCCAAACACTGCTAAAATGACTCTGAAAATAAATAATCAGGCAGACAAGGGGAACAGGGAACAGCAACAGACTGTAATGCTTTTCTGGAAAACTGGTGAAAAGCGGAGCTGATGAAAGTGGAACCTATTGTGCATCCAAAGAAATGCTACACAGAAGGAAAACCACTGTTTAGACAGAGCCCTAAATCTCTAGAAATGGAAAGCTAAAAACTAAGAAAGTCTAGGGTAAGAGGGTAAACCTGAAAAAGATGGACCTATTGAAAATCTGTATAAGAAGGAGTTAGGGCTGAGATCTTTCCCTTATTCTTGGTCTGCACATCCATGAACCTAACTTTCCCCCAATACCATTTTTGACTTAAAACAAGAATCAGTAAACTTTTTCTATAAAGGGCCAAATGTTTACTTTGGCTTTGTAGGTCCCTATGGGCTCCATCACAACTACTCACCTCTGCCTTTATAGCACAAAAGCAGTCATAGACAATACATAAATGAATGAAGAACATGGCTATGTTCCAATAAAGCTTTACTTATGGAGACTTAAATTTGAATTTCATATAATTTTCACATGTCACAAAATATTATGTGACATTTTACATGAAATGTAAAAATCATTCTTAGCTCATGGGCTATACAAAAAAAAAAAACAAGTTGCAGACTGTATTTGGCCCATTGGGTGGTAGTTTGCTCATCCCTGGCTTAAAGAAAAAAACAATTAATAAACCAGGAATAAGGCCAGGTGCAGTGGCTCACACCTGCAATCCCAGCACTTTGGGAGGCTGAGGTGGGCTGATCACCGGAGGTCAGGAGTTCAAGATCAGCCTGGCCAACATGGTGAAACCCCCATCTCTACTAAAAATACAAAATTAGCTGGGTATGGTGATGCCTGCCCGTAATCCCAGCTACTTGGGAGGCTGAGGCAGGAGAATCTCTTGAACCCAGCAGGCAGACGTTGCAGTGAGCCGAGATCATGCCATTGCACTCCAGCCTAGGCAACAAGAGCAAAACTCCATCTCAAATAAATAAATAAAATAAATAAATAAACAAACCAGGAATAGAAGAGAACTTCTTTAACCTGATAAAGGGTATCTATTTTTCTTATTCTGAAACACATCTTCCAAAAAGAGAAAGTTGGGATGCATTCTCATTAAAATTATGAAGACAAGGAGACTACTATCATCACTTTTATTCAACATTGTATTTTGGTCATTACCAACATAATGAGATAAGAAAAAGAAACCAAAAGATTGGAAAGGAAGACATAAAACTGTCAACATTTACAGAGGACATGATTACACCATAGAATCTAAAGACAAATTAATCTAAAGACAAATTACTATAAATAATAGGAAAGTTTAATGAAGTAACTGATATAAACTCAATCCTCTATTTTCACATCTTTGCTTTTCCTATTGCCTATGTTTTTATGTTTTTGTTATACTTGCTGGGATATTTCTTCTCCTTTACCTTCCCAAACCTTTATTAAATACTTATTCTGAGCTCTCATATTTTAAGTTTTCAGGAGTTGTTTACTTGTTAATCCTTCCCTTGTTTAAGTATCTTGTTCTTTCATAGATGTGATACCTGCTTTTATTTCTCATTGATTATAGTTGTGTTTTAAAGTCTCTTCTGAATTGTCTCTGTTCTTCCAAGTTCTTCCTTGTTTTGAACTCTGCCTTTGTTACTGGATACTTTCTTTGCATTTTAATGAGACTAAGAGGTCCCTTCTGAAACCTTACACATCAGCATCTCACTCTCCAACCAAAACCCAATATCTTTGCAGCTCTAGTGCTCTAGAGTTCCCACTGCCTTTCTTCTTTGACCTCACTAGTACCTTCAGGCACTTCCCCCTTTTGTTTCCAGTCAGTCAGCTTCCTTCCCTTACCGACTACATTACCTGAAACTTTCTAGCCTAAACCATGATCAGTCAATTCAGTTGCACCCACAATTCAAACATCCGCTTACTAGATCAAATTAACTCTGCCCTCTCAGTTGTCAGAAGATTAAAAAGTCTGCATGTTGGACTCCCAATTCTTCAGCTCCATGTTCCTCTGAGCCTCCAACATGCTCACTTAAGCATGTCCTTCTATTGACCAAGGCAGCTTTTGCAGACCTTCAGGCATATTCTTAAACCACTTCCTAGTCCTCATTCTCAGCAGAGGATCATACCTTACATTCTTATCTCATATCTCAGTGGAAGTGGCATTCCTGCTTCCATACAGATTTTCCATACAAATTTTCTCCCTTCACCTGTGCTCTAGCCAAGTGATTCTCAAACTTAAGCATGCATCAAAATCACCTGGTACATTCCTAAAGCCCCACTCTCACAGATACTAATTCACTGTATCTGGGATAAAGTCTAACAATTTTGTATTATAACTCAGGTACTAAACCCAGTAAACAAAGTTCTTATTTTTCTTGATGCTGTTGGCCTTAATTCTTTCCCTAGTTCTAGAAGACACTACATGTCTTATGGCCTGCCGCAATTAGGGCCATCCCCCCCACCTCTTGAAAAGACATTATTATTTTGAATATTTCTCACACATACACACACACACAGAGAAAATTAAATTAATCAACTCACAACTCTATTAATTGCCCCAGAGATCTATCCTCACATCCTTCTCTCATATCTCAGTGGAAGTAGCATTCCTGCTTCCATACAAAGTTTTTCCCTTCACCTGTGCTCTAGCCAAGTGATTTTCAAACTTGAGCATGTATCCAAATCACCTGGTGATTGCTAAAGCCCTACACCCACAGATTCTAATTCACTGTATCTGTGATGAAGTCTAACAATTTTGTATTGCTAACAAGCTTCCAGGTGATGCCAGTGCCACCCATTTGCGGATCATCCTTTGAGTATCCTGCTCTAGATTCCATCATCTCCTGTCTCCCAGAAGTCCATACTTCATCTTCAACCTCTTTCCTATTTCCCATGCCCATACCTTACCCCTCAAACACATATGAATGCAGTCAAGACTCTCCAATCTTCAAAAAAGAAAAAAAAAACTTTCAAAATATCCTATTATTCTCACCTTTTTTTTTTTTTTTTTTTTTTGGAGACAGAGTCTTGCTCTGTCACCCAGGCTGGAGTGCAATGGTGCGATCTAAGCTCACCGCAACCTCCGCCTCTCAGAATCAAGCAATTCTCCTGCCTCAGCCTACTGAGTAGCTAGAATTATAGGCACGTGCCACCATGCCCAGCTAATTTTTTGTATTTTTAGTAGAGACGGGGATTCACCATGTTGGTCAGGCTGGTCTCAAACTCCTGCCCTCGTTGATCCGCCCACCTCAGCCTCCCAAAATGCTGGGATTACAGACGTGAGCCACCACACCCGGCCTGCACCTTTTCTTTATAACCAAGCTTTTCAGAGGAATCATGTCCATACTCTTTACTTCCTCGCCATCGATTGCACTTTTCAATTTGGTTTCTATTCCAACTAAAGCATCAAAACGACTCAGATACTAAACCCAGTAAACAAGGTGCTTATTTTTCTTGATGCTGGTTGGCCTTAATTCTTCCCCTAGTTCTAGAAGACACTACATGTCTTATGGCCTGCCAAAATTAGGGCTATCCCCCCACTTCTTGAAAAGACTTATTATTTTAATCTTTCTAACCACAGCACAGATGATATAGGACTAACAAGATACATTTTTTTCCCCTTTATTTTCCATTAAATGCAATGCAAAGTAAATCTAAATATTAACTACACTGCTCTTCCCTTTTCCTGGAGGTAGGAAGCCTTTTATGATTCAAACTATTCTGTGCCTTGAAGCATCCTGCCTCCCATGTAGTGGTCCTCATTGTCCCTGGGAAGCTCCTCTTCCTTAAGTGATGATGTCCCCAAGGTTCTGACCTCTTTTCACTCTCACTCTCTACCTGGGCCATATCTTTCACCCTATGGCTTAGGCCCAATAATATAACTGCATCCTTGATGTAGCCTTGCAAAACCTTTGACTAATTTAGACCAAATGCATACATTTTGAAGATGTTATTTGATTTTATTAATAATCTTTAAAACCATCTTTATTTACCAAAGATCACTGAAGTCACATGAACTAAAAGGCCTTAAAATTTCTATTTCTCGGCCTGGCACAGTGGCTTACACCTATAATCCCAGCACTTTGGAAGGCCGAGGTGGGCAGATCACGAGGTCAAGAGATCAAGACCATCCTGGCCAACAAGGTGAAACCCTGGCCCTACTAAAAATACAAAAATTAGCTGGGCATGGTGGCGTGTACCTGTAGTCTCAGCTACTCAGGAGGCTGAGACAGGAGAATTGTTTGAACCCGGGAAGTGGAGGTTGCAGTGAGCCGAGATTGTGCCACTGCACTCCAGCTTGACAACAGAGCGAGACTCTGTATTAAAAAATATATATGTATATATATATATTTCTCTGATAAAATATTTAAGTGCTTATTTTTCTAAAAGCCATTAATTACAGCTTTTTCATATATTTTGGTAGTGAAAATATCACAAACACATGACATGTATAAACACACAGACATACAAACACACAGAAGCAGATTTTATAGATTTGTAAGATTCTTCATGTGCCAGTTTTTAAAGTTTCTCTTCCTCATTTTGGACCTTCTCCTGATTACCTGTTCCCTGCCCTAAATAATTGTCAGCTATGCCACTCCAAATCTGCATTTCTAAAGGCACAATTCTTAAGTGAAATGAAATAGAAAATTCATATTTTATTTAAACCAAGGAAAAATGGTATGAGTAAAAGTTCAGTTAAGATGGCCAGGAAGCTGTGTGTGGTGGCTCATGCCTGTAATCCCAGCACTTAGAGAGGTCAAGGCAGGAGGATTACTTGAGCCCAAGAGCTCAAGACCAGCCTGGGCAACATGGCAAGACCCCATCTCTACAAAAACATACAAAAATTAGCTGGGCGTAGTGGTCTCAGCTGCTGGGGAGGCTGAGCTGGGAGGATCACTTGAGCCCAGGAGGTCAAGGCTGCAGTAAGCTATGTTCTCACCACTGTATTCCAGCCTGGGTGATAGAGCAAGACCCTGTCTCAAAAAAAGAAAAAGAAAAAAGATGGTTAGGAAAACAGACACACTTGCCCATTGAAATTTTTTTAAAGATGTTAGTTTCTTAATTGAATTACTGGCTTTAGGGTGGAGCCCTTTAAGGAACAGGGCCAGGAAAGCATGCAGTTTCTATGGCCTAATAAGCAGGCACAGCTGGAAGGCAAAACAGATTTCCAAAGTTAAGGATCCAACTTTTACACTGAATCCTGGGTCCTCAAAAGAGGAGAACACCGCAGGACAAGATAGTGCAATGCTTTTACGGTGCACTTCACTGCAAGGACATTCCCCTGAGGCTGGTGGGCAACCCTATAACAATCAGCCTATTCTGTAATCACTTAATGCTCCATGGGAGTCTTAGCCCTCATTCCATACCTTCTAGGTGCCCCAAAGCATGCTTTTCTTATCTAAATGTGCAAAAAAAAGCAGTACCACCCTGTAGTGATAACTATTCACTGTAAACAACTGTCAATAGCCATCTCTAAAAGTATATTTGTTTCCTAGCTTTTACATACAAAGATTAAAATTTAAGCAGACAGAATTCAGTTGCTTAAGAAGTTTTTACAGAGAGAGAGCAGAGGCTTTAAAACAATATCTGTACACATATATTCTAAATCAGTTTTAATTAAGTTGACTTTTAACTATAGAGCTCTTGAAGAAAATTCTTTCAGATCTCTTATTACCAGTTTTTAGCTGGAACAAACAGCTGATATTTCTGGCTTTTGAACTCTCTACCAAGGATAACCTCCCACCTGAAACCAATGAGCCTTAACTAGGGTTATGACTTAACCACAGATGCACAAGGTATCTCCAAAGAGATGCCAAGCAGTTTTTTACAAGATCTAGAATCACCCCAAAGGTATCTCAGAGCAAGGAAAATTCAAGACAGGAAATCAGAAGCTGTCCATCAATGAATGGCAAAAAGTCCCACAAATACAAAACCAGAAAGGACGCATTCCCTAAGCTGGGAAGTGATCCCAGGCCACCATAGTGAAAGGGCAGAGATTTAGCTACTGTGCTACAGCATAGGGTGGTTGCCAGTGCTCTTCCCAGAAAGAATCTAGAGCAGTCATTTTCAAGCTTGCGAATGATTTTAACTGCTCAAGAGAATTTTTAAGGCTACCCACGACACTACTGTTTAACCTTCCTTCAATTGTTTTAGATAAGAGATCTCTAAAATCCTTTTTCTTTCAATGGTGTACTTAGTTCCAATAGAGACTCAAACACCTTTTTTAAATTGCAGATGGTAATTTTCCAGGTTTTTGCCATATAAGCAGCAAGAAGTATTCCTAGAGGAGGCATCCCCAAGTATTCCCTCTTGGAAATGGGTTTAAGATAGCAAAATACAACAAAAGTCCTGTAGAGATAGGACTGTTTTTTTGTCCTAATAAATCCAACCAGCAGAGATGGGACGTTTTAAGACAAAACTCACCTAAGGGCTCAACACATTCAGGACGAAGAGTATGCTAATGTGTCTCAGACTCCCAGTCCTCTCAGACCAGCCACCTGACTTGAACCCAAGAATTTCCACCCTCCAGATGGCAGAGATCAAGAGAGAGAGTACCCCTACATGGTTACAAAGTCAAGCTCTCAACCACATAAAACAAGACAAGGGAAATCTCATCCAGTTTTTGTTCCAAGGACCTGCAGCAAAGTTTGTAACCGACCAGTCTGCAGGGCTGGCTTGAACAGCAGGCTTACAGGGATCCTAGGCCTGTGTTCTATCCTATGGTATCCTTCTCCATGACAGAACGACACAAAAAGGCAAAGACAAAGGAAGATGGCAAAAAAGGTGATTTCTGAGAAGGGGCCAAACAATACAAATATTTATAGTTCAAAGTAGCAAAAGTACACAAGATTCACTACAACCTAAGACTAGTCACACAAATCTTCTTCCCTATTAATCAAAACTTTGCAGAGGAGACAAACAGTGATTTTTATTGTTCACTCAACTCATTTGCACAGAGAGAGAAAGGCCAGAGGCTAGCTGGTAAGAAATTAGCTTTTTACCAGCTTGTCAGGTTTATGGCTTCCCTTTCTCAGCTGCTTCCAGAAGAGCAGAGTGGCTTTTGATGACCCTGCTTGCTGCACCGTAGCTGTGGGGGCCAAGCCACGTTACAAAAGAAAAACATTCCTTTTCTTTTCATGGAACCACAGGCAAAAGGCCCCAGTTTTGCAAGAGGCAGCCCAACAGGTTGTGTGGGGGAACTAAATTAACATTTCCCATTCCAACAGGAGTTATACACACATGTCAAAACACAGACACTAGTCACTCTGCTCAGTGCCCAAGTATCAACCTGGCAAGGCTCAAACTTGCCCCCATTGGCCCCTATCTGAGTCTCCCCCCCAATATAAGTTTCATGGTGGTAGGGCATATTAAGAAAGCCTGGCAGGCCAGGCGCGGTGGCTCCCGCCTGTAATCCTAGCACTTTGGGAGGCCAAGGCAGGCAGATCACCTGAGGTCAGGAGTTCGAGACCAGCCTGGCCAACATGGTGAAACCCTGTCTCTACTAAAAATACAAAATTAGCCAGGTGTGGTGGTGTGCACCTGTAATCCCAGCTACTCAGGAGGCTGAGGTAGGAAAATCGTTTGAACCTGGGAGGCAGAGGTTTCAGTGAGCCGAGATCACGCCACTGCACTCCAGCCTGAGTGACAGAGTGAGACTCCATCTCAAAAAAAAGTACCAGAACTAGAATGAAGCTGTTTTCTCTGCTATGTCTTGCAGTATTCCTTCCAGTGCAATTTACTGTCAAAGTCTAACGTTGTGCCCAATGGCAAAGAAGAAATGTTTATAGGGTCCAGCTCCAGAACCACAAGGCAGGACAAAGATGGAGTGGATTTGGAACAAAGATGCAATAAAATAATATTGAGCACCAGTCACACCTTTGGCTGCACAGTTTTCATATTACACATATTTGAACTTTTTTTTTTTTTTGAGACAGAGTCTTGCCCTGTCACTCAGGCCAGAGTGCAGTGGCACAATCTCAGCTCACTGCAACCTCTGCCTCCTGGGTTCAAGCGATTCTCCTGCCTCAGCCTCCCAAGTAGCTGGGATTACAGGCACCCACCATCACACCCAGCTAATTTTTGTATTTTTAGTAGAAATGGGGTTTTGCTATGTTGGCCAGGCTGGTCTGGAACTCCCGACCTCAGGTGATCTGCCTGCCTTGGCCTCCCAAGGTGCTGGGATTACAGGCATGAGCCACCGTGCCCGGCCTGAACTTTTATACAACAATGAAATAATTCTCTATTTTCACCAATCAAGACAAAGCCACCTTATAAGTGAAGAAGTTCTCACTCTGTCCCCAAAATAAAGAGAGCCCTAGTCATTATATAGCTCAATACACAGCTGTATTATTTACTCTTCAAATTCAGTCACAGTATCCTTGACCATATATACTCTTACCAAAAGGACTATATTACGACATAACTTCCAACAATTTGTATATAAAATCATAAGTGTCAGGAGAAGAAACAGTTGCCGAGAGCAGCATGTGTACTGCCCAGGTAGGTGACCCAGTCAGTGGTGGGGACGAATTTACTGACCCTCTCAATCCCGTGTAGGTCAGGCCCATCCATGGTTAAGGCTGAAACACACAAGTCCTAGTGGGAGGAATCTGAAAACCAAGTTAGGTGAAAAGGCCTAGGGGTCTCCAACCTTGGCCTCCGTCCCTGATAGAATCAGAGGAGAGAGGCCTGGGGTGCTGGAGGCAGAAGAGGCCCTGCCCTGTCCAACCCTGAGAGGCAGATTCTCAGTCCCCAGGATGTCGGACACTTTTTTCTCTCTTGTCACTGAGTCTCCTCTCCACAGGCAGAACTGTGGGCTGAACCCTGAGGCCAGCGCCTCTGCTCTCTAATGACCACCACCAAATACTCAGGCCCACTGTTCACTAGGTGGCATCTTACTCTGAGCATTACATATTTATTTCCGTGAATGTTTTAGCTTAATACCATGAGATGGTCCTTACTGTCCTCACTTTACAGCTGAGAGACAGAGCCTCGATGATCTGAGGAAACCTGCCCAGGGTCACAGGTCGTGTGGCCAAACCCTAACAGGGGCCAGGTCTACATCAAAGCTCAGTTGAGCTCTAAACAGGGGGCCACCAGATTAGGGGCACCAGCCCTAGGGGTCCTCCAGGGATCTGGAGAGACAGGAAAGAAGGCAGAGAACATATTAGAACTATTATAAAATCTTCAATCTTATGCCCTTTTAATGTGATTTGCGTTTGTTCTTTCAACCTGCATTATGTTTGCACATGTTTGTTAGCTGCATGTTCAAAATATATTACTGAATGGAGTGTGTGATCAAAAGAGTTTGGAGATCCTTGCTCCAAATCTCTGCTCCAGAAATCTTCTCTAAAGCAGCGGGTCTCAGAAAAGGAAGCAGAACCAAGAAGCAGCAGCGGCCTGGGAGGCGCCCGGACAGAAGGTGCTCCGTGGGCGGGGGGGAGTAACTCGTGGGCCCGGGAAAAGGCCCCCAACCTGGTCTCACCAGATTTTCCTCAGCCTCTGCTGCCCCCTTGTGGCCACCACGTGGCAGACAGAAAGAGCAGTTCCCAGCAGGAAGACACCGAGGGAGGGGTACGGAGGATGCAGAAAACAATCTTAGAACCGTGGAAGGGAGCGAAGGAAACCAGACACTAAAGACCTCAAGCTGTAGCAATCCAAACATGCGAAGTTGAAGAATAGCAAAACGAGGCGGGCGCGGTGGCTCATGCCTGTAATCCTAGCACTTTGGGAGGCTGAAGCGGGCGGATCACTTGAGGTCAAGAGTTTGAGACCAGCCTGGCCAACATGGTGAAACCCCGTCCCTACTAAAAATACAAAAATTAGCCGGAAATCGCTTGAACCCGGAAGGCGGAGGTTGCAGTGAGCCAAGATCATGCCACTACACTCCAGCCTGGGCAACAGAGTAAGACTCTGTCTTAAAAAAAAAAAAAAGAAAAAAGAAAAGAAATGTCTTTTCTCACAGTTCTAGAGGCCAGAAAACCTGAGATCAAGGCACTACTGCCTGGTGAGGGCTGTTCTCTGCTTCCAATGTGGCATCTGTTGCTTCATCCTCTGGAGGGGAGGAACACTGTGTCCTCACGTGGCAGGGAGTGGAAGGGCAAAAGGGATGAACTCTTTCCATCAAGTCCTTTTATAATGACATTAATCCATTCGTGCCGGCTCTGCCAAAAGGCCCTCCCAAAAGGCCCCACCTTCCAACAGTTGCATGGGAATTAAATTTCCAACACATGAATTTTGGGAGACACATTCACAGCGTAGTCCAGCCTAAGCAATACGCTGTGCCAGGATTGCGGGGAGGGAGGGAATAGCTGCAGAAGCAGGGAATAAAGAATTTGGACTGAGACATGTTTCAGTTGACATCCTGGTGGGGAGTGGAGGAGGTGGCTGATGTGAAGAATGTGAAGAAAACAGTGATTCCACTGAAAACACATCCGACAGTCCTCTATCCTTACCAGGTGCTCCGTATAGTTTGGCGAGAGAGGCAGAAAGGTCTGAGTTCCAAGGAGAGGTCAGGGCTGGAGACATTCCATTGTGTGGCCACAGCTTCTTCCCAGAGCTTGCAGGAGACATGTTCACACCACCTCCCACCACCCCCACGATGCTATTTGTTCTGTATGTCTCTCCCACCTAGACTGGGAGCCTTGGAGGGCAGGGCATTGGGGGCCAGAGAGCCTTCCAGGCAGACTCTCCTAATGCCCGAAGCAAGGCTAGGCTCAGAAGCCCCGTGAGGAAGGCAGGTGAGGAACAGGCAGCCCTTGACCCATGACTGTGCCAGGTTGGGGACCTGGGACCCAGGGAAGCCTTCTCCCGCCTCACCATCAGCACAGGCCAGGATTGGAGAGTTTACCTCCTTTGGTGTTTACCAAACACACAGGGAAGACCAGTTGTGAGTAGACCAAGGCAGCCCAGCTGGGTGATCAGCAAGTCTCACCACCTCAGGCTACCCTCTTCACACACCGCAGCCTGTCCCCTGCCTACACTGCGCATCTTGAGTGCTCTGACCCCTTCACTACCCCTTCCTCCACCCCCCTGGACAGCAGCCCTGAGACAGGTCCTGAACCCCTAGCCAAGTACCCGCTGCCCACCCCCAGTGCCCCACCCACCCTTACTAGCTCTCACCCACCCTCCCATCCTAAACCTCAGCCCTCCCACCCCCCCATGCCCACCTGAGCCCCCGCTTTCAGCTGCCTAAGAACTTCCCCCTGATGTGAAGAAAACAGCGATTCCCCTGAAAACACATCTGACAGTCCTCTATCCTTAGCCAGGGCTCCATATAGTTTGGCGAGAGAGGCAGAGAAACAACAACGACAAAAAAATATACACGCACACACACACACACAGACATCCACAGATTCATAAACATTTTGGATCCCTGGAGCTTGGATACATTTTCTAAAGGGCAAGCAGTTGTTTTGCTTATTTAATTTTATTGACAATCATCTTGTCATTCACTCTTGTAATTATAAATTTTTGGATTTACCTTTTTAAATATATTTTAATAGATTCTTTCCCCATACTAGACCCCAGCACACAACTAATTTCCTTGTCATGAAAAAATAAAAATAAAAAACTCATTTGTGATATCTTTAACTTTTGCCTGTAGTTTCTAAATTTAAAATGGAAGATTGTCAATCCATAATTATATGTGTCCAGTAAAAATTTTAAAGACTGTTTCCAGGGTTAATTGTCAACCTCCCCAGGAAAGGGATAACCAGTAATGCCGCCCCAGCCCAGAGTCTCCTAGGACGGCAGCTGACACTGGCCAAGTCCGCCAGGTGCCTCCTGTCCATCTCCTTCCCTCTTCATCCAGCACCCACCCACTCACCCACGCCAGCCCCAACCTCTTTACAGATGAAGGAACTGAGTGAGGCTCAGAGAGGTTAGCTAGTCTGACCAACATCACACTGTGTCAAACTCCTAAGCTAAGTGTTTTTTTCACTATTATATACTCTTCTGCTCTACCCACCAAAAAATTTCTTATCATGCCTTTGTTGCGAAAGAAGGAAAGAAAGAAAGAAGGAAGGAAGGAAGGAAGGAAAGAAAGAAGGAAGGAAGGAAGGAAGGAAAGAAGGAAGGAAGGAAAGAAAGAAGGAAGGAAGGAAGGAAGGAAGGAAAGAAGGAATGAAGGAAGGAAGGAAGGAAGGAAAGAAAGAAGGAAGGAAGGAAGGAAGGAAGGAAGGAAGGAAGGAAGGAAGGAAGGAAGGAAAGAAAGAAAGAAAGAAAGAAAGAAAATCTTTTGTCCCCAAAGTTAGAAAAACAAGTGAAAAAGGCCCAAGGCTATCAGCGAGGGCTCCAGAACCAAGGCAGTGCGGCCCTGCCCTTTCCTCCCACCTCACCCCTGCTCTGCTTTCCTCAGCCACTCCTGACCAGCAAGCAGGACACTGGGCATGGGTCCCAAGCCTGTGTCACCTTGGGCAGGTCGCGTCTCCCCTCTGGGCCTCAGTAAAAGAAGAAATGGGACCAAGTGAACAGTTCCAGGCTGTGTTCCCCAGCATCCTACATCCCATGGCAACCTTGAAGGGTCACTCTGGGTAGGGGTGGGGTCTCAGGAGGGGAAAGACTCAGCCAGAGCACTGATCCTATATCTCTTCTCTATTTTGGGATTCTAGATATGAGTTTGATGGACAAAATTCCTCTACATTTGACATGATGAAAAGAAAAAGTTTGAAAGCCAGAGGCAAGACCATCCTGAAGATTCCTTTCAACTCCAAGGTCCTTTCACTTCCACAGGTGATCTGACATCACCACCTCTCTCACCACGCTGACAGCACTTTCATTTTGACTCTTGTGATGAGGTCACCTGGTATCTACACAGGATGGGGTTTTTTTGTGGAAAATGAAGGATTTCCATATCTGCGAATTTATTACACAAGAGTTTTAATATGGCTGAGCACAGTGGCTCATGCCTGTAATCCCAGCACTTTGGGAGGCCAAGGCGGGCAGATCACTTGAGGTCAGGAGTTCAAGACTAGCCTGGCCAACATAACAAAACCCCATCTCTACTAAAAATACAAAAATTAGTCAGGTGTGGTGGTGTGCACCTATAGTCCCAGCTACTTGGGAGGCTAGGGCAGGAGAATCGCTTGAACCTGGGAGGCAGAGGTTGCAGTGAGCCAAGATCGCACCACTGCACTCCAGCCTGGGCAACACAGCAAGACCCTATCTCAAAAAATGGAGGAAAAAAAAGAGTTTTAATCCCAGATGTTTTATTCATTAAAATTCACTGCTAAACAAACAACCAAAAAAACTGTCAGTTAACTAGAAGGATTGACGGGGGTGTCTGATTAACTGGAAGTGTCCTGAAGATGTCCTGACTTTATAAGGACAATTTTGTAATGAATACATATACATTCTGTGAGGGCAGGGAGGGTTTTGCTAAGCACAGGGTAGATAGTCAAGCTTGGTTAACTTACTGCTTGAATAAATGAATGAATACATGAACTTTTCTCTGGTGGTCAAGAGTAATGCAGGGCCTTAGCTGCTTTGCAGTACATGTGGCCTCCAACGTCACCCTCAGCTGCTCCTGTTGCCAGCATTTAACAGCCTTCCAGTCACTCCTCACTCTTCACAATTCACTAAAATTTTCAGTCCCTGGGTCACTGTCTTTCTCTTCATCCCACTCCTGCTACCATTCTTTGTGGCTTCTCTATCAACCAAGACACTCCACCCAACACCCTGGCCTCTCACCTTGACCTTTTGACCTTCTCACCTCCAGTGATCTTGTCCTCCCCCTACTGCAGCCACTCACTCCACAGTCATACCTAGACCTTGTCATTACCTGTACCTGTACCTGAAACCTCTCCATAATCTCAGTTTTAAGTATCCCCCTTCCTGTCCTTGCAGATCACTCCCTCTAGTGTCCACCTCCAAAGATCAAACAATATTTTCACTTCTCCAGACCTCCAACCCCTTTGACCCTGACATTATGAGATCCTGTGCCCTCCCAACCTTATCCCGCTTAGGTTTCATGAAGCATTGTTGTAAGAGCTATCTTGCATCTCAACTCCTATTTCCCTCATTCCCTCCATCATGCCTGCCTGTCAAAAGCCTAGCTCTGGCTACCTCCAACTTCCCACCGACTCCATGCCTGCATCCAAGCAGCTGAAGTGATTGGATAAAAATACTCAACCATGCTCATCAAACATTTACAAACTTCAAGTTGGCCATTAGAAACACCCAGCAGATAACCTGTGATGGAATTAGAGTAAAGAAAAGAAAAAGAAGTATACGGCATTTTCCTGGCCACTCACTCACAGAATTTCAAGGCAACTATTTCACACTTTCTTGTATTTCATTACACAGCCTCCATCCTCCTCACTTTCTTTTTTTTTTTTTTTTTTTTTGAGACAGAGTCTCACTGTATGGCCCAGGCTGGAGTGCAATGGCGCAATCTCGGCTCACCGCAACCTCTGCCTCCTGGGTTCAAGTGATTCTCCTGCTTCGGCCTCCCAATTAGCTAGGATTACAGGCATGCGCCACCACACCCGGCTAATTTTGTATTTTTAGTAGAGACGAGATTTCACCATGTTGCCCAGGCTGGTCTCAAACTCCTGACTCAGGTGATCCACCCTCCTCAGCCTCCCAAAATGTTGGGATTACTGGCATGAGCCAATGTGCTCAGCTCATCTTCCTCACTTTCAACTAACAACCAACTCCTCCACTTGGGCACTAGACCCCACTGCCTCTCACCTACTCAGGGCCATTCCTCCAGCAATACCCCATCTCCTGCACACCGCCTTTCCCTCTGCAGTGGCTCACTCCCATCAGCAAGCAAATATGTTATTCCTCCTATCTTAGAAAATAAAAAATGAATAAATACAAACCTTCCTCAGCACCCAAACTGAGGTCTCCTAGTACCATTTCCTCTAAAAAGAAACATATAGCAGCTTATGTACAAGATGAGCCTGAACATCTTATCACCAGAAAACAAGAAAGGCATCAAAGATATTAGTATTTTATCAACTTGAGGCTCGCACTGCCCAAATATGGCATAAATGGAGCCTCAGTAAAAATAGTGATAGCAACGGATTAAAACACATTAAAATCAACTGACTCATAGTGATACTAAATAAAGGGTCATTGGTTACCTTTGGCAGATGCTAGAGAACAAACTCATTATTCTGAAAGCTGCTAAATAAAGGGGAAAGAATGGCATCAATCTGCCTTTCCTAAATAAGTCATGTCAAAATAGTAGATGGGACATAATCTGTATAAATGAAATCAGTTTAGACAGAATAATAGACTTAGAATATTTGCATTTTATAATCCCTAAGAAAATAATGGATCTAGCAATGCTCATCATGGCTACCAACTAGAATTCTATGCCTCCTGATAGAAACACAGCACAATACCACCTATGACGTAGCCTTGCCAGAAAATAGATCATGAATCATATAAAGTCTTTAAATCTAACTACCAGTTTAAGAAGAAAATGGGGGAGGCAGAGGAATATGGTAAATGGTACAGTGATTCAATTAGCAAAATTCAGAATGTGGAAAGTTCTATAGGAAACAAGCCATTTCTTCAACAAATAAATGTCAAGGGGGTAAAAAAAGATTTAAAGAGACTTAAGCTCCAAGTCTAACCATGAGAAAATCACCAAACAAATTCCAAAAGAGGGGCAGCCTGCATAACACCTGACTAGTACACCTCAAAACTATCAAGGTCACCAAAAACAAGGAACACTGGCAAAACTGTCACAACCAAGAGGGCCCAAAGAGACATGACAAATACATGAAATATGGTATCCTGGAAGGCCAGGCGTGGTGGCTCACGCTTGCAATCCAGCACTTTGGGAGGCCGAGGCGGGCAGATCACTTGAGGCCAGGAGTTCGAGACCAGCCTGTCCAACATGGGGAAACCCCGTCTCTACTCAAAATACAAAAAAATTAGCCAGGCATGGTGGTGGGCACCTGTAGTCCCAGGTACTCGGGAGGCTGAAGCAGGAGAATTGCATGAAACTAGGAGGTGGAGGTTGCAGTGAGCCAAGATCACACCATTGCAATCCAGCCTGGGCAACAAGAGCAAAATTTCGTCTCAAAAAAAAAAAAAAAAAAAAAAAGGAAAAGAAATTATGGAATCCTGGAACAGACAAAAAGACACCAGGTGAAAACTAAGACAATCTGAATGAATGAAGTATGGACTTTAATAATAATTTATCTTTTTTTTTTGAGACAGAGTCTTGCTCTGTTGCCCAGGCTAGAGTGCAGTGGCATGATCTCAGCTTACTGCAGCCTCCACTTCCCAGGTTCAAGTGATTCTCCTGCCTCAGCCTCCCAAGTAGCTGGAATTACAGGTGTGCTCCACCACGCCTGGCTAATTTTTGTATTTTTAGTAGAGACAGGGTTTCACCATGTTGGCCAGGCTGGTCTCAAACTCCTGGCCTCAGGTGATCCGCCCACCTCAGCCTCCCGAAGTGCTGGGATTACAGGCGTGAGCCACCATGCCCGACCAATTTATCAATATTGATTCATTAATTATAACACATATACCCACACTCACATAAGATGTTATTAATAAGGGACACTGAATCCAGGGAGGGCACATGGGAATACTCTGTACTATCCTCTCAGTTTCCCTATAAATCTAAAACTGTTCTAAAATGTGAATTCCACTTCAAAGAAGAGAAAGAGAGACTTAAGACACATATCAACTGAATACAATGCACGGATATTGTTTTGATATTGATTCAAACTGTATATATATTTAATGGAGAATTTGGGAAAACTAAACATTGCATATTTGATAATATTAAGAAATTATGTAAACTTTTCAGAAATAATACTAGCAAAATGGTTATATTATTTAAGAGTTCTTATCTTTTAGGATACTGAAATATTTGTGATAGAAATGATACAATATCATATCATATATCATGTCATATCATATCATATCATATCTGGGATTTGTTCTAAAATAATCTGGTATGGAGGTTGGGAGTAGAGATGGAACCAGAGTGGTCCTGAATTTTTTTTTTCTTTAGACAGTGTCTCGCTCTGTTGCCCAGGCCGGAGTGCAGTGATGCCATTTTGACTCACTGCAACCTCCGCCTTTTGAGTTCAAGTGATTCTCCTGCCTCAGCCACCCTAGTAGCTGGAATTACAGGCATGCACCACCATGTCCGGCTAATTTTTGTATTTTTTATTAGAGACGGGGTTTCACCACGTTGGCCAGGCTGGTCTTGAACTCCTGACCTCAGGTGATCCACCTGCCTCAGCCTCCCAAAGTGCTAGGATTACAGGCATCAGTGGTCCTGAATTAATGATTATTGCATCTGGGTCACGGGTATATGGGAGTTCTTTTTCATTATCTCTATTTATGTGTATGAATTTTCTGGAATAATGAGTTTTTTAAAATTTCTCATGACCTCATATGCTGTCTCGCTAGACATACTTTCTCTGCAGCTCTTGACAGCAAAATTCCTTAAGAAATTCTACAACACAAAATGTCTCTACCTCCTCTCCTCTCACAGATTTATTGAGGCATAATTTACATACCATAAAATTCACCCACTTTGGTCGGGCGCAGTGGCTCACAGCTGTAATCCCAGCACTTTGGGAGGCCGAGGTGGATGGATCACTTGAGGTCAGGAGTTCGAGACCAGCCTGGCCAACACGGTGAAACCCGTCTCTACTAAAAATACAAAAATTAGCCAGGTGTAGTGGTGGCCCCCTGTAATCTCAGCTACTCGGGAGGCTGAGGCAAGAGAATTGCTTGAACCTGGGAGGTGGAGATTGCAGTGAGCCAAGATGGCACCACTGAACTCTAGCCTGGGCAACAGATCGAGATTCCATCTCAAAGAAAAAAAAATCATCCATTTTAAGTGTACAATTCAATGATTTTAGTATATTTATAGAGTTGTAAAACTATCACCACAATCTAATTTTGAAACATTTCCATCACACCAAAAAGAAATTTCATATTCCTTTGCACTTAGCCCCCATTCCAAACCTGAGCCCTAGACAATCACTAATCTTTCTGTCTCTATAGATTTGCCTATTTTAGACATTTCGTGTAAGTGGATTCCTGCAGCCTTTTGAGTCTAGCTTCTTTCACTTAGCATAATGTTTTTGAGGTTCATTCATTTTGCAGCATGTATCCATATTTCATTCATTTTTATTGCTGAATAGTATTCCATTGTATGGACACACCTTTTTTTTTTTTTTTTTTTGAGATAGAGTCTTGTTCTGTCACCCAGGCTGGAGTGCAGTGGTGTGATCTCAGCTCACTGCAACCTCTGCCTCCCAGGTTCAAGCAATTCTTCTGCCTCAGCCTCCCAAGTAACTGGGATTACAGGGGTGCACCACCATGCCCAGCTAAATTTTTTGTATTTTTAGTAGAGACGGGGTTTCACCATGTTGGCCAGCCTGGTCTCAAACTCCTGACCTCAAGTGATGCACCTGCCTCAGCCTCCCAAAGGGACACACCATATTTTGTTCACCAATTCACTGATCAATGGATATTTGGTTGTTTTTACTTCATACCTATTGTGAATAACACTGCTATGAATTCTTATACAAGTATTTGTGTGGACAATACGCTTTCATTTTTCTTTCTTTTTTTTTTCTTTTTTGAGACAGAGTTTTGCTCTTGTTGCCCATGCTGGAGTGCAACAGCGCAATCTCAGCTCACCGCAACCTCCGCCTCCTGGGTTCAAGTGATTCTCCTGCCTCAGCCTCCCAAGTAGCTGGGATTACAGGCATGCACCACCATGCCCAGCTAATTTTTGTATTTTTAGTAGAGATGGGGTTTCTCCATGTTGGTCAGGCTGGTCTCAAACTCCTGACCTCAGGTGATCCGCCCACCTCGGCCTCCCAAATTCCTGGGATTACAGGCGTGAGCCACCACACCTGGCCTGCTTTCATTTTTCTTAGGTAGATACCTAGGAACCCAATTGCTGAGTCATATGGAAAATCTGTGTTGAATGTTTTAAGGACTTAACCAGCTGCCTTCAAGCTCCAAGACAAGATGACGTAGATGCTCTTCTGATTCCTCCTGCTAAATACAGCTACAATCCTGGATGGTATATATAAAACAAACATAAGAAGATCCTGAAAGATGCAGAGAAGGCAGACTGGCTAGGAATCTCAAGACCCGAAAAAACAATATAGTGGTGAGTTCCCTGGGTTTGGCTTTTGCCTCATATATACAAGACTGGGTGCTGGAAAAGCCAGCAACCAGGAAACTCCAACAGGAAGATGAAAAAAATCCCGGAAAGTCTCTGGCCAAAGGACCAACAAAGGAACATCCTGGAAAGACAAAACTTTTAGACAATGACTACTCTATTTCAGGCAAAAAAAAAAAAAAAACACTCTCACCCCCATATCTGCCAATAAAGGATGAGTGGGGAGTTTAGCCATCAACTCCCACCCAGCTGAGGCACCCCTCCCCAGCAAGTAGGAAGCTGGGACTCTCAGCCCCGCCTGGTGGTATGAAATCCCCCTCCATCACAACCAGTGTCACTGGAGACCCCGTGGGGAACAGGAATGAGGTGCTTCTTACTCTCTCAGCCAGGGTGTGTCAGCAGAGACCTAGTGGGAAGCCTGAACCCCCATCCACACCTAGCAATAACAAGGAGCACGGCTCCCTCAAGTGTTCACAGAGGCCAAGTGAGGAACCTGGGCCTCTCCCCCAACCTGACAGCAGTGAGGCAGCACCCTCTTTGCTCAACTAGTGCGGTGTCAAAGGATGATCACTAAAACAGACTTAAATAAGATCCAGAGTCTCATAACATACAATCCAAAATGTGCAGGATGCAAGCGAAAATCACTTGTCATACCAAGAATCGGGAAAATCTTGAATAAGAAAAGACAATTAACAGACATCAACACCCAAGTTGACTTAAATGTTGGAATCACCTGATGCATATTTAAAGCAAGCAAGTATTTTAAAACAAGTATTAAAAATGCTTTACAGGCCAGGCACATTGGCTCACTCCTGTAATCCCAGCACTTTGGGAGGCCAAGGCGGGTGGATCACTCAAGGTCAGGAGTTCGAGACCAGCCTGACCAACATGGCGAAACCCCGTCTCCACTAAACATACAAATATTAGCTGGGCATGGTGGTGCATGCCTGTAATCCCAGCTACTAGGGATGCTGAGGCAGGAGAATCACCTGAACCCGGAGGCAGAGGTTGCAGTGAGCTGAGATCATGCCATTGCACTCCAACCTGGGTGACAGAGCAACACTCCATCTCAAAAAAAAAAAAAATAAAAAGAAAAAAGCTTCACAGGCCAGGCACATTGGCTCACATCTGTAATCCCAGCATTCTGGGAGGCCGAGGTAGGCAGATCACTTGAGGTCAGGAGTTCAAAACCAGCCTGGCCAACATGGCAAAACCCCATCTCTACTAAAAATACAAAAATTAGCCAGACATGGTGGCAGATGCCTATAATCCCAGCTATTCGAGAGACTGAGGCAGGAGAATCACTTGAACCTGGGAGGTGAAGGTTGCAGTGAGCCAAGATTGCACTGCTGCACTCCAGCCTGGGCAACCGAGTGAGACTCTGTCTCAAAAAAAAAAAAAAGCTTTACAGCCAAGTGCAGTGGCTCATGCCTGGTGGGAGGATCACTTGAGCCCAGGAGTTCATGACCAGCAACATAGGGAAATGCTGTCTCTACAAAAAACAACAACAAAATAATAATAATAATAATAATAATAATAATAATAATTACCCAGGAATGGTAGTGTGTACTTGTGGTCCCAGCCCCTTGGAAAAAAAAAATGTTTTTAATTAGCCAGACATGGTGGTGTGTACTTGTGGTACCAGCTACTTGAAGGCTGAGGTGGGAGGATCACTTGAGCCTAGGAGGTCAAGGCTGCAGTGAGCCATGATTGCACTTCAGCCTGGGCAACAGAGCAAGACCTTGTCTCAAAAAGAAAAGGAAAAAAAAAAAAACAACACTTAACAAGCAATTACAAACTCTCTTGAAACAAATGAAAACCAGAAATTTTGGCAAAGAAATGGAAGATATAAAGAAGAATCAGGCCGGGTGAGGTGGCTCACACCTGTAATCCCAGCACTTTGAGAGGCGGAGGTGGGCGGATCATGAGGTCAAGAGATCAAGACCATCCTGGCCAACATGGTGAAACCCCGTCTCTACTAAAAATACAAAAAGTTAGCCAGGCATGGTGGCAGGTGCCTGTAATTGCAGCTACTTGGGAGGCTGAGGCAGGAGTATCACTTGAACCTGGGAGGCAGAGGTTGCAGTGAGCCAAGATCGTACCATTGCACTTCAGCTTGGGCAAAAACAGTGAAACTCCATCTCCAAAAAAAAAAAAAAAAAAAAAAAAAAAAAAAAGAAGAAGAAGAATCAAATAGAAATTTTAGAACTTAGAAATATAATCATGAAAATTGAAGACTCAATAGATTGGCTTAACAGCAGATTGGAGAGGACAGAGGAAAGATTCAGCGAACTTAAAGGTAGAAGAGAAATTACTCAATCTGGACAACGGAGAAAAATAGACTGAAAAAAATGAACAGAGGTTCATTTATGGGACTGTAACAAAAGAGCTAACTAACGTTCTGTCATCAGCATTTAAGAAGAAGAGAGAGAGAATGGAGCAGGAAAATGTACTCAAAGAAACAATGCCTGAAAAACTCCCAAATTTGGCAAAAGATATTAACTGATTGATGCAAGAAGCTAAGTGAACCCCAAACAGTATGTTTTCATGTATTTGATGGCCATTTATGTATCTTCTTTGGTGAAATGTCTATTCAAATCTCTTGCCCATTTTTTATTGTTATTATTGAGTTATAAAAGTTCTTTTTATATTCTAGATACAAGTCCCTTATCTGATAAATGATTTGCAAATACTTGATCTCATTCTATTGCTTTTGTTTATCTTTTCACTTTCTTATGGTTGCTGTTATTTTTATGTTTGTTTTTTTCCTTAATGAAGGCAATTTCCACTTTCTTTTTTTTTTTTTTTTGAGACAGAGTCTTGCTCTATCACCCAGGCGGGAGTGCAGTGGCATGATTTCGGCTCACCACAACTTCCAACTCCCAGGTTTAAGAAATTATCCTGCCTCAGCCTCCCAAGTAGCTGGGACTACATGCATGCACCACCATGCCCGGCTAATTTTTGCATTTTTTAGAGACAGGGTTTCACCATGTTGGCCAGGCTGGTCTCAAACTCTTGGCCCCAAGTGATCCACCTGCCTCGGCCTCTCAAAGTGCTAGGATTACAGGTGTAAGCCACCACACCCAGCCTTCACTTTCTTGATGGTGCCTTTTGGAGTACAAAAGTTTTCAATTTTGATGAAATCCAATTATCAATATTTTATGTGAAGCATGGGCAATATAGTGAGACCCTGTCTCCACACCAAAAAAAAAAAAAAAAAAAAATTTAACAATTAACCAAGCGTGGTTGTATGCACCTGTAGTCCCAGCTATCCAGGAAGCTGAGGCAGGAGGATCACTTGAGCCCGGGAGTTGAGGCTGCAGTGAACTATGATTGCACCATGGCACTCCAGACTGGGTGACATACCAGGACCCTGTCTCCAAAAACAAAATACTATTTTATTGCTTGTGTAGATGTAAGAAAGTATCATATGTAAGAAATCATTGCCTAGCCCAACATCATGAATATCTACTTTTAGGCCTTTTTCTAATAGTTTTATAGTTTTGCACTTACATTTAGGTCTATGATCAATTTTAAGTTGGTTTTTTGTGTATGGTATGAGGTAATATAGGAATTACAAGCTATAAATCCCCTCTAAGCATAGCTTTAGCTACATGTCAAAAATTAATTCTGATATGTTCTGTTTCAATTTTCATTCAGCTTGAAATATTTTCTGGTTTTCCTTGTGATTTCTTCTTCCACCCATTGGTTGTTTAGAAGCATGCTGTTTAATTTTCACACACTTGTAATTTTCTCAAATTTCCTGTTGTTGTTGATTTCTAATTTAATTCTATTGTGATCAGAGAACATCTTTGTATTATTTCAGTCCTTTTAAAATTATTGAGACGTGTTTTATGGCCTAGCATATGGCCTATCCTGGAGAACGTTCCATGTACACTTGAGAAAAATGGTATATCCTGCTATTGTTTAGCAGAGTGTTTTATAGATGTCCGTTAGACTTAGTTAGTTGACAGTGTTACCCAAGTCTTCTGCTCAAGGACAGCCCTCACCTCTCAGCCCTCTTTGTGGACTGAAGATAATTGCTTCCCCAAGGTCACACTCTTTCTAGGGGCAACCCACCTTCCGTGACTGATTAATGTGGGGGGCAAAAACCCAGCTCCCTTGCCCCAGTTGGGGATGGCTCTGAAGGGCCATCCCAGCTCCGTGTTAAATCTCAAAGTCCACTTCCTGGAGACCCAACCTGTGTACCCCTTATTCAGTCAAACTATACCCACTCTAGTTTTAAAATATATTCCAAATCAGACTCACCATGCCCCAATCATCTCTCACTGGTCACCACATCGAGAATGGCCTGGGCCAACAGTTGGAGGCAAGTTGGAAGCAAGGGAGCCAGGTAGGATACTATCACAATATTCCTAATTAGAGATGGTAGGGGTGTGGTGATGAGCAGTTTAATTTGGTACTTATTTTTGAAACTACAGTTGCCATCTCTTATTGACCTCTCAGTCTTTTTTTTTTTTTTTTTTTTTTTTGAGACAGAGTCTCACTCTGTCACCCAGGTTGGAGTGCAGTGGCACGATCTCAGCTCACTGCAACCTCTACCTCCCGGGTTCAAGCGATTCTCCTGTCTCAATCTCCCGAGTAGCTGGGACTACAGGCGTGCACCACTATGCCCGGCTAATTTTTGTATTTTTAGTAGAGATGGGGTTTCACCATATTGGTCAGGCTGGTCTCAAACTCCTGACCTCAGGTGATCCACCTGCCTTGGTCTCCCAAAGTGCTGGGATTACAGGTGTGAGCCACCACGCCCGGCCTGAGGCGGAGTCTTGCTCTGTCACCCACGCTGGAGTGCAATGGCTTAATTTCAGCTCAGTGCAACCTCCACCTCCCAGGTTCAAGTGGTTCTCCTGCCTCAGCCTCTGGAGTAGCTGAGACTACAGGCGTGTGCCACTATGCCTGGCTGATTTTTGCATTTTTGGTAGAGACACGGTTTCACCATGTTGGCTAGGCTAGTCTCGAACTCCTGACCTCAGATGATCCCACCTCCACCACCCAAAGTGCTGGGATTACAGGTGTGAGCCACCGCACCCGACCAACCTCCCAATCTAAAGTAGCCCCCAAGTTCTCTCTCCCCTCACCCTGCCTTATATCATCTCATACTCCTTATCGCTATCTGATATTATATTTCATATTTACTTGGTATCTGTCTATTTTGTTCAAGACCATAAATTCAGGGCCTAAAACATTGCGGGGTATAAAGACTGTGTTCAATAAATACTGTGTAAATGAATTGATAAGTAAATAAGCAAATGACATGCATCAGTACTTACTGAATGCTGCACTGAATGTCAGCAAAGGCATAAGAGAATGTCTGGATCTGTAGTTTCTGATGTAATCGAAGCAGAAACTTGTTTCCCAGCCATGCCCACATTAGTTTTTTAAATGACAAAAAATAAACCCTACTAAGACAGATGGCGCCTCAGGGTAGAAAGAACATGGGTTTGGATGTGAATAACTCACATCTGAAACACACTTAGTAGCTATATGAACTTGTACAAGTGACTCAACTTCTCTGAGCTCCACATCTCACTGTGGGTGGAGGTAATGGTATCCTCCTCCTGGGGGTATTTTAAGTGAGACAGTGCACGCTGAGTTGAGGTCCTGCTCCACACACTGAGGCATGGTCAAGTCCAAAAACAAGTAAATGAAAAAGACAAAAATCCTTGACTTTGTGGAATTGGCAGTCAGTAAATAAGAAATATAAATTAAATATATGTTAGTTAGATGGTGAGAAATAATAAGGAGAAAAGCCAATGGGGGTGGGGAACATGAGAGAAGGCTTCCAGTTTTGAAATGGGGTAGCCAAGGAAGGCCTTGATTAGGTGCCTTTTGAGATGAGGGACAGAGCCACGAAGACAGCTGGGGAAGGAAGCAGTTCAGGCAGTGAGAAGAACAAGGCTCTAAGGTGTGAATGTGCCTGTTTCAAGAACAGCAGGAAGCTAATGGGGCTGGATGGTGAGAAGTAATCAAAGATGAGGTTAGAGAGGGAAGGGCCTTGGCTGGGGGGCAGTGGCTCATGCCTGTAATCCCAGCACTTTGGGAGGCCGAGGCAGGTAGGTTAGGAGATAGAGACCATCCTGGCTAACACGGTGAAACCCTATCTCTACTAAAAATACAAAAAAATAGCCCGGCGTGGTGGCACGCACCTGTAGTCCCAGCTACTCAGGAGGCTGAGGCAGGAGAATCGCTTGAACCCGGGAGGCGGAGGTTGCAGTGAGCCGAGATTGCACCACTGCACTCCAGCCTGGGCCACAGAGCAAGACTGCGTCTCAACAAAAAAAAAAAGAGAGAGAGAGAAAGAGATTGAGAGGGAAAGGCCTTGTGCAGAGCCTTGCAGGCCCTGTAGGAAAGTTAGCTTTACTCTGAGTGAGTGGAGAAGCGATTGGAGACTTTTGAGCAGAGGAGTGAGGTGGTCTAACTTGTATTTCAACTGACTCACTTTGGCTGCTGTGTAGAGATATGGACAAGGAGAGCAAGGACAGCAGCAGGAAGACAAGTTAGGAGATGCAAGAGATGACATAGGCTTGGACTAGGATATTGGCAATAGGGATGAGAAGAGATGAGAAGTGCTCAGATTCTGGATATACATTTTTTTTTTTTTTTTTTTTTTGAGACGGAGTCTCGCTCTGTCGCCCAGGCCGGACTGCGGACTGCAGTGGCGCAATCTCGGCTCACTGCAAGCTCCGCTTCCCGGGTTCACGCCATTCTCCTGCCTCAGTCTCCCGAGTAGCTGGGACCACAGGCGCCCGCCACCGCGCCCGGCTAATTTTTTGTATTTTTAGTAGAGACGGGGTTTCACCTTGTTAGCCAGGATGGTCTCGATCTCCTGACCTCATGATCCACCCGCCTCGGCCTCCCAAAGTGCTGGGATTACAGGCGTGAGCCACCGCGCCCGGCCTGGATATACATATTTTGAAGGTAGAGTCCACAGGATTTAAGACAGTTTGGATGTGGAGTATGAGAAAAAGAGAGGAGTCAGCAATATCTTCAAGGATTTGGGCCTAAACAATGGAAAGAATAGAACTGCAAAACTCAATTCTATCAGGAAGGAAGAGAAGGTTAAGGGAGAAGATCAGGTCAGTTCTGGACATGTTAAGTTTGTGGTACTTGTACTTGGAAGTACAAGTCTGGAGTTCCGGGAAGTGTATGATCTTGAGAGTCATCAGCACAAAGGTGGTCTTCATAGATGGTATCTGAATCTGGTAGGGAGCCAGGAGACTGGATGAGATCACCTAGGGAGACAGAAAACTAGAAGAGGCCCAGGGAATAACCATGGACACTACAATGGTAAGAGGTTGGAGAGATGAAGAGTAACCAACAGGGAGGCAGAGAGGGAGGGGCCTGGGGCAACGAGGGGCTCCATATCTCCCGAACCATATATTTACAAATAATCTCCAAGAGTGGATTACTCTTGCTTATTTCTTTTTTTTTTTTTTTTTCTCACTCTGGTCTCACCTTGTCACCCTGGCTGGATTGCAGTGGCATGATTATGGCTCGTTGCAGCCTCAACCTCCTGGGCTCAAGTGATCCTCCCACGTCAGCCTCCCAAGTAGCTGGGGCAACAGGTGTGCATCACCACGGCCTGCTAATTTTTGTATTTTTTCATAGGGATGGGGTTTCCCTATGTTGCCCAGGCTGATCTTGAACTCCTGGGATCAAGTGATTCTCCCACCTTGGCCTCCCAAAGTGCTGGGAGTACAGGCATGAGCCACCGCTGCACCTGGCACTCTTGCTTATCTCTATGGCTACAGTGGCCTATTGCCTTCTTTGTGTTTGGACACATTATCAGGGCCAACCTCGGAGTTCACCTTTTAAGGTCACAAGTCCCTATGACTGAAGTGTGAATGACTGACAGGTTTATCCTTCTCAGGGGGTATACAATGAAAGAAAATCCCTTTAATAAAATGAATCTCTATTTGATGAAATACTGTAGGAAAAAGGGTCATTTCCCAGAGGGAACTATCTGTATCCCTGGCATGCTGCAGTTCACTGTAGTGATGATGGTACCACCCTGGTCAGTATCAACCCTTGGGAAGCCATTGGGAAGGAGAAACAAGCTCTTGGGGGAGCATCAATACTGCTTTGGGCTGTAAGGTCTTAGAGGCCAGGAAAAGTATCTGGGACCCAAGCATAGCTCATAATGCCTGAGCAGGTGCACACTGCCTTACCTTAAGCAGGATAAAGCAAGAAGTGGGCAGGCAGCTTCCTGACACTGTCTTTAAACTCAGCTTCTGCCCACCACACTTCTGGTTCCCTTCCACCTAACCACTTCTCTGTCTCCGTTGCAATTTCTCCTTTTTCTCAAGCTCCAGCCTAGTGCCCCAGCCTCCCTTTCCACAAATGGTGTTAGATTGTCAACATTGCAGAAATGGTGAGTTCAGTTCTTTCCACCAAGGTCTTCGCGGTTCCATGAGAAACCTGTTGTCTCTTCCCATTTTCCTTTCACTACTCACCAGCACCAAATCCCCAGTCAGCAAACCAGAGAGTACAAAAGCAGGGACTTTTACACTAGGGTTCCTCTTCCCCATACCCACAATTGCCTCCTCGACTAAGGAAGGTGATGGGAAAATGACAATGACACCAATAGGACAATGGGACAAAAGCATGGACAGGAAACTCACAAAAGCATGGACAGGAAACACGAATAGCCATTAAAGAGTTAAAAAGAATGTTGACATTTAACAACAAATGTGCAGTTTAAAGGAGCAATAAGAGACCATTTCATCTATCAAAGTGGCGAGGATTCTAATGTGGAGGGTTGGCGAGAGTAAGGACACAGGCAGACACTACTAACTGGAGTAGAAAGGCCTCACTGCTTTCTGGAGAATGGCTTGGCAACACATAGAGACCAAGAGCTTTAAAACAAGTCTATGTCTTCACCCTTTCACTCAGGGGTTTCACTTCTAGAATTTAGCCTAAGGCAATAATTAGCCATGCAAATATGTAAGTTCAAGGATATTTACCGAAGGTCTGGGCGCGGTGGCTCACACCTATAATCCTAGCACTTTGGGAGGCCGAAAGAGGTGGTCAGATTACCTGAGGTCAGGAGTTCGAGACCAGCCTGGATAACATGATGAAACCCCGTCTCTACTAAAAATACAAAAATCAGCCAGGCATGTGCCTGTAATCCCAGCTACTCAGGAGGCTGAGGCAGGAGTAGCTTGAACCCAGGAAGCAGAGGTTGCCGTGAACCGAGATCACACAACTGCACTCCATCCTGGACAACAGAGTGAGACTCCATCTCAAAAAAAAAAAAAAAGAAGAAGAAAAAGAAAAAAAAGAATATTTACCACAGCTCAGTTTATTATATGTTTAAAAATTGAAGGCCAGGTGTGGTGGTACACACCTGTAATCCCAGAGCTTTGGGAGGCCGAGGAAGGAGGTTGCCGTGAGCCCAGGAATTCAAGGTTATAGTGAGCTATGTGCGTGCCACTGCACTCCAGCCTGAGTGACAGAGCAAGACCCTGTCTCTAAAAAAACAGAAAGCAAATTGAGACCCACCTAAACATGCTATAATAGGAAATTGGTTTAAATGAACTAGTAGAATACTGGGTGACCATTATAAATGATGCTGGCTCACGGGCTTCCTAATGTGATACACTGGTACTCGTGCCCAAAAATGCATAAACACCAGACATACTCAAATTTAGGAACAGTCTACAAAACAACTGTCCTGTATGCTTAAAAATGCCAGTATCGGCCAGGTGCGGTGGCTCACGCCTGTAATCCCAGCACTTTGGGAGGCCAAGATGGGTGGATTGCCTAAGCTCAGGAGTTTGAGACCAGCCTGGGCACCATGGTGAAACCCTGTCTCTACTAAAATACAAAAAGTCAGCCAGGCGTGGTGGTGGGCGCCTGTAATCCCAGCTACTCAGGAGGCTGAGGCACGAGAATTGCTTGAACCCAGGCGGTGGAGGTTGCAGTGAGCCAAGGTCGTGCCACTGCAATCCAGCCTGGACTGTCTCAAAAAAAAAAAAAAAAGTCAATATAATGAAAGGCAAAGTACATTTAAGGTACTGTACTCATATTAAAGGAAACTAAAAAGACTCGACAGCTAAATGCAATACAGGATGCCAAATGAGATCCTAGACCAAAGGAAAAAATTGTCATGAAGGACATTATGGGGCAATTGGCAGGACCTGAATTTGGACTGTCAATTAGATCATAGTATTACATCGGTCTAAGTTTCCTGATTTGGATAATTGTACTATATTATGTAAAAGAATGTTTTGTTCTTAGAAAATTTGCACTGATGGATTTAAGGGTAAAGGGTATCTTGTATGCAACTTACTCTCAAATGGTTCAGAAAAAAATACAAATGTGTATTTATAGAGAAATAATGATAAAGTAAATGTGGTCAAATGATATTAGTGGATGAATCTGAGTGAAGGGTATCCTGGAATTCTTTTTAGTATTTTTGCCCCTTTCCCATGAGATTAAAAGTATTTTAAAATAAAAAGCTAAAAAAAGGAAGAAAGTGGTGCTGGTGAAGTATATTCCCCGGTAGGGGAAGGCTCTCAGGTGCACCAGCAGCAGCCATGAGTGCCTCAACACCAGGGAGAGCACAGCTGCCACTGACACCTTCTGCCACCCTGGACTCTCAGTTCCCTGTGCTACTAAAGGAACTCAGTGTGTGGTTGACCCCAAAGTTGTCCTGGGTTGACTCAAGAAGGTAGGATGAGCATTCTGAGGCAAAGAATTCTCTTTTGTGATTTTATTGACTCCAATTTTGCATTCTGACTGGCATTCCCTGCATCCCAAGGACCTTGACAGCGGAGGGAGGCAGAGATGGAGGAAGTGAAAACTACCCAAATTCAGTGTTTGTTACAGACAATTCAGACTGCAAAATTTAGGGTAGACTATGTTCATTTATCACTGATAATGACAGTCTTAACATTCCCCTACAACAGGAAGACCAAGATTTCCCCAAAACCGGCCAGCATCTTGCCCATTCGCCAGAAGGAGAAAAATAAGTCCTGGCAAGAGCCAAGATAAGGCCCAGAAGCCCCTGGGTTCCTTTAGCCAAGGTGAGTGGTTTCAAATTATGACAAGTTGCAGGTTCTCTGAGAAGCATCTGTAATAACCTGGCAAATTAAGCATCCTCTCCTGGGAGGAGGAATACAGAACTCTGTAACCACCCAATACCTGTTTCCAGGTCCTGCCCCTCCTGGGGCACAGGGCAGCCACCTTGCAATTCTCATCCCTAGAAAGGAGAGACCAGATCAACAAACAGCAGGGCTGGGACTGCCCAGGGGGTTCCGAGATTCCTTCTCCCCTCCTATCACCTGCCCTCCAGGCACACCGTCCTACTTCCCCCTACTTCCCCAGGGGTTGTCAGGGACAGAAGGCCCCTCCTTCATCCCCCCTAGTGTTCCTCCACTCTTCCTCCGCCCCCCATTACTAGGGTGTCCAGGACATTGTGTGACTCAGGAAACAGCTCAGACGTGAGGCTTGCAGCAGGCCGAGGAGGAAGAAGAGGGGCAGTGGGAGCAGAGGAGGTGGCTCCTGCCCCAGTGAGAGCTCTGAGGGTCCCTGCCTGAAGAGGGACAGGGACCGGGGCTTGGAGAAGGGGCTGTGGAATGCAGCCCCCTTCACTGCTGCTGCTGCTGCTGCTGCTGCTGCTGCTGCTGCTATGTGTCTCAGTGGTCAGACCCAGAGGTGAGGCATGGCATGGGTGAGGTGAGGGGACCCAGCTCCCTTAGGAGGATGATCAGTGGGGTGGGGGAAGAGGGCCAAGCCCCAGGCCGTGTGAGGGATGCTGGATGGAGGAGATTCTCACTGCCCAAATAGAGACGGCCTCCAGGGAAAGACGGCTCTGCCCATGGAGCTGCTTCGGGCCTGGTGCCAGGGGTGGTGACTGCTGGGGGATGGGTGAGAGGGTGCCCACCTCCAGGAAGAACCTCGTCAGCACTGGCACTGGAGGACTCTTGCAGCCATAGGGAAGAGGGGAAGAGGGAACACACTGACCACCTGCTTGGGGAGGAGATGAGAGGGAAGCAGGAGATGGGGACATGAAAGGTCAGGCCTACTAAGCCCTTTCTTAGTCCAGCTGTCCCCACCCCCCGGATGGCTCAATGCTCGGCCTTTCCGGGAGGAAATCTCTTCGAAGTCTCAGCCATTCACCTCCCGGGAGCCACCTCCGCCCCTCTTCTGACCCCTGTTGTCTTGCTTCCGAGAGATGGAGTCCGAGGCTGGACTTGGGAGGCCAGAGAATAAACAGGAAAGGGGGGTAGGGATTAGTAACTGGGATGGAGGGCACTGGGGCTGGGGCTGGGTACCATGTGGAGAGTGGGGACAGATGTGAAGAAGAGGTGGTTTAGAGTACCTGTGGGAGCTGCTGTGGGCAGGTCTCTCAGGAGCACCTAGAAGAGGAAAGGTGGAGGCACAGCACCCAGGGCTTCCATTGCGCCTGCCTCTCCACCCTCAGGGCTGCTGTGTGGGAGTTTCCCAGAACCCTGTGCCAATGGAGGCACCTGCCTGAGCCTGTCTCTGGGACAAGGGACCTGCCAGTGAGTGTGCCTTGCAGGAGTGGGAGACTGGAGAGAAAGGGGGAGGGAGAGCAGGGGGGGAGAGGTGAGGAAGTGAGACCAAAGAAGAAAGAGAGGAAGTGAAGGAGATGAAGGGAAACAAATGAAGGCAGAGGAGGGAGTGGGCAAGAATAGGAAGAGGGACCAGTGATGTGAGTTTTCCTCTCCTCCCCTGCCCAGGTGTGCCCCTGGCTTCCTGGGTGAGACGTGCCAGTTTCCTGACCCCTGCCAGAACGCCCAGCTCTGCCAAAATGGAGGCAGCTGCCAAGCCCTGCTTCCCGCTCCCCTAGGGCTCCCCAGCTCTCCCTCTCCATTGACACCCAGCTTCTTGTGCACTTGCCTCCCTGGCTTCACTGGCGAGAGATGCCAGGCCCAGCTTGAAGACCCTTGTCCTCCCTCCTTCTGTTCCAAAAGGGGCCGCTGCCACATCCAGGCCTCGGGCCGCCCACAGTGCTCCTGCATGCCTGGATGGACAGGTAAGCGCTGCTGGGGGCAGCCAGGAGGGGACAGGCAGGAGCAATGGGCTAGGCTGTGGGTGGGGAAGATGGAACTGGAGCCTGAGAAACTGCAAGCCCTTTGAAGACAGAAGCCATGAGAATCAACATGCCAATTCTTGGCAATCCACTTACCCACAACCAACATTCACCAGCATGGTTGTACTGATTGCTAAAATGTTAAAATATTTCCAAATTAAGGGTGCCATGAGCCCCCTTTGTGCACCATCCTGATGCCTGTCCTAGCCCCTTTAATCTCCCCATTGCCTAGCAGCTAGAGGGTCATTGCTCTGCATACCAGGGGTCCTCCAGACTTTTGCATTCTGAGCATCTGAATGGCTCCCACTCTGAGTGGAGGGAGCCATTATATCACCTGGGAAGACTGCAGTGGTGGGAGGGGCACCGGGAAGGGAAGGATGTGACCCCGAGAGTGGATTGGGGGCCGCCCCAGGAGGAGGGGTGTAACCCTGGGGCAAGCTTAGTGCTTCATTCTAGGGGCTCTGCACCAGCCCCTGGATCCAAATGCTAGCTCTGCCACTGATCAGCTACATGACCTCATATAAGATATTTTAGCTTTCTGGTGTTCAGTTGTCAGCTGACAAACAGGGAGAGTAATGGTCACACTTCATAAGGTTGCTGAGAGGACAGAAGGGGCCGATGCTCAGGAGATGCTTGCTCAGCTCAGCACCTGGCACCTCCACTGCTGCCGCCATTACCACTGGTGCACATGGACTGTGAAGTGAGTCTCCAGGTGCCTAAACCCACTTAAAGATTAGGAAATGAGGATCAGAAAGGCAAAGTGGCTCACCCAAGGGTATACAACCAGTTGTGGCACAGCATGGTGCCACCTGAGTCTCCTGCCTGCAGACGTGGGGTGCTTTTCACCTCCCCCAAGATCACCCACGTCCCAGATTTTCTCAGGCAAGGCCAATTTGCAATACTCTCATCATCACTTTAGAAGATATGGTCACTCCAGATAAACCCTCCCAAGCCATGACATCGCTCAGAGCAGGGGTGATGGAACAGAGCAAAGAAAGTATGGTAATAAAGGGAAGGAAATATGAAAATGAGACCCAGAGATAATCCAGAGTGAGCACTGGGTAACCTCAGATGGGCTAGAATTCGTACAATGCTAGAAACGGCTCCCTCTGTCCTCTGCCTCAGGTGAGCAGTGCCAGCTTCGGGACTTCTGTTCAGCCAACCCATGTGTTAATGGAGGGGTGTGTCTGGCCACATACCCCCAGATCCAGTGCCACTGCCCACCGGGCTTCGAGGGCCATGCCTGTGAACGTGATGTCAACGAGTGCTTCCAGGACCCAGGACCCTGCCCCAAAGGCACCTCCTGCCATAACACCCTGGGCTCCTTCCAGTGCCTCTGCCCTGTGGGGCAGGAGGGTCCACGTTGTGAGCTGCGGGCAGGACCCTGCCCTCCTAGGGGCTGTTCGAATGGGGGCACCTGCCAGCTGATGCCAGAGAAAGACTCCACCTTTCACCTCTGCCTCTGTCCCCCAGGTGTGTCCTCACAGGGGCTCTCCGGCCGCCCCTCTCTCTGGGCAGGGCAGGATGTCTCCGTTGGAGCCTCCTCCCACAGCTGATCCATGACCCTGTCAGGTTTCATAGGCCCAGACTGTGAGGTGAATCCAGACAACTGTGTCAGCCACCAGTGTCAGAATGGGGGCACTTGCCAGGATGGGCTGGACACCTACACCTGCCTCTGCCCAGAAACCTGGACAGGTGAGTTGTTTAAGCCACATCCATGACACCCATGGCCCAGAGAGTTGGCCCCTGGCCTCCCCTACTCATAGGGCTCCCAGCCTTAGCCCTCGTCCCCTCCCCAACCCCCTGCAGGCTGGGACTGCTCCGAAGATGTGGATGAGTGTGAGGCCCAGGGTCCCCCTCACTGCAGAAACGGGGGCACCTGCCAGAACTCTGCTGGTAGCTTTCACTGCGTGTGTGTGAGTGGCTGGGGCGGCACAAGCTGTGAGGAGAACCTGGATGACTGTATTGCTGCCACCTGTGCCCCGGGATCCACCTGCATTGACCGGGTGGGCTCTTTCTCCTGCCTCTGCCCACCTGGACGCACAGGTATGGGGGTAGAGGGTATCAGGAGGTGGGAGGTAGAGAAGGAGGGTGAGAGAAGCACCAGGAGGACTGCTAGGAGCTTCAAGTGGCCTTTGAGAGCCTCACCCCCTCTTACCCCTCCAGGACTCCTGTGCCACTTGGAAGACATGTGTCTGAGCCAGCCGTGCCATGGGGATGCCCAATGCAGCACCAACCCCCTCACAGGCTCCACACTCTGCCTGTGTCAGCCTGGCTATTCGGGGCCCACCTGCCACCAGGACCTGGACGAGTGTCTGATGGGTGAGGCCACTCCCACTTCAGAGCCTCTCTGAGCCTCAGACAGGCCTCTGCACTGAAGACAGAAAAGGGCAGATTGCTTTTCCAATTAAAAAACCAAACATCTTTTTCCTTGAATTTGCCCAGATTTGGCATCTCTTGCCTACATGACCCTCTCTCCAATGTTCAGCCCCTCAGTCCCCATGAAATTGGTCCCTTATTTCCTTTCCATCTTAAAGACACAAGCCCCTTCCCCAATTTGGTCTCGTCTGCCACACGCAGGCCCCCACACCTTCCCTGACAGTCTCACCTCCTTGCCCTTCCCGCCCTGACCCCTGTGGACTCCCAGCTCTTCTCTCCTCCCAGCCCAGCAAGGCCCAAGTCCCTGTGAACATGGCGGTTCCTGCCTCAACACTCCTGGCTCCTTCAACTGCCTCTGTCCACCTGGCTACACAGGCTCCCGTTGTGAGGCTGATCACAATGAGTGCCTCTCCCAGCCCTGCCACCCAGGAAGCACCTGTCTGGACCTACTTGCCACCTTCCACTGCCTCTGCCCGCCAGGTATCAGCTGGATGGGGCCTTGGGTGGGGAAAACAGGGAACTAGTCCTGAACCCACTAGGAATGCCCCCTCCAGAGTAAGGACAGCTTCAGGCCAATTGGCGTAAGTTACCACAGATGCTTCTCTCTCTACCCCCAGACGAAAACTCAGGGACACCCAAGACCCCTGGGAGAGGGGTTACCACAGATGGTAGTGAGGTTATGCATTCCTCAACTTGGGGGGAAGCTGCCATTCATTTCATAGTCATCATAGAGGCTGCACAACCTGGTCCACTGTACACAGCAGCCCAGCAAGAGAGGGTAGAAGAGCAGTTCATAAACTTTCTGTGCTGCAGCCTTTGCTCAGGCCAACCCAGAATGCTCCCTCTGATTATAGAAACTCTCCCATGTAGAGATTCAAGGTAATCCCTTAAAATCCCAAAAGCCCTGTGATACAACAGGAAAATTTGGTACAACAAGAAAAAAATTGCTGCAAGACAGCACCCACCTCCAGGCTAGTTTTAAGGGGGAAAAGTCGCCCCAGGGAGACAGCAACAGAGCCAACATCAAGGAGTTGAATGAAATCAGAAAAATAATCGCCAACTTTATGCCAGGTACTGTCTGAGCATCTTACAGGCATTGTCTCATCTACTTATTACAATAACTCTATGAGGTCAGCACTGCCCATTTTATAACTGAAGAAACTGAGGCACAGAGAGTTTAAGTGACTTGTCCAAGGTCACCCAGCTAGCAAGTGGCAGAGCTGAGATTCAAACCAAGGGCTTCAACAATTATAACCACTACCCCATATTGACTTTCTAAACTGAGCGGCACCCAAAGATACTGGCTCAGGTCACCCAACAGACAATCATAGAGAAATAAGAGAAAACGGTTCGGTAACCCAAGGGACAACATTGTAGATATCAAGGAGCTTCAGAAGCAGACTCCTCAGGCAAGAAAAGAAAGGAAGCCAAGGTCCAGAGGTTGATCCCACCTCAATTCAGGATGAAACAGTGGAGACCAGGATGAACCCAAAGCAACGGGACAAATATAGGAGCAACAAGCTTCCCAGATGCACTTCAAATTCCTCCACTTTGGGATCTCTGTTCTCCCTAGCATGGAGGCCCGCCCAGGGAGAACAAGAAGCGGGACTCATTCTCCAAGCCAATTTGTTCCTATTTGTACCTTGAGGTCCTCCAGGCTGATCAGCCTGCCCTGGTGAGCCCCGCCCTCTGTATACACAGTAATGGCCACCAGAAAGCCTTGTAGTCCTCCCGCAGGTCCCCAGCAAGCACCCTGTTCCCTGGCCTTTCACACCTCAAGGAGCAGGGCCACACACTGTGAAGCAGCAGGGCCTCAGGGTTCATCTTATTCAACCCCATGCAGACAGCACCTCGGGGGAGGACCGCCTGAGTGGGGCAAGTCAGGAGCAGGGCCGATTCTAGAACACAGGTCTCCCAGGCAGACGGCTGAGCCACAGCCCTCATGGTCCCCATGTCCCCAGGCTTAGAAGGGCAGCTCTGTGAGGTGGAGACCAACGAGTGTGCCTCAGCTCCCTGCCTGAACCACGCGGATTGCCATGACCTGCTCAACGGCTTCCAGTGCATCTGCCTGCCTGGTGAGTACAGATGCCTCTCTGGCCACCCTCAGACCCCAGGCCTCTGAACCTGCAGAGTTCAGGCTCAGCAATCACCCAAGGCCACTTGAAGCTCTCTCTAGCCAAGCCAAGGAGTCCTCCAAATCTGTCTTTGCTCCCCAAAATCTCTACTCTTACATCCCCAAATCTTCCCTTGCTTACTTGCCCATTCTCATCTCTGTCCTACCAAATCACCCAAAGATCCCTCCTTTCCAGTCCTCCTGCACAGCCTCTGTGTATGCATGTTGAGGTCCCAGGCTGGTCTTGGCACTCTCATCATAAACCCAGCAAAAGCTGCCCCAAGCCTTTCTTCTCCAGCCTCACCGGACACTCCTCTGTCCCCTGCTATTATAATAACTACACTTATTCACCACTTACTCCAGGCTAGCCATTTGGCTGAGTACTTTTCAGGCGTTATGTCATTTAATCTTTTTAACAGTACCATGAGGTAGGTTCCATTATTATTCCCCTTTTACACAGAACAGGAAACTGGGGCCTAGAGGGTTGACCAGCTTGCCCAAAGTCACACAGCTGGCAGGTGGCTGAGCTTCACCTTTTCTGCATCATCTCCTGTCACCCCACGCTCACCTGCCCCAGGTGTCTTCTCTGGGAAGCTCTGCAAGTTCACCTTTCCTGGCAAGGGAAGGCGCCATGCTGTGCCTCCCTCGATGACCTTGGCCTCCTCTCCCCACCCACTTCCGCCCCACCAGGATTCTCCGGCACCCGATGTGAGGAGGATATCGATGAGTGCAGAAGCTCTCCCTGTGCCAATGGTGGGCAGTGCCAGGACCAGCCTGGAGCCTTCCACTGCAAGTGTCTCCCAGGTAAACTGGGGCACACACTGTGGGGGACAGCGGGAGCAGGAGGCAGACATCCGTGCAGGTCCCTGACCTTCCTGCTGTGCCACAGGCTTTGAAGGGCCACGCTGTCAAACAGAGGTGGATGAGTGCCTGAGTGACCCATGTCCCGTTGGAGCCAGCTGCCTTGATCTTCCAGGAGCCTTCTTTTGCCTCTGCCCCTCTGGTTTCACAGGTTCACAGGGGAGGCATTGGAAAGAACTGGCAGAATATTTTATTCCATTTGGGTTGGGGCAGAGTTCATTGGTGGGTGTTTGATGGTTGGGATGTGAGAATAGAATGAGAATGGTATCCTTTAAAGTTATTTAGTGTAAAACCTGCACAATTGTACAACCATGGGGACAAGGGCAGGGGTTACCGTAGGGCCCACATGGGCCCAGTGTAAATGGTGTGATTGCGGCTTGGGAGCAGAGGACGGGGCTCAAAGAAAAGGCATTCACTTGCTTATTTAGCAAGCACTTACCAACTGCCTACTATGCCAGATACGGAGGCAAATCTGAGTAAGACAGTTGCCATCTTCATGTGACTTTAAGTCTAATACAGAGAGACCAACAAGTCTCCTGTTGATCATAGCCCACAGAGGTGCTCTGAGAGAAAAACGTGCAGGATATTACAAGAGCACAGAGGACCAGCCAACCCAGACTAAAAATGGAGGAGGTGATGGCTGAGATGAGTTTTGAAAGATAAGCAGAGGCTGGGCGTGGTGGCTCACGCCTATAGTCCCAGCACTTCGGGAAGCCGAGGCGGGTGGATCACCCGAGATTAGGAGTTCGAGATCAGCCTGGCCAACATGGTGAAACCTTGTCTCTATTAAAAATACAAAAATTACAATTTGGGAGGCCGAGGCGGGTGGATCATGAGGTCAGGAGATCGACACTATCCTGGCTAACACGGTGAAACCCCATCTCAACTAAAAATACAAAAAAATAACTGGGCGTGGTGGCGGGCGCCTATAGTCCCAGCTACTCCAGAGGCTGAGGCAGGAGAATGGCGTGAACCCGGGAGGCGGAGCTTGCAGTGAGCTGAGATCACGCCACTGCACTCCAGCCTGGGTGGCAGAGTAAGACTCCACCTCAAAAAAAAAAAAAAATACAAAAATTAGCCAGGCGTGGTGGCGGGCGCCTGCAATCCCAGCTATTGGGGAGGCTGAGGCAAGAGAATCGCTTGAACCTGGGAAGCAGTGGTTGCAGTGAGCTGAGATCACTCCACTGCACTCCAGCCTGGGTGACAGAGCAAGATTCCATCTCAAAAAAAAAAGAAGGAAGGAAGGAAGGAAAGAAGGAAGGAAGGAGAGAAGGGAAGGAAAGGAAGGAAAGGAGGAAATGAGGAAAGAGAGAAAGATAGAAAGATGGATGGTCAGGAGTCTGTCTAAATAGAGTGCCAGATAGTGTGTTTTAGCTGGAGATAACTGCATGTGCAAAGACACAGATGGAAGAAAAGCCCACCCCATTTAAGGAACTGTAAGAAAGTCAGAGTTAAGGGTACAGCAAGGCAAAGATGAGAAACACAGCTGTTGTACAAATGTCATGTCCTGCAGGACTCTGCATATCATTCTGAGAAAGTTAAACAATATCTTAAAGGCAATAGGGACCCATTGAAGGACAGGTTCATGGGTTCATAGGGAGTGAGTAAGGCAAGCATAAGAAGTGGCTTTGGCCCAATGAAGGATGTGGCTTTGGCCCAATGAAGGATGTGGAGGAGCTGTTTTCTTTTTGACCCATTTTCCCACCCCAGGCCAGCTCTGTGAGGTTCCCCTGTGTGCTCCCAACCTGTGCCAGCCCAAGCAGATATGTAAGGACCAGAAAGACAAGGCCAACTGCCTCTGTCCTGATGGAAGCCCTGGCTGTGCCCCACCTGAGGACAACTGCACCTGCCACCACGGGCACTGCCAGAGGTAACATCTTCCAGACCCTCCCCATCTGCCCCCTCCTTTGGGCTCCCTTCGCTAGGACAGGAGAAGACAGCCAGTGAGATGTAGGTCTGTGAGAAATGACCAATGGGGAAAAGGAAGGAGATGGCAAAGTTCTTAGGGCAAGGCAGTGGGAGGGCTCAACTGGTAAGTGTTATCCAAGGAGAAGAGAGTCCACAAAAACTGGTGGAAACAGAGGACCAGGGGGTCAGAGCAGAAAGAAGAGCACTAAATCCCAGGGCGAATTAATCATTCATTAGAAAAATATCTGCTGAGGCCAGGCGCAGTGCTGATTACGGTCTCATGCCGGTAATCCCAGCACTTTGGGAGGCCGAGGTGGGCGGATCACCTGAGATCAGCAGTTCAACATCAGCCTGGCCAACATGGTGAAACCCTGTAGCTACTAAAAATGCAAAAATTAGCTGGGCATGGTGGCGCACCTGTAATCCCAGCTACTTGGGAGGCTGAAGCGGAAGGATCACTTGAACCCAAGAGGCGGAGGTTGCAGTCAGCCAAGATCATGCCACTGCACTCCAGCCTGGGTGACAGAGCAAGACTCCGTCTCAAAAAAAAAAAAATCTGCTGAGCACCTACTTTGTGTGGCTACTGTTCCAGGCCCTGGGGGAAACACAAAGCAAAAGAGATAAAGCAACTGCTCTCGTAGAGCTTTCATTCTAAAGAAAGACAGAAAATAAGTAAGTTACAGAAAGAATATATATGTGTGTGTATATATATATATATATATCTCCAACTAGATATATAGATGCATATATCTAGTTGGAGAAAATGAGCAGGTGTTGGGGAGGATGGGGGCGGTGCTGAGAGCAAAGTCACTGAAGAAAGAGGCCAGAATCTCAGGGCCAAAAGAAGAGGAAGTCATAGGGGTCCAGGCAGCAGGGAGGGGAACATAAGCAGTAGGAGAAGAGAAAAACCCTCCCCTTTCTCTTTACAACCAGATCCTCATGTGTGTGTGACGTGGGTTGGACGGGGCCAGAGTGTGAGGCAGAGCTAGGGGGCTGCATCTCTGCACCCTGTGCCCATGGGGGGACCTGCTACCCCCAGCCCTCTGGCTACAACTGCACCTGCCCTACAGGCTACACAGGTGAGACCCTCCCTAAACCATATACACCCTGTGCTGGTCACCCCCTATGTCAAGGGTAAGGCAGGCGACCACGGGCCCTGAGTCTCAGTCACCACTAAGGAGAACTGGACTGCAGGGGACACGGGTGATGTGTGGGAGGTGGTGAGAACGGAGGTTGATGGGAAAGAATAATAGGGTTGGGGATGAGGAAGGGAAGGAAGAGGAAAGAGAAGGAGAGCGGAGGGAGGGAAGGAGGACACCCTTTCTCAGCCCCCACCTGTTTCCTTCAGGACCCACCTGTAGTGAGGAGATGACAGCTTGTCACTCAGGGCCATGTCTCAATGGCGGCTCCTGCAACCCTAGCCCTGGAGGCTACTACTGCACCTGCCCTCCAAGCCACACAGGGCCCCAGTGCCAAACCAGCACTGACTACTGTGTGTCTGGTGAGTGCCCACTGTGTCATGGGGCTGGGGTCCACAGGAGAATGGAAGAACTAAGGAGGGTATGCTTGTGTCATATTTTTTAAAATTTAATTGAACAGACCAGCCTGGGAAACATAATGAAACTCCATCTCTAAATTAGCTGGGCACACAGTGGCTAAGGCCTGTAGTCTCAAATACTTGGGAGGCTAAGGTGGGAGGATGACTTGAGCCCAGAAGGTTAAGACTGCAGTGAGCTCTGATGGCACCACTGCCTGGGTAACAGAGCAAGACCCTATCTAAAAACAATAAAATATCATATAAATAAAAATTAATTGGATGGCAGTGAGCTGTCGTTTTGATGGGGGTGGGGGGTGTATGTCCTATGTACAGTGTGACTGAGGTCACAGGCCAGGTTACAGGCAAGGAACCCAAACCCTCACAGCCTCCTCTCTCCAGCCCCGTGCTTCAATGGGGGTACCTGTGTGAACAGGCCTGGCACCTTCTCCTGCCTCTGTGCCATGGGCTTCCAGGGCCCGCGCTGTGAGGGAAAGCTCCGCCCCAGCTGTGCAGACAGGTGAGCAGGGCCCAAAGACCCCTAGAAGGGAGAAAACCCCTCAGCCTTCCCACCCCTCCTCTCATCTCCCCCTGGGTTCCAGGCTGCCTCCCACCCCACACCTCGTTCCGCCTTCCCTCCTGGCTTGCCACCTCCCTGTGGTTGCCTCCCGACAATATCACACACTACCTTCCCCTTGTTGCCCGAACTTCTTCCTATCATGCCCTGTCTCTGTCTTGTTCAGCCCCTGTAGGAATAGGGCAACCTGCCAGGACAGCCCTCAGGGTCCCCGCTGCCTCTGCCCCACTGGCTACACCGGAGGCAGCTGCCAGGTGAGGGCCATTGAAGTCAGGCGTGCTGAGGAGGGAAGTGGCTGGGAGGGAAACCAGGGAGGGTCACCTGGTCCCAGGCCATTCAGGAGAAGGTTTTTGAAGTAAGGGATTTCGAGGAGCTGGAGTGGGCAGAGGACCATCTCTGGGCTGAGAATCTGATGCTATGTCCTGCCTCACGCTCCCTCCCACCCCTCAGACTCTGATGGACTTATGTGCCCAGAAGCCCTGCCCACGCAATTCCCACTGCCTCCAGACTGGGCCCTCCTTCCACTGCTTGTGCCTCCAGGGATGGACCGGGCCTCTCTGCAACCTTCCACTGTCCTCCTGCCAGAAGGCTGCACTGAGCCAAGGTAACCAACGCCGGCACTGACTGGAGAGCAAATGAAGAAAATATGGGTGTTCTCACCTGCCCCGTTCCTGTGGGCTTCCACACAGCTTTTGGCCAAAACAACCACCTGAGAATCAAAACCACACAGACAAATCAGTTCTTGATTGCAGAGGTGTTGAATTGTGCAATCAGAGAAGCCTAACACAATTCCTGTTACCTCATTTAACGCAATTCAAGCAACACCAACCAGCCCATTCCACAGGATTCCAGTTTAACCCAACCATGAGGGACATGACTCAACGTGGAGCAACTCAACTCTGTCCTGATCATCATAACCCAGGCAGAGTGGACCACACTTAATCCAGCTACACTCAACGCATTTCACCCCACCCCACTCACTTCGATGTCACGCCACCCTCTTTGTAAAAGAACACTAAAATAAGGTTTGATATGAGAAGAGCTCGGGAAAGAGATTATGATGGAGTTAAGGGATAGCTGATGGGAATCACAGGGAGAGAACATTAAAGGAATGCAGAACTCAGGGGACAGACTTAAGCCACTTGTCCTCACTTGAGGCATACCTTGAATTATTTCTTGCTCAAGCCTTGCTTTAAGCCAAGAAAACAGTTGCTTTAACATTATGATAAGCTTTAGGGGTATGTCTCCAATATTCTGGCAGAAAGGGTGAGGAGAGAGGTAAAACTCGATGGTCTAATTTCTTCAGTGCCAGGAGTTATTAACTCCTTGGGCCCAGACCAGTCTCCACCCAGGAATGTTAGTGGTCCCCAAGGTAAAGGCCTCTACACCCAGAGATTGGGCCCTGAATACACCCTTTCTCCTCCTCACATACCTTATTTATTTATTTATTTATTTATTTATTTATTTATTTATTTTTGAGATGGAGTCCCAGTCTGTCACCCAGGGTGGAGTGCAGTGGCACGATCTCGGCTCACTGCAACCTTCACCTCCTAGGTTCAAGTGATTCTCCTGCCTCAGCTTCCCAAGTAGCTGGGATTCGTGTGCCACCATGCCCAGCTAATTTTTTTTTTTTTGTATTTTTAGTAGAGATGGGGTTTCATTATGTTGGCCAGACTGGTCTCGAACTCCTAACCTCAGTGATCCACCCGTCTCAGCCTCCCAAAGTGCTGGAATTACAGGTGTGAGCCACCACGCCCGGCCACATCCCCATTTACCGTTTCTGTTTGTTTGTTTGTTTGTTTGTTTGTTTGAGATGGAGTCTTGCCCTATAGCCCAGGCTGGAGTGCAATGGCACGATTTTGGCTCACTACAACCTGCGCTGCCCAGGTTCAAGTGATTCTCCTGCCTCAGCCTCCCAAGTAGCTGGGATTACAGGTGCCTGCCACAACGCCCGACCAATTTTTTGTATTTTTAGTAGAGACGGGGTTTCCCCATGTTTGCCAGGCTGGTCTCACACTCCTAACCTGGTGATCCACCTGCCTCGGCCTCCCAAAGTGCTGGGATTACAGGCGTGAGCCATGGCGCCCGGCCCCCCACTTATCTTTGTATATCCCTGTTTGTCTCTCTCCCCAGGCATAGACGTCTCTTCCCTTTGCCACAATGGAGGCCTCTGTGTCGACAGCGGCCCCTCCTATTTCTGCCACTGCCCCCCTGGATTCCAAGGCAGCCTGTGCCAGGATCACGTGAACCCATGTGAGTCCAGGCCTTGCCAGAACGGGGCCACCTGCATGGCCCAGCCCAGTGGGTATCTCTGCCAGGTGAGAGGGTCTGCAGGAGAAGGGGGAGGAAAGACAAGGGTGGGCTGGATGGGAGAGACAGTAGTGACTGAGGGAAGACCCAATGTATCCATTTCACCTCCTTTTATTTTTTTTAACCCCACACACCCAACTAACCACAAAGTCATGCCACTTTATCTCCTGAAGTTTTCTCAAGTCTGTGCTTTCACCTTCACCCTTTGTCCCACTGCCTGAGTCCTGACCTTTGTTGCGTTCCAGATAGATACTTGCATCAGCCTCCTAACTACAGTCTCTGCCTCCACACTTGTCCTTCTATAGGTTCAGCCTTTACCCCGTGGCCAGGGTACTCTACTGAAAATGTCCAGTTGACCTGTCTCTCCCCTGCTGAACCTTCGGAGGCTGCCCGCCTCATTCTGAATAAAGTCCAAGGCCTGCATGACCCAGCCCTGCCTGCCTCTCAGGCCTCAGCTCTCCCCATCCCACCCTTCTACTCTCTGCTCCAGCAACATGAAACTGCTGCTGACTTTGCCACGTACCCCATACTGATTCTTGCCTCTCAGCCTTTATCCCTGCTATTGACACTACCTGGAATGGCCTTCCCAACCCCTCTTCCACAGGCTGGTGTTCAGGAGGCATCTTCTTCAGGAAGATGTCCCTAACTTCTCCCCAGGCTGGATTAGGGCCTCTTCTTTGTGGTCCAGGTCACTAAGCCAGGAGAGGCAAAGCTGGCATTCAAGTCTAAGCAGCCTGATTCATATGCTCAGAACCACAACTTTTTTGTGTGTGTGGTTGCCATTTTATTTTCTTTTGTTATTGACAAACGGTAGTCATACGTATCTATGGGGTACATGTGAGTTTTTTGGTTTCTTTTTTTTTTCTCTCTCGTTTTTGGAGACAGAGTCGCTCTATCCCCCAGGCTGAAGGGCAGTGGCATAATCTTGGCTCACTGAAACCCCCGCCTCCCAGGTTCAAGCAGTTCTCATGTCTCAGCCTCCCGAGTAGCTGGGATTACAGGAACGCGCCACCACGCCTGGCTAATTTTTGTATTTTTAGTAGAGATGGGGTTTCACCATGTTGGGCAGGCTGGTCTCAGAACTCCTGACCTAAAGTGATCCACCCGCTCAGCCTGCCAAAGTGATAAGATTACAGGTATGAGCCACCGCACCTGGACACATGTGATATTTTGATACATGCATACAATGTATCATGATCAAATCAGGGTAATTGGGATATCTATCATCTCAAACATCATTTCTTTGTGTTGAGAACATTTCAAATCTTCTCTTCTAGTTATTTTGAAATACAAATTGTTAACTATCACCATCCTTCTCTGCTATCTAACACTAGAACTTATTCCTTCTATATGACCATAATTTTGTATCCATTAACCAACCTCTCTTCATCTCCCCCTCCCTGCCACCCTTTCTAACCTCTGGTAACCATCATTCTACCCTACTTCCATGAGACTAACTTTTTTAGCTCCCACATATGAGTGAGGAGCAATATTACACATGCAATAGGAGGCTGATGCAAGTATCTACCTGGAATGCAAGAAAGGTCAGGACTAACTAAGGCAGTGGCACAAAGGTGAAGGTGAGAGACATGCAATATTTGTCTTTCCGTGCCTGGCTTATTTCACTTAACATAATGTCCTTCAGTTTCATCCATGTTGCTGAAAATGATAGGATTTCATTCTTTTTCTGGCTGAATAATATTCCATTGTGTCTATATGACACAGTTTCTTTTTTCCATTCATTTGTTGATGGAACTTCAGTTAATTCCATATGTTAGCTATTGTGAACAGTGCTGCAATAAATATGGGGATGCAGATATCTCTTCAAGATACTGATTTCCTTTGGATATGTAATGAACAGTAGATTGATCACATGGTAGATCTATTTTTAATTTTTGAGAAACTTCCATACTTTTCTCCATACTGGCTGTGTTAGTTTACATTCCCACCAACAGTGTATGAGGGTTCCCCTTTCTCTGCATCCTTGCCAGCATCTGCTATTTTTTGCATTTTTTTTCCTTTTTTGAGACAGAGTCTTGCTGTGTTGCCCAGGCTGGATCACAGTGACTTGATCTCAGCTCACTGCAACCTCTGCCTCCCAGATTCAAGCGATTCTTGTACTTCAGCCTCCCAAGTAACTGGGATCACAGGCGTGGACCACCATGCTTGGCTAATTTTTTGTATTTTTAGTAGAGATGGGGTTTCACCATGTTGGCCAGGATGGTCTCGAACTCCTGACCTCAAATGATCTTCCCGCCTCAACCTCTGAAAGTGCTGGGATTACAGGCATGGGCCACCACACTTGGCCCTTGTGTTTTCAATAATAGGCACTTTAACTGGTGTGAGATGATATCTCATTGTGGTTTTGATTTACATTTCCCTGATTTGCATCCATATACCTGTTGGCCATTTGTATGTCTTCTTTTGAGAAATGTCTGTTCAGATAATTTGCTCATTTTTTAAACCACATTATTTGTCGGTGGTGGTAGTGGTGGTGTTTGCTGTTGAGTTCCTTATACGTTCTGATTATTAATCCCTTGTCAGACAGTTTGCAAATATTTTCTTCTATTCTGTAGGTTGCCTCTTCACTCCATTAATTGTTTCCTTTGCTGCACAGACACTTTTTAGCTTGATGTAATCACATTTGTCTGTTGTTGCCTTTGTTGCCTGGCTGTTGAGGTCTTACCCAAAAAACTTTTGCCCAGACCAATGTCTTGAAGCATTTCCCAAATGATTTTTTTTTTTTTTTGAGAAGGAGTCTTGCACCGTCGCCTGGGCTGGAGTGCAGTGGCGCAAATTTGACTCACTGCAACCTTTGCCTCCTGGGTTCAAGCGATTCTCCTGCCTTAGCCTCCCAAATAGCTGGAATTTACAGGTGCCCACCACCACGCCCAGCTATTTTTTTGTATTTTTAGTAGAGACGGGGTTTCACCATGTTGGCCAGGCTGGTCTCAAACTCCTGACCTTGTGTTTGAGGATTACAGGTGTGACCCACCGTGCCCGGCTGAATTTTTTTTTTAGTGGCTTCAAGTTTCCAGCTGTACATGTAAGGCTTTAATCTATTTTGTATATGATGACAGATAGAGATTTAGTTTCTTTTTTTCTTTTTTTTTGGGGGGGGGATAGAGTCTTGCTCTGTTGCCCTGTTGCCCAGTCTGGAGTGCAGTGGTATGATCTCAGCTCACTGCAACCTCCATCTCCCAAGTTCAACTGATTCTCCTGCCTCAGCCTCCTGAGTAGCTGGAACTACAGGTGCACACCACTACGCCCGGCTAATTTTTGTAATTTTAGTAGAGATGGGGTTTCACCATATTGGTCAGGCTGGTTTCAAACTCCTGACCTCAGGTGATCCACCCACCTCCGCCTCCCAAAGTGCTGGGATTACAGGCGTGAGCCACCCCGCCCGGCCTAGGTTTAGTTTCTTCTGCATATGGATATCCAGTTTTCCCAGCACAATTTATTGAAGAGAGTGTCCTTTCCCCAGTGTGTGTACTTGGTGCCTTTGTTGAAAGTAAGTTGGCTGGCCGGGAGTGGTGGCTCATGCCTGTAATCCCAGCATTTTGGGAGACCGAGGCGGGCAGATCACAAGGTCAGGAGTTCGAGACCAGCCTGACCAACATAGTGAAACCCCCGTCTCTACTAAAAATACAAAAATTAGCCAGGCATGGTGGTGCGCACCTGTAATCCCAGCTACTCAGGAGGCTGAGGCAGGAGAATCGCTTGAACCCAGGAGGTGGAGGTTGCAGTGAGCCAGATCGTGCCATTGCACTCCAGCCTGGCAACAGAGCAAGACTCCATCTCAAAAAAAAAAAAAGGAAAGAAAAGAAAAAAGAAAGTAAGTTGGCTGTTAAATGTTTGGACTTGTTTTTCTGGGCTCTCTATTACATTCCATTGGTCTATGTGTCTGTTTTTTATGCCAGCACCATGCTGTTTTGGTTACTATAGCTTTATAGTATATTTTTAAGTTAGGTAGTGTGGTACCTCTAGCTTTGTTCTTTTTGCTCAGGACTGCTTTGGCTATTTGGGTCTTTTACAGTTCAGATAAATTTTAGGGTTGTTTTTTCTATTTCTGTAAAGAATATTATTGGTATTTTCATAGGGGTTGCATGACTCTGTAGATCACTTTGGTAAGCACAGACATTTTAGCAGTATTCATTCTTCCAATCCATGAACACAGGATATCTTTCCATTTTTTTGTGTCCTCTTCAATTTATTTCATCAATGTTTTATAGCTGTCATTGCAGTACTCTTTCACTTCTTTGGTTAAATTTATTCATTTGTTTTTATTTTTTGTAACTATTATAAATGGGATTGCTTTCTTGATTTCTTTTTCTGATTGTTTGCTGTTAGCGTATAGAAATGCTACTACTTTTTCTACATTGATTTTGTATCCTACAGCTTTACTGAATTTGTTTATAACCAGTGTTTTCTTTAGGTTTTTCTAAATATAGGATTATGTCATCTGTGAACATGGATAATTTGAGTTCTTCTTTTGCAATTTGGATGCCCTTTATTTCTTTCTCCTGCCTAATTGCTCTGGCCAGGACTTCCAGTATTACCTTGAATAAAAATAGTGAAAGTGAGCATCCTTGTCTTGTTCCAGATCTTAGAGGAAAGGCTTTCAACTTTTCCCCATTCAATATGATGTTAGCTGTGGGTTTGTCATATATGGCTTTTATTATTTTGAGATATAGAACCACAGCTTTTTTTTTTTGAGACAGAGTCTTGCTCTGTCACTCAGGCTGGAATGTAGTGGTGCAATCTCAGCTCACTGCAACCTCTACCTCCCGGGCTCAAGCAATTCACCTGCCTCAGCCTCCCCAGTAGCTGGGATTACAGGTGCCTGCCACCACACCTAGCTAATTTTGTGTATGTGTGTATTTTTAGTAGAGATGGGGTTTCACCATGTTGGCCAGGCTGGTCTCAAAATCCTGACCTCAAGTGATCCACCCGCCTTGACCTCCCAAACTGCTGGGATTACAGGCGTGAGCCACCGTGCCCGGCCAGAACCACAACTTTTGATAGAAGGCTCAAGACAGATACCCTAACCTACCCTCTTTTTTCACTTTTTTATTTTATTTTTTAACCTTTTATTATGAACATTTTCAAACATAAACAAAAGCAGTATACTGATCAGTAGTAAACCTCTGGGCACCCATTACTCAGCTTTACTTATTCTTTTTTTTTTTTTTTTTTTTTTTTTTTGAGACAGCATCTCACTCTGTTGCCCCGGCTAGAGTACAGTGGCGCGATCTCGGTTCACTGCAACCTCTGCCTCCCGGGTTCAAGCGATTCTCCTGCCTCAGCCTCCTGAGTAGCTGGGACTACAGGGACATGCCACCATGCCCGGCTAATTTTTGTATTTATAGTAGAGATGGAGTTTCACCATATTGGCCAGGCTGGTCTCGAACTCCTGACCTCGTGATCTGCCCACCTCAGCCTACCAAAGTGCTGGGATTACAGGCGTGAGCCACCGCACCCGGCTATTTACTTCTTCTTTTATGAAGCTCCCTCCTCCAAAACACCCCCATCACCTATTCCTTCCAGCTCTCTGACCACTCCTTGGATTCTCTGTGAATTCCCTTTTCTCTCTTTGAAGCCTGCCTTCCTGGTACTGTACTCTTGCACACTCTCTTTCCTCTTGCAAGAAGCCAGCACGTGGTACAGATCTTGCCAATGACCCTTCTCTCACTAGCTGAGTGGCATGAAGAAGCAGAAAATGGTTAAGAGCATTGGTTTGGAGTCACAGACCTTCATTGATTCCCAGCTCTGCCACCTATAGCTATTTGACTTGCACAAGTCACTAACCTTTCAGAGACTCAGCTTCCTTACGTGCAAAGTAAAAATCGAATGAGATAACCCAAATAAAATGTCATTAGGGGGATTTTTAGGTTATGTATATAAATCATGCAATAAATGCTAGTCATTTCTTTCCTCTGGTTGACTGAGAGCTTCCAGGAAATAGGAATGGGTTCTAACTTTCTTTGTATTCCTAGTGCCTAAAACGGTGCCTGACACAAAGTAGGCACTCAATAGATGCTTATGAATTAATAAAGTATGAGAGAGCCTGGTAGGTATTTAGCAGGGGAGGAAGGTTTTACCAAAAATGGTGCTGTGTTTGGTGGCAGTGTGTCATAGAGATTGTTTGGGACTGGGGAAGTTTGAGTTGTGTGTCGCCAACAATTGTGTCTCATGGGGAGTTGAGATAGAAGGATTGTGACACATGGCCATGATGGATGGTGAGTTGAGTGATGCTGTTGAGCTGGAAGGTGGGGGACTGGACAGACTATCTTGAGCTGGGTCCCTTGTAGTGCTGGGTTGGGCTCATCCACTGGTTCCCTGTCTAATCCTCTTTGTCTGCAGTGTGCCCCAGGCTACGATGGACAGAACTGCTCAAAGGAACTCGATGCTTGTCAGTCCCAACCCTGTCACAACCATGGAACCTGTACTCCCAAACCTGGAGGCTTCCACTGTGCCTGCCCTCCAGGCTTTGTGGGGCTACGCTGTGAGGGAGACGTGGACGAGTGTCTGGACCAGCCCTGCCACCCCACAGGCACTGCAGCCTGCCACTCTCTGGCCAATGCCTTCTACTGCCAGTGTCTGCCTGGACACACAGGTGAGGCCCCAAGACAAGGGGCACAAGTGTGTCTGGAGCACAGCCAAGCAGACCATGGAGAGCCAGATAGTCTCCACCCATGCGGCAGCCGTCACCTGGTCCATCCCCTGCCTCCACGCCCACCCCCGCCCAGAAAAGATGCCCCAGGATCCCTTCACCTGCACATCTAGCACTGGGCCAACATCCAGGAATGAGCTAGGATGGAGGCAGTGACTGATGCAGTGTGTGACGTCTAATCTCCCCCATAATTACAGGCCAGTGGTGTGAGGTGGAGATAGACCCCTGCCACAGCCAACCCTGCTTTCATGGAGGGACCTGTGAGGCCACAGCAGGATCACCCCTGGGTTTCATCTGCCACTGCCCCAAGGCAAGTGACCACAAATCTGCCTTCTCTGTTGCCCCCTATGCTGACAAGGCAAGAATACCTCAGTTGGAATCCCAGAAGGGACTGTGGGTGAGCACTGATGTGGAAATTATTGGAAAAAGCCATGCCAAGCTCACAGTGGGAAGTGTCTCTCAGAAGCAGTCAAAGGCAAGGCAGGATCAGTTGATAGCATGAATGGAATTTTCAAAAATCACAGGCGTTGCCTAAGGGAAGGTCAGGAGCTCCCCAAGCTCAAGCTGCGTGGTGGGTGGCCTCAGATAGGTTATTTTAACTCTGTGTGTGTTTGTATATGTATTTATGGACCTCAGATGCATGGAATTAGACTAATCTTAAGCTTTGGTTCCTGATACACTGACATTGGTTTATGCCTGGTCTTCTTTTATTTTATTATTCTTAACAATGTAACACCCATGAACCTAACCCAAGAATTTCAATATTAATAATAACTTACATCCACTTAAGTCCTCCTCCTGTATCCTGTTCCCTCTCCAGAGGAAGAGGAAGACATATGATCCTATTTCTAAGGAGTAAGATAATAATATAACAGCCGGCCGGGCACAGTGGCTCACGCCTGTAATCCCAGCACTTTGGGAGGCCGAGGCAGGCGGATCACCTGAGGTCGGGCATTCGAGACCAGCCTGACAAACATGGAGAAACCCTGTCTCTACTAAAAATACAAATTAGCTGGGCGTGGTGGTGCATGGCTGTAATCCCAGCTATTGGGAAGGCTGAGGCAGGAGAATTGCTTGAACCCGGGAGGCAGAGGTTGCAATGAGCTGAGATTGCACCATTGCACTCCAGCCTGGACAACAAGAGCGAAACTCTGTCTCAAAAATAATAATAATAATAATATAATAGCATTCTATTAACTGTTTAGTCTTCTAGGACTTGCACTGTAATGCCACAGTCCATCAGGTTGTTGCACACAGCTGTGCTTCATCCATTTTCAACAGAATGTAATATGTCATTGTGTGAAATTACCACAGGACATGGTTTCAACATCCACAAAATGATTAACTTGATGCTCTCTGAGGCGCCTTTTAGATATGAGAATCTAGGACCCTTGCACCGTCTTAACCCAAGAGTTTGCTTGATAGAGAGCGGGAAGAATAATGCAAGTTGCATCTCCAATATCTCCCCTCCCCTCCACAGGGTTTTGAAGGCCCCACCTGCAGCCACAGGGCCCCTTCCTGCGGCTTCCATCACTGCCACCACGGAGGCCTGTGTCTGCCCTCCCCTAAGCCAGGCTTCCCACCACGCTGTGCCTGCCTCAGTGGCTATGGGGGTCCTGACTGCCTGACCCCACCAGCTCCTAAAGGCTGTGGCCCTCCCTCCCCATGCCTATACAATGGCAGCTGCTCAGAGACCACGGGCTTGGGGGGCCCAGGCTTTCGATGCTCCTGCCCTCACAGCTCTCCAGGGCCCCGGTGTCAGAAACCCGGAGCCAAGGGGTGTGAGGGCAGAAGTGGAGATGGGGCCTGCGATGCTGGCTGCAGTGGCCCGGGAGGAAACTGGGATGGAGGGGACTGCTCTCTGGGAGTCCCAGACCCCTGGAAGGGCTGCCCCTCCCACTCTCGGTGCTGGCTTCTCTTCCGGGACGGGCAGTGCCACCCACAGTGTGACTCTGAAGAGTGTCTGTTTGATGGCTACGACTGTGAGACCCCTCCAGCCTGCACGTGAGCCTGAAATCCACTGGAGCCAGGGAAGGAGAGGGGTGGGTGAGAGGAGGAGGAAGGACGTAGATGGCTCTGAGTTACAGTGTGGCCACAGCCTTGGGCTCCAGGGAGTTTCCACCCTAATAACCATCACTAAACAGGGGTCGAAGACTCTGGACTCCAACCTAGGGTAATGGGGTGGCATCAGTATTTAATGTGGGGCGTGGCCTTTGGGCTCCTCTCTAAGAGTTGTAGGAACTCAGGTCTCAAGCCTCCTTCCCTAAGCCTTGCTGCCATGGAGTATTTCCCCTAGCAGTCAGCACCTCACAGAGGGAAAAGGGCCTGGGACTCTCCTTTAGAAACAGAGGAGAGCTTGGGAGGGTACAGAGAGGGGACAGTCTAGGGAGACAGGGGTGTTAGCAGACATTGGGGTGTCTGGACTACCATCCAGGACTTGACTAAGCTCATTGCTCCACAGCTGCCCCCACTTAGCAACCAAAGCCCTAGAGGGCACAAAATATGGGGAATTCTTTCTAGGGTGAAGAAAAGAGTCAGGTTTTAGGGAGGTCCTGAGTCCCCCTCTCCTTACCCCACAGTCCAGCCTATGACCAGTACTGCCATGATCACTTCCACAACGGGCACTGTGAGAAAGGCTGCAACACTGCAGAGTGTGGCTGGGATGGAGGTGACTGCAGGCCTGAAGATGGGGACCCAGAGTGGGGGCCCTCCCTGGCCCTGCTGGTGGTACTGAGCCCCCCAGCCCTAGACCAGCAGCTGTTTGCCCTGGCCCGGGTGCTGTCCCTGACTCTGAGGGTAGGACTCTGGGTAAGGAAGGATCGTGATGGCAGGGACATGGTGTACCCCTATCCTGGGGCCCGGGCTGAAGAAAAGCTAGGAGGAACTCGGGACCCCACCTATCAGGAGAGAGCAGCCCCTCAAACGCAGCCCCTGGGCAAGGAGACCGACTCCCTCAGTGCTGGGTAAGAAGCTAGGTGGAGGGAAGGGCCAGACACCAGTTTTTTTAAGAGGGCAGAGGGAGGAAAGGGAGCCAGGGACCAATACAGAGGTCTCTGAGGTGCCTCCTCTACAGGTTTGTGGTGGTAATGGGTGTGGATTTGTCCCGCTGTGGCCCTGACCACCCGGCATCCCGCTGTCCCTGGGACCCTGGGCTTCTACTCCGCTTCCTTGCTGCGATGGCTGCAGTGGGAGCCCTGGAGCCCCTGCTGCCTGGACCACTGCTGGCTGTCCACCCTCATGCAGGGACCGGTAGGTGACCCCTTGCCACTTTCTCTGACCTCTGTTCCCAGGCCAGCTCTCATGCTAGCAACAGGCAATGGAGGCTGAATCAAACAGGACAGCTGAGACTGAAAATGTTCTTTGTGGGGACTTACTTTCCCTAACCCCGCTTTCTCTAACTGAATCTCCCACTGGCCCATTTGTTCTACAGTCTCCTTCCTTATTTCCCTAAGCACATTATCCTAACCTCTGTCATAGCCCTCCAACAAAGGGATGGTTTATCTTCTCTACCAGACTGAGAATACCTAATAGTCTTTGTATCAGACAATTCATAGTACATGAAAGAATAATAGGCTGGGCGCAGTGGCTCATGCCTATAATCCCAGCACGTTGGGAGACCAAGGCAGGTGGATCACGAGGTCAGGAGATTGAGACCATCCTGGCTAATGCGGTGAAACCCTGTCTCTACTAAAAATAAAAAAATTAGCCGGCTGTGGTGGCGGGTGCTTGTAGTCTCAGCTACTCAGGAGGCTGAGGCAGGAGAATGGCGTGAACCTGGGAGGTGGAGCTTGCAGTGAGCCGAGATCGCGCCACTGCACTCCAGCCTGGGCGACAGAGGGAGACTCCATCTCAAAAAAAAAAAAAGAAAAATAACTGCTATATCGTACTTTGTGCCTTACTCTAAGCATTTTACATTGTTACCTCATTTAATCCTCCCCCACAACCCCATGAGGCACGTACTGCTGGTTGAGTATCCCTTATCTGAAATGCTTGGGAACAAAAGTGTTTCAGATTTCGGATTTATTTTGGAATATTTGCATTATACTTACTGGTTCAGCATCCCTAATACAACATCCAAATGCTACAATGAGCATTTCCTTTGAGCGTTATGTTGGTACTCTAAAAGTTTCAGACTTTGGAACATTTCAGATTTGGGATTGGGGTTATGGATACTCAGCCTTTTTTTGTGTGTTTGTTTTCTGAGACAGTCTTACTCTGTCAGCCACACTGGAGTACAGTGACGCCATCTCAGCTCACTGCAACCTCTGCCTCCTGGGTTTAAGCAATTCTCTTGCTTCAGACTACTGAGTAGCTGGAATTACAATGGCATGCCACCATGCCCTGATAATTTTTTTTGTTTTTGTTTTGTTTTGTTTTGTTTTGTTTGAGACAGAGTCTTGCCTTGTCGCCCAGGCCGGAGTGCAGTGGCGCGATCTCGGCTCACTGCAAGCTCCACCTCCCAAGTTCACGCCATTCTCCTGCCTCAGCCTCCCAAGTAGCTGGGACTACAGGTGCCCGCCACCACACCTGGCTAATTTTTTGTATTTTTAGTAGAGACAGGGTTTCACCATGTTAGCCAGGATGGTCTCGATCTCCTGACCTCATGATCCACCCGCCTCAGCCTCCCAAAGTGCTGAGATTATAGGAGTAAGCCACTACACCCAGCCACTAATTTTTATATTTTTAGTAGAGAGGGGGTTTTGCCATGTTGGCCAGGCTGGTCTCGAACTCCTGGCCTCATATGATCCACCTGCCTCAGCTTCCCAAAGTGCTGGGATTACAGGCATGAGCCACTGTGCCCAACCTCAATCTATATTATCATCCCCATTTTGCAGATAAGGAAACCGAGGCAAAGACAGGCTACTAAACTTGTCCAAAGGTCTCCCAATAGTAATCAGTCTCACCAGGAGTGGCCTCTCTTTGTGACTCTGTCTCTCCCACCAGCACCCCCTGCCAACCAGCTTCCCTGGCCTGTGCTGTGCTCCCCAGTGGCCGGGGTGATTCTCCTGGCCCTAGGGGCTCTTCTCGTCCTCCAGCTCATCCGGCGTCGACGCCGAGAGCATGGAGCTCTCTGGCTGCCCCCTGGTTTCACTCGACGGCCTCGGACTCAGTCAGCTCCCCACCGACGCCGGCCCCCACTAGGCGAGGACAGCATTGGTCTCAAGTGAGAATGAGGAGAAACCCAGGCTCAGGAAGGGGAGTCTCTCCTATGGCGATATTTACAATCAGAAAAGATAAGAAATACTATTGCAGAAGTCAAAGATAGGGGAAGGAGAGAGGGGTGGGAAGCCTGCTGGAAATTTTGGAGACCCTGATGGTCATAATTCCGTGTAACCTCTACCCACCCATTCCTTTCCAGGGCACTGAAGCCAAAGGCAGAAGTTGATGAGGATGGAGTTGTGATGTGCTCAGGCCCTGAGGAGGGAGAGGAGGTGGGCCAGGTGAAAGGGCTGGGGCAAGAATGGTCTGGAGGTGATGGAAGGGATGAAAGGGCAAATCAACCTTCACTGATCCTTGCTGTTACCCAAAGGCTGAAGAAACAGGCCCACCCTCCACGTGCCAGCTCTGGTCTCTGAGTGGTGGCTGTGGGGCGCTCCCTCAGGCAGCCATGCTAACTCCTCCCCAGGAATCTGAGATGGAAGCCCCTGACCTGGACACCCGTGGACCTGGTATGTGAGTCAACCCAGACCAAGAAAAAAAAAAAAAGTCCTTTGACCCTATTAGAATCAGAGAGTCCTTTAATATCAGAACTAGAGGAAATAATTTTAGACTGAGTGCCTTAGAACAATGATTCTCAAAGTGTGGTCCTCAGACAGCAAAATCAGCATCACCTGGGAATTTGTCAGAAATGCAAATTATTGGGCTCCACTACAGAGCTACTGACTCAGGAATTTAAAATGTTAGGCAATCTGTTTTAACAAGCCCTTCAGGTGAATCTGATCCAGACTCGTTTGAGAAAACCACTGCTAGGCCGGGCGTGGTGGCTCACGCCTGTAATCCCAGCACTTTGGGAGGCCAAGGCGGGTGGATCACAAGGTCAGGAGATCGAGACCATCCTGGCTAACACAGTGAAACCCCGTCTCTACTAAAAATACAAAAAATTAGCCGGGCGTGGTGGCGGGAGCCTGTAGTCCCAGCTGCTCTGGAGGCTAAGGCAGGAGAATGGCGTGAACCTGGGAGGAGGAGCTTGCAGTGAGCCGAGATCGCGCCACTGCACTCCAGCCTGGGTGACAGGGCGAGACTCCGTCTCAGAAAAAAAAAAAAAAAAAAAGAGAAAACCACTGCCCTGGAATGTCAGAGAATTAAGCTGCAGGTTCCTTTTACAGAGGAAGAAACTGAAGTCAGAGAAAAGCAGAAAAGTCACTTGGCTAAAGCCACACAGAGCCAGAACTTAGCTTCCCAACACCTCAGGTTTTGATTCTCCCTGAGCTTACATGTTGTCCCTTCCCCCTTGTTGTGTCCTTTAGATTGACCCATTACTCTGTCTTACCAACAGATGGGGTGACACCCCTGATGTCAGCAGTTTGCTGTGGGGAAGTACAGTCCGGGACCTTCCAAGGGGCATGGTTGGGATGTCCTGAGCCCTGGGAACCTCTGCTGGATGGAGGGGCCTGTCCCCAGGCTCACACCGTGGGCACTGGGGAGACCCCCCTGCACCTGGCTGCCCGATTCTCCCGGCCAACCGCTGCCCGCCGCCTCCTTGAGGCTGGAGCCAACCCCAACCAGCCAGACCGGGCAGGGCGCACACCCCTTCATGCTGCTGTGGCTGCTGATGCTCGGGAGGTCTGCCAGGTTAGCACACACTGAGGTCCCTACAGGGAATGGGGCGAGCTTACAAGTAAAGCTGGACAGAAGCATCCCCTAGAGTTTGACAAGGAGGAAATTGGTGTGATTGGGAACCTGACAGGGAAACTGCGGAGGATGGCTGAATATGGATTGCGAGTGGGGTTAATAGTGTAAGGAACTCGAGTTGGCAGTCCAAGGTACCCCAGGGGTCACTGGCCCTCTGTCTCCCCAGCTTCTGCTCCGTAGCAGACAAACTGCAGTGGACGCTCGCACAGAGGACGGGACCACACCCTTGATGCTGGCTGCCAGGCTGGCGGTGGAAGACCTGGTTGAAGAACTGATTGCAGCCCAAGCAGACGTGGGGGCCAGAGATAAATGGGGTATGTAGAGGAAGGGGTGATGTATGCTATAGAGAAGTTGAGCAGATGGGGTGGGAGATAGCGTGCAAAATATAGGTGCAGCAGAGGGGCATTCCCTCTCATCCTGCTGTTACGGCGGTCAATCTGAGATGCGGTGGAAGTACGGGCCGCGTGAGTTTCCCCCCCCAACTCCCACCCTCAACACCACACTGGCCCTCCGCTCCAGCTTACTGGGGAACTGGCATGGAACACAGTGTCTGTGGAAAGGGGGGGGAATCTCGTGGGGGGAGACTGTCTCCCGGTCTCACCGACCCCAGAACAATGCCCCATTGTCCCTCCCGCGCACTGGTGACGTCACCAGGGCAACACTTCCTGCAGGCCGGTGGTCTCCTGGGCAACGCTTCCCGCCTTTGAGGGACCAGCCGGCCCGAATAGCCCTTCCCCCAAGGCCAGAACCCGTGGGAAACCGGAACCCAGGCGTCTGGCCCCCAACTGGGGTAACAACCTCCCACGTCGTCCCCTAGGGAAAACTGCGCTGCACTGGGCTGCTGCCGTGAACAACGCCCGAGCCGCCCGCTCGCTTCTCCAGGCCGGAGCCGATAAAGATGCCCAGGACAACAGGGTTAGATGGGACAGAGGGCTTCCCACAAAACAGTCAGGCGCACGAGAGATGGAAAGTGCGGTAACCCGCAAAGCCTGAAGGGATAGGGGCCAGTGGTCGCGCAAGTGAAGGCAGAAAGGCCCAGTCCTGTGGGCGTGGCCTTCCCTGATATCGGCCCTGGCTCTTCTGTACAGGAGCAGACGCCGCTATTCCTGGCGGCGCGGGAAGGAGCGGTGGAAGTAGCCCAGCTACTGCTGGGGCTGGGGGCAGCCCGAGAGCTGCGGGACCAGGCTGGGCTAGCGCCGGCGGACGTCGCTCACCAACGTAACCACTGGGATCTGCTGACGCTGCTGGAAGGGGCTGGGCCACCAGAGGCCCGTCACAAAGCCACGCCGGGCCGCGAGGCTGGGCCCTTCCCGCGCGCACGGACGGTGTCAGTAAGCGTGCCCCCGCATGGGGGCGGGGCTCTGCCGCGCTGCCGGACGCTGTCAGCCGGAGCAGGCCCTCGTGGGGGCGGAGCTTGTCTGCAGGCTCGGACTTGGTCCGTAGACTTGGCTGCGCGGGGGGGCGGGGCCTATTCTCATTGCCGGAGCCTCTCGGGAGTAGGAGCAGGAGGAGGCCCGACCCCTCGCGGCCGTAGGTTTTCTGCAGGCATGCGCGGGCCTCGGCCCAACCCTGCGATAATGCGAGGAAGATACGGAGTGGCTGCCGGGCGCGGAGGCAGGGTCTCAACGGATGACTGGCCCTGTGATTGGGTGGCCCTGGGAGCTTGCGGTTCTGCCTCCAACATTCCGATCCCGCCTCCTTGCCTTACTCCGTCCCCGGAGCGGGGATCACCTCAACTTGACTGTGGTCCCCCAGCCCTCCAAGAAATGCCCATAAACCAAGGAGGAGAGGGTAAAAAATAGAAGAATACATGGTAGGGAGGAATTCCAAAAATGATTACCCATTAAAAGGCAGGCTGGAAGGCCTTCCTGGTTTTAAGATGGATCCCCCAAAATGAAGGGTTGTGAGTTTAGTTTCTCTCCTAAAATGAATGTATGCCCACCAGAGCAGACATCTTCCACGTGGAGAAGCTGCAGCTCTGGAAAGAGGGTTTAAGATGCTAGGATGAGGCAGGCCCAGTCCTCCTCCAGAAAATAAGACAGGCCACAGGAGGGCAGAGTGGAGTGGAAATACCCCTAAGTTGGAACCAAGAATTGCAGGCATATGGGATGTAAGATGTTCTTTCCTATATATGGTTTCCAAAGGGTGCCCCTATGATCCATTGTCCCCACTGCCCACAAATGGCTGACAAATATTTATTGGGCACCTACTATGTGCCAGGCACTGTGTAGGTGCTGAAAAGTGGCCAAGGGCCACCCCCGCTGATGACTCCTTGCATTCCCTCCCCTCACAACAAAGAACTCCACTGTGGGGATGAAGCGCTTCTTCTAGCCACTGCTATCGCTATTTAAGAACCCTAAATCTGTCACCCATAATAAAGCTGATTTGAAGTGTTACCTTTTTTTGGAGGAATTGGGGAGAAGAATGGGAAAAAAGATGGGAGTGACTGCATAATGTCAGCATTTTGTGCTTTTGGCTCAGCATTTGGATTGGATGGAGGATGTAAGTATAGTTTAAAAGCAAGAATAAGTATATTTAGGGGCCCTATGATAATTTAGGGTATTATCTGAAAGCAAGAATCTAGTAGCCAAGGGAGAAACCGCACACACTAGGTCAGGGGTCCCCAACCCTTGGGCCACAGACTGGTACTGGTCCATGGCCTCTTAGGAACTGGGCCACACAGCAGGAGGTGAGCAAGCATTACTGCCCAAGCTCCACCTCCTGTCAGATCAGCATAAGCATTAAATTCTCATAGGAACTCGAACCCTATTGTGAACTGTGCATGCAAGGGATCTAAGTTTCTCGCTTCTTACGGGAATCTAATGCCTAATGATCTGGGGTGGAACAGTTTCATCCTGAAACCAGCCCTCCGTCGCCACCGACCATGGAATAATTGTCTTCCACGAAACTCTTCCCTGGTGCCAAAAAGGTAGGAGACCACTGCACTAGATGATGCACACACTTTGTCCCTCATCCTAGGGCTTTTACTTATGGCCACTTAGGAGATTCCTAAGGCCACAAGTCAAGTAGATGGAGAGAGTATCTTGAAACTTTGTCCACCTTGCAGCAATATGTTGCTAGGTTTGAAACATGGAGTCATGAGGCATTTTGAAAGCCAATAATATCTACAGTTTATTAAGTATTCACTATGCATCAAGTGCTTTATTACATTATTAATACATCAACCCTATGAAGTAGGTGCTATTAAAACCCTATTTCACTCAGAAATTGAGGCACAGAGATCTGCCCAAGATTGCAAGGAATAAGCGGCAGGACCAGATCTCTTCATCACATTTCACATTCCAAATCACTCAGCTATAAACTCCCTAACATGACAGGTTGCCATTTAGAGGTACCAAATGGTTGTCTGCCCTGCTCCTTCCTTGATGCCAACCAGCCTGATTAGCATTGATCAAAGACCAAGCCAGAGAGGTAGTCCTCTCCCTTTTCAATTTCATTTCATTTCTTTCTTTTTCTGAAACAGGGTATTGCTCTGTTGCCCAGCCTGGAGTGCAGTGGCACAAATGGCTCACTGCAGCCACAACCTCCTGGGCTCAAGCAATCTTCCTACCTCAGCCTCTCATTTTTCCATATCTATATCTCTTATGCCCAAAATAAACTTTCCCCTGCCCCTTGTCTGCACTAAACTGTAAGTTTCCAAAATGAACCCTTCCCGTACTCTATTTGGTACACATCTTGTCTCCTGAATAGAGTGTATTTTTTATTTTATTTTATTTTGGAGACGGAGTCTCGCTCTGTCACCTAGGCTGGAGCGCAGTGGCACAATCTCAGTTCACCGCAACCTCCGCCTCCCGGGTTCAAGCAATTCTCCTGCCTCAACCTCCTGAGTAGCTGGGATTACAGGCGCATGTGGCCACGCCCAGCTAATTTTTTGTATTTTAGTAAAGATGGGGTTTCACCATGTTCCCCAGGCTGGTCTCCAACTCCTGAGCTCAGGCAATCCACCCGCCTCAGCCTCCCAAAGTGCTAGGATTACAGGTGTGAGCCACCGCAGCCGGCCATCTCCTGAATAGATTTTAAATACCTAGAGGTCAGGGATGATTATTCAATACATATATATTGAATACTTACTATGTGTTGGACCCGGTGCTAGGGTTTTATGTATATATTTGAGAGCTCCACATCCCTGGATCTGAATCCTCCACTTCCCACTGGAACCATGCCCCTCCCAGTCCCGGTAAGTAAGAGGGAAGATCGGGAGGGCCAAATCCTACACCAGGGTCTATCTTAGGGAGGGAAGGGACCTGGCTGGGGGGAGGGGGATTCTGAGGAGTGAAACCACTTCCTGTGTAGCTAGTTCCTGTGTTGACAGAAAGAGCAGAAGAGGAGGTGGGGTGGAGGGAGCAGAGCCAGGGATTAGGGGACTACTGAGGCTCTGGAGATGAGACCGCCAGGAGTCCTTCCCCACCATGAGCCCCCTCCACTCCTGCAGCTGGAGGAGTTTTTCCCAGTCTCAGTGCTGCCCTGGGGCGAGAGAGACTGAACAAGCTGTTTGGGTGGGAAGAGAATGGAGGAAGTTGACAGGGATGGGCGGGGCCCGTGGGGGGGCTGACCAGGAACCCAGCTTCCTGCTCAGTACCCAGGCATCCAGCCCCCAGCTCACCCCCACCCCTTCCAGCCCCCACTCCCCTCAGGAACCCAAGGTTCCAGCCCTCCTCCCAAATCCCAGCCACCCCTCCCCCACCAGTTTCTCCCCTCTAGGGGATGGAGGCTGAGAGACCCCAGGAAGAAGAGGATGGTGAGCAGGTGAGCTGGGCACGGGGTTGGGGAGGCTGACACTGGGAAAGAAGGGAGGTGAGAGGACCTGGGGCAGAAATGTAGGGACACAGGGGCCTTGAAAGGCTTGGGCAAACTGAGGCAGGAACAGAGACACACAGAGAGGAAACGGGCCACTGGCCTAGCCCCCTGTCCACTCCTCCCGCTTCAACCACCACTGCTTGACTAGAATGGACATATTTTGGCATCAGGGCCCCCCTCAGGATGAGGAAGGCTGGCCCCCTCCAAACTCCACCACTCGGCCTTGGCGATCTGCTCCTCCGTCCCCTCCTCCTCCAGGGACCCGCCACACAGGTACCCCTACCCACCCAGGGAGAGCCCCGACCCTAGTGCCCACATCCTGACCCCATTACCAAGGCCCACTCCATTGTGGGCCCTCTCCCCACCTCCTCCAGACTCCCCTTGGGATTCCCCATTGCACCCCCTCTCCTCTGATCCAAAGTCCCTAATCACGTCACCCTGTCCACACTCCCCCACGGCTCCTGTCTGCCAACCTCTCTGGGTCTCTGAGCCCTCCACACCCCTCTCCCCAGCCCTGGGACCCCGCTCGGCCTCCCTGCTCTCCCTGCAGACTGAACTCCTTCTGGACCTGGTGGCTGAAGCCCAGTCCCGCCGCCTGGAGGAGCAGAGGGCCACCTTCTACACCCCCCAAAACCCCTCAAGCCTAGCCCCTGCCCCACTCCGTCCTCTCGAGGACAGAGAACAGCTTTACAGCACTATCCTCAGTCACCAGGTAAGACATCCCCCCAGGAGGCAAACCCAGGCCTCCTGGTCTCTTGGCCCCTGTTCTCTTTGGGGCTCTACTCCTGTTTCTCCCTAGGCACCCCATCGCCTTCACAGGTTTCCTATATGCCTCCCCATACCAACCCTTGATCCTCTCAAGAACCTCCTCCTCTCAGACCCTCACCAAAGCTCTCCCTCTCCCTCCACTCCTCCAGTGCCAGCGGATGGAAGCCCAGCGGTCAGAGCCTCCCCTCCCTCCAGGGGGGCAAGAGCTCCTGGAGTTGCTGCTGAGAGTTCAGGGTGGGGGTCGAATGGAGGAGCAAAGGTCCCGGCCCCCCACACACACCTGCTGAGACTTGAGCCCCAACCAGCCCTTCCTTGCCACTGGTCTCAAAGCTGGGCAGCCCATTGCATGCCCTCAACTCTTGCTTGGCAGGGGTACCAGAGACTGAAAGACACGGCACAAATCTCAATATTCATCTCCCACATCACCTTCCCTGGGAACTGGACAGGGTGAAAGTCCTCAAACTCTGGGAACAGGCGAGATGGAACAGGGATTTAACTCCCCGCCCACAGGTCCATGGGAGCTTGAGGCAGTAAGGGGGATCCCAGGCACCCATCTCAAGGAGTGGCTGGGAGTCTTTTCCCTAACTTGTGGGGACACCACCAGTTGTCAAGCTACTAGGCAGTAGGGTCTGAGGGCTCAGGCCTCCACCTGAGAGGTTATAACCTGAGAGACAGCTCTACCCTTCCTCCCAGTAAGAAGGGAAGGTGGGTGGGCACCTGAGAGATTAAGACTATTCTCCCAGTCCCACTACCAGCACCCCCGATCCCTGAGACTGAGGGGTTTACGGGCTGTGAATGGACCTTCAGCCCTGCCCACCCTCCCTCCCCACTGCTGCTGAGTCTGTCTGATGTTTTGGTTGTGTGAATAAATATAATTCCCCTCTGGACTGCAGACTGGTATCTGGGGGGCCCAGGCGGGGTGAAAGGTAGGAAGGTGAGGCCAGAGGCCTTTTCTCTCCCCAGTCTGGCCAGAGGCCAGCTCCCCTCCCCGGCTGGTTAATTACTGGCTCATTAAGCAGCGGCTGGAGACCTCCCTAATTATCTCCCCCAGCCCCCCTCTTCGGTTTTAATTAAGTAGAACAGGGAGGGGAGTCATTAGAACAAGAAATACGAACTGAGCTGCCGGTGAACCCAGGCATTCCAGCGGCCTGAGTCCACATCGCTTAGATCCCTGATTCAGGACCCAGGTGACAGACGCCCCCAGCCGCCAACACAGCCCCACTCCTAGGCCGCGGAAGTCCAGCCAGGGGGCTTTCCCATATCTTTCAGATGGCCCGTCTCCTCCCCTCATCCCCTCTTCCCTCTCCCCTCCTCCACTAGGTCTCAGTTCCTCTGTTTCTGTGTCTCTCTCTCCGCCCCCAGCTCCTCCCTGTTCCTCCTCTCTTCTCCCCTCCTCTTCCTCTCCGGCTCCCCTCCCCCAGCCTCCCTCCCTCGCTCCCCCCCCTTCTCCCTCCTCCCTCCTCCCTCTCTCTCACACACACCCCCGCTTGGGCCTCCTCTCTCTCTCCGGCTCCATTTTCTCCGCCGCCGGGGGCCGGGGTCTCCTGTGGGGGGCCCAGCCGGTATCCCAGGTCTCCCTTCAGTGCCGGGGTGAACCCCCGGGGGAGCCGGGAGCCGGGGGCAGACGGGCGGGGGTTGGGGCGGAGGGAGCAGCGGCCCCAGCGAGTTTGGGGGGAGAAGTAACCAGGCGGGGGGAGGGGCGGAGCAGGGAGGGGGCCTCAGGGCCCCCCCCCAGCTATGGACGAACGGCTACTGGGGCCGCCCCCTCCAGGCGGGGGCCGGGGGGGCCTGGGATTGGTGAGTGGGGAGCCTGGGGGCCCTGGCGAGCCTCCCGGTGGCGGAGACCCCGGTGGGGGTAGCGGGGGGGTCCCGGGAGGCCGAGGGAAGCAAGACATCGGGGACATTCTGCAGCAGATAATGACCATCACCGACCAGAGCCTGGACGAGGCCCAGGCCAAGTGAGTGCCCCCACTCCGGGACCCCACACAGACCCAGCAAACCCCGTTCACATGTTCTGAATCTTCTGGGAGCCCCCCCCAACTCCAGGGCCCTCTCCAGGATCCAACAGCTCTCTTCTCTCCTTATTCCTGGGAGCCCATAGAAAAGTGATCCCTCTCAAACCTCCCTTCACCCCCAGGCCCTGAAACCTTCACAGAGGGAACCCCCGGTGGCCCGGCTCCCCACTCCTAACCTTTTGCCGACCCCTGCAGTCTCCTGGAACAGCCCCATCCCCGGGAGCCCCCTCTGGCTCCCAGACTAAGAAACTGTTCTTGGGCTACGTTATCTTCTCCCCTAACTCTCCACCCAGCCCCCTCATTCTCTCCAGATGTGGAGACCTCCACACCCTCTCCAGAGCCCCTAAAGCTCCTCTCCACTGCTCAGCCAGACACTAGGTGCATCAAAGCCTCCCACCTGCTCAGCCCCAGGACCCCTTCACACACCCTACACTGATCTCCCCAGTTAGCTCGGCACCCCCAGCCCCACTCTGCCACCTCAAACTCTGACTCTTCTCAACCCCAGCTTCTGTCTCTCTCCCTCTGAAACCTACCAAGTCACTTTCCTTTCTCCATCCACTCCCAGATTCCTCCTCCTACCTTTCTAGACCATCTCCCAAAGCCCGCAGCCTTTAACCTGCTGCCTGCATCTTCCCTGTGTCTCCCTGAAGCTGAGGAGCTTCCCCATGCTCTGGGAGCTGATCTTTTCCCAAGAACTCCTCATTCCACCCCCAACTCATTCCACCCCCAATCCGCTTCCTCCCTCCGCAGACTGACCCTCCTCCCTCCTTGTTCTCAGGCCCCCTGCTCTGTTTCTCTAGCTCCTCAACTTTTCTCTTTCCCCACTCCCACTCCTCCCAAGGAAACACGCCCTAAACTGCCACCGAATGAAGCCTGCTCTCTTTAGCGTCCTGTGTGAAATCAAGGAGAAAACTGGTATGTGGGCCCCCCCCGGATTGCTCAACTCTGGGAACAGAACCCTGTTCATTATAGGGCTAGAGTGTGACAACTTGGGGCCCTGAGGAAAGTAAGGAGTCAGGGGGACTGGGGAAGGAACCAAAGCCTGGGAACTTGGCTCTCCAGGAAGCACCAGGAGGACTGAGCACTGGGTATTGGGGTCTCTGGGTCCCTAAGTCCACTCGCCTGCATGCTAGGCCTCAGCATTCGGAGCTCCCAGGAGGAGGAGCCGGTGGACCCACAGCTGATGCGCTTGGACAACATGCTTCTGGCAGAGGGTGTGGCTGGGCCCGAGAAAGGGGGCGGCTCAGCAGCAGCAGCTGCAGCCGCTGCAGCCTCTGGTGGTGGTGTGTCCCCTGACAACTCCATCGAACACTCGGACTATCGCAGCAAACTTGCCCAGATCCGTCACATATACCACTCGGAGCTGGAGAAGTATGAGCAGGTAAGGAGAGGAGGCTTGGGTGGGTGGAGGGAAGGGCTCTTGCAGGGGAATCCCATGGTCAAAGGGCTCCTCCTCACCAGCCCACTGGCCCCCACTACAGGCATGTAATGAGTTCACGACCCATGTCATGAACCTGCTGAGGGAGCAGAGCCGCACCAGGCCCGTGGCCCCCAAAGAGATGGAACGCATGGTGAGCATCATCCATCGAAAGTTCAGCGCCATCCAGATGCAGCTGAAGCAGAGCACCTGCGAGGCTGTGATGATCCTGCGCTCCCGTTTCCTGGATGCCAGGTGGGCCCAGGGACCCCAGGCTGGCCCCCAGCACTGGGCTCCTTCCCATTCCTCTCCAAGACCCTGAGCTGCCATGCTGCACAACATGGTACTCCATGACAATGGTGACTCTGGGGTCATGCCATGTGACAGCCCTGCCAGGACATCAACATCCTCCTCACCGCTCTTCTCCCTCCTCTGTAGACGAAAGCGCCGTAACTTCAGCAAACAGGCCACTGAGGTCCTAAATGAGTATTTCTACTCCCACCTGAGTAACCCATATCCTAGTGAGGAGGCCAAGGAGGAGCTTGCCAAGAAGTGTGGCATCACCGTGTCTCAGGTATTATGGAGGTTGCGGGAGGAGTTGTCAGGCAAAGTGCACGCATCTCAGCTAGGTGCAGTGGTGTGTTCCTGTAATCCCAGCTACTAGGGAGGCTGAAGTGGGAGGATCACTTGAATTGGAGACCAGCCTGGGCAACAGCATAGTGAGACCAGGAAGCAAAAAAAAAAAAAATGCTGTCACTCACATCTTATTCAGTGAAGGACTTCAGAGGCAAATGTTTCTACCTGACCCTCCTTTCTGCCCCACAGGTCTCCAACTGGTTTGGCAACAAGAGGATTCGCTATAAGAAAAACATCGGAAAGTTCCAAGAGGAGGCAAACATCTATGCTGTCAAGACCGCCGTGTCAGTCACCCAGGGGGGCCACAGCCGCACCAGCTCCCCGACACCCCCTTCCTCTGCAGGTGGATCCCACTGTCACCCCAGCTGACTGTTTTGCACACTTCCTGCTTTTGTTCCCACTTCCTATCTAGGCAGGATCATAGCAGAGAGGGGGCCTTTTGGGGTGAGAGGGACCGAGCTGAGATAGGCTGGAGATGTCAGGGGACAGAGGCCATTCCAGTGATCTTAGTTCTGCCTTTCTTCCCACGGGTGGCCAAGGAACAGCCTGCTCTTTCTGTGTGTTGGAATGTTATTTTGTGGATAATTGGAGTATAGTAGCATGTCCCCACAAGAGTTGAGAGTTGTGGTTCATCCTCTACCATCACGGGCTCTATTACACTCTTCCCTCTCTGCCCCCACAAGGCTCTGGCGGCTCTTTCAATCTCTCAGGATCTGGAGACATGTTTCTGGGGATGCCTGGGCTCAACGGAGATTCCTATTCTGCTTCCCAGGTCAGATGCCCATCTCCTCTCGAATAGGGCTTTCCCCAACTCCATTTCCTCTACTTTAGGATACAAGACCTCTTTCCTCTGAGGCTTCTCTTCACTGTCATACCTTCCTCTGCTGCCTGCAGGTGGAATCACTCCGACACTCGATGGGGCCAGGGGGCTATGGGGATAACCTCGGGGGAGGCCAGATGTACAGCCCACGGGAAATGAGGGTGAGTGGATCCTGAAGCTCCTCTCTGTCCAGTTCTCACAGGACAGAGGGGCATTTTCCCTAGTAATGTTGTGCCCACACAGGGTTCCCAGGGCTCTCTCTGTTTTCTGTACTCTGTCTCTCCTTTCAGGCAAATGGCAGCTGGCAAGAGGCTGTGACCCCCTCTTCAGTGACATCCCCAACGGAGGGACCAGGGAGTGTTCACTCTGATACCTCCAACTGATCTTGCCCCTCAGGGTCACAGGGGTGGGGGCTCTCACAAGGCGACTTGAAGAGGACGCAGGCTTCCAGAGGACAAACCCCAATACAGGAGAAGCACAAGACAGAGAAGGGCCAATGGGGTCATCCCCTCCCTAACGAGACTCTCTGTGCTGGGGGTGCTAATTACATGGCAGGAAGAATGGGGCCTCTAAGGGGAGTGTGGGGTCTGTCTCTCCCTTTTTTCCATCTTTTTCCTCTCTCGCTTTCTTTCTTACACAGAAACATACACATACCGAGAAACCTATTTCTCAGACCCCTTTTTCTCCTCTGTCTTTCTCTCTCCCTCTCCCACACCTCACACACACATACTCCCACTTGCAACTATTCTGTTTCTCTCCTGGGCTCCCCCACTTTCCCTTCCCCACCCCACTTGTATGCTCTGGAATCTGTGGAGACGCCAGCCCTGCCCAATCAGAGATGCCAAAAATGGGGACATGACTTCTGGACAGAGGACATGGGCCACGCCCCCATGCATCCCCACCCCCGCCCCTCCGGACGGCTTACTTACCTCATACGCAGCTCATCTTAAACCAATAGAATCGCTCGGTGGACGAGAGTGTCTGACTCAGATATCTACCTCGGAGGGAGTTTCTGCTACTTTAGGGAATTATTGACTGGGCTTTGGGGTTGAACTTTTTTTTTTTTAAAGAAAGAAAAAGAAACCCTGGGATCCATCTGTTTTTTTTGTTGTTGTTGTTGTTTTTGTTGTTGTTGTTGGTGGTGGTGGTGGTGGTTCTTAATTTTTAATTTAGTTTGGGGAAGTAGCTTGTTTTTTTTTTTATAAATATGTTGATTTCTTGTCTTTTTTTTTTATTTCTTACTTTCCCATATTAGGGGTGATAGCCAAAGGGGTTCTGGTAAGAGAAAGGGGGACAAACAGAACTGGTAAAGAGGCCCCCCTGGCTCCAGGCCTGTCCATCAGGAAGTAAATTTTACAGGGCACCAAGCTTTGCCCCCTAAAATCCCTTAGGTGTTCTTTGTTCATGCAGGCAGGTTTCTGCCGCATTTGATGTGGAGGCAGTGAAGGGCTTGCCCTGCTGGCCTCTCATCCCCCTTCTTCCCACAACCCTTGGGCAGGGCTGGACTCAGTAATTTTGAGGAAATTGAAGATGCCATCTTCCCCTGTGAGTGACATGTCTTTAATTTTTTAAAAAACTACTATTTGAAAATTGGAGGGGGAAGAATGGGAAGGGAGTTATTGCCAAATATGTTAAATATGGGTTGGGGTGCTTGTATATGTATCTTCCTCAATTTCCCCATAAATGAGGTATCTTTTTGTCACACCAAAATCAAGGGGTAGGGAGAGGGAGGAGGTTGCAAAAAGCCAGATGTGGGGGAAAAGTAACATCAACACTGTCCCATCCTCAGCCCTGAACTAGCTACCATCTGATCCCCTCAGACATTCTCAGGATTTTACAAGACTGTCAGAGTGGGGAACCCCTCCCATTAAAGATCCGGGCAGGACTGGGGACAGGTTGGAAGTGTGATGGGTGGGGGGGTGGGAGGCATGGGCCGGGGGCAGTTCTCTCCTCACTTGTAAACTTGTGTAGTTTCACAGAAAAAAAACAAAATGCAGTTTTAAATAAAGAAATTTCTTTTTTCCCTGGGTTTAGTTGAGAATTTTTTTCAAAAAACATGAGAAACCCCAGAAAAAAAATGATTTTCTTTCACGAAGCTCCAAACAGGTTTCTCTCCTGTTCCCCAGCCTTGCCTTCATGATGCAGGCCCAATTGCACCCTTGCAGACAACAGTCTGGCCTGAACCCTATTGATGCAACTTTGCGCAATCAAGATGGGGCTCCAGTGGGTCACCAGGCAGCCCTGATGGACTGATGGAATAAATAGGATCGGGGGCTCTGAGGGAATGAGACCCTAGAGGGTACACTCCCCATCCCCCAGGGAAGTGACTGTACCCAGAGGCTGGTAGTACCCAGGGGTGGGGTGATAATTATTTCTCTAGTACCTGAAGGACTCTTGTCCCAAAGGCATGAATTCCTAGCATTCCCTGTGACAAGACGACTGAAAGATGGGGGCTGGAGAGAGGGTGCAGGCCCCACCTAGGGCGGAGGCCACAGCAGGGAGAGGGGCAGACAGAGCCAGGACCCTGGAAGGAAGCAGGATGGCAGCCGGAACAGCAGTTGGAGCCTGGGTGCTGGTCCTCAGTCTGTGGGGTGAGCCACTCCCCCAACCCCACTGACCCTCCCTGCAGAAAGCACTTTAACCCCACACCCCAGTCGTCCTAGAACTTTTCCCAGAACCCGAGGAAGTGCCTTTCAAGGTCCCTCACCCACCCTGTCCAAATTTTGTTAGCCCTCATTCCCTTCCTACCCCTCTACCATGGTGCTATCTCCCAGGGGCAGTAGTAGGTGCTCAAAACATCACAGCCCGGATTGGCGAGCCACTGGTGCTGAAGTGTAAGGGGGCCCCCAAGAAACCACCCCAGCGGCTGGAATGGAAACTGGTAAGCGGGGCTCCTGTTGCAGCCTCCCAACTTCCAGGGAGACCAGCAATGATTTGGATCCCCGTCACTCTGCCTCACAGTCCTTTCCCAAAGGCCTTGCACTGTTTAGGCCCTGCTTCTCTGCTTCTAGAACACAGGCCGGACAGAAGCTTGGAAGGTCCTGTCTCCCCAGGGAGGAGGCCCCTGGGACAGTGTGGCTCGTGTCCTTCCCAACGGCTCCCTCTTCCTTCCGGCTGTCGGGATCCAGGATGAGGGGATTTTCCGGTGCCAGGCAATGAACAGGAATGGAAAGGAGACCAAGTCCAACTACCGAGTCCGTGTCTACCGTAAGAATTCCAGGGTCTTCTCCAAGGCCTCCCTCTTACCTAAGAAAAAGCCTTCAACCCCAGCCTTGGCCCATGAGGGCCTCTGACTTCCACTGGCCTCATTTCCACACACAGAGTTTGAGAACCTTCACAATTACAGCCTCTGACTGGATTTTTCCTCCTTCAGAGATTCCTGGGAAGCCAGAAATTGTAGATTCTGCCTCTGAACTCACGGCTGGTGTTCCCAATAAGGTAGTGGAAGAAAGCAGGAGAAGTAGAAAACGGCCCTGTGAACAGGAGGCGAGTGTGTGTGGGTGTGGGTGTGTGGCATCTCTCATTTTCAAAGGATTCTGAGGTCACCACTCTTTCCCCAGGTGGGGACATGTGTGTCAGAGGGAAGCTACCCTGCAGGGACTCTTAGCTGGCACTTGGATGGGAAGCCCCTGGTGCCTAATGAGAAGGGTGAGTCCTAAGGTGCCCCCCAAGCTGCCTTCTCCCTGATCTCACTCCCACACCCACCCTGGGATAATTTGTCTTATCCTCCCATCATAGGAGTATCTGTGAAGGAACAGACCAGGAGACACCCTGAGACAGGGCTCTTCACACTGCAGTCGGAGCTAATGGTGACCCCAGCCCGGGGAGGAGATCCCCGTCCCACCTTCTCCTGTAGCTTCAGCCCAGGCCTTCCCCGACACCGGGCCTTGCGCACAGCCCCCATCCAGCCCCGTGTCTGGGGTGAGCATAGGTGGGGAGGGCCCCAAGCTCACGTGAGCACGTTCTGGAAGTCTGACCCTTAGGGAAAGAGGGAGTCAAGCCCATGGCCACTGGGATCACTCACAAGTGTAACTCTCCACCTCAAAACCCTTCCAACTCCCAGAGCCTGTGCCTCTGGAGGAGGTCCAATTGGTGGTGGAGCCAGAAGGTGGAGCAGTAGCTCCTGGTGGAACCGTAACCCTGACCTGTGAAGTCCCTGCCCAGCCCTCTCCTCAAATCCACTGGATGAAGGATGTGAGTGACCTGGAGAGAGGGGCTGGGAGGTAGGGTGAACCATAACTAGCAACAGGGAGGGCAGAGGGCTAACGAGGGAAAGGCAGGCTAGGAGCTGAGGAGGAAGAGAGGGTATCTGAAGATATGGAGACAAAAAGACAAGGGTTTTGAAATAGTCTCCTCTCCCCTTCCCCCACCAGGGTGTGCCCTTGCCCCTTCCCCCCAGCCCTGTGCTGATCCTCCCTGAGATAGGGCCTCAGGACCAGGGAACCTACAGCTGTGTGGCCACCCATTCCAGCCACGGGCCCCAGGAAAGCCGTGCTGTCAGCATCAGCATCATCGGTGAGACCTCTCCCCAAGCCCTACAGACCCTGGGACTAGGGTGCAGGACAGCACAGGCTCTAATTTCCTGCCCCATTCTGGCCTTATCCCTAACAGCCACCCCACCTCTCCCTCCATGCACCCACACCCAAGCCTCCCCTGCCCCACCCAAATTCTGCCAAGAGAGCAGCCAAGCCTCTCCCTTCTTCCCTCTGAGCTAAAAAAAGGGACAGACGGCTGGGCGCGGTGGCTCACGCCTGTAATCCCAACACTTTGGGAGGCTGAGGCGGGCAGATCACCTGAGGTAGGGAGTTCGAGACCAGCCTGACCAACATGGAGAAACCCCATTTCTACTAAAAATACAAAATTAGCCAGGCATGGTGGCACATGCCTGTAATCCCAGCTACCTGGGAGGCCAGCTACTTGAGAGGCTGAGGCAGGAGAATTGCTTGAACCCAGGAGGCATAGATTGCGATGAGCCAAGATCGCACCATTGCATGCCAGCCTCGGCAACAAAAGTGAAACTCCATCTCAAAAAAAAAAAGAAAGGGAAAGACTCCACTGGGGCTCCCACTAAATAACCCTCTCTCAACCCGAAGTCTTCCTTTCTGACTGGATCCAACTTTGTCTTCCAGAACCAGGCGAGGAGGGGCCAACTGCAGGTGAGGGGTTTGATAAAGTCAGGGAAGCAGAAGATAGCCCCCAACACATGTGACTGGGGGGATGGTCAACAAGAAAGGAATGGTGAGTGGTGGTGGCTGTGCTCTCAATTTTCCCTGTCTCCGTACAGGCTCTGTGGGAGGATCAGGGCTGGGAACTCTAGCCCTGGCCCTGGGGATCCTGGGAGGCCTGGGGACAGCCGCCCTGCTCATTGGGGTCATCTTGTGGCAAAGGCGGCAACGCCGAGGAGAGGAGAGGTGAGTGGAGAAAGCCAGACCCCTCAGACCTAGGGCTTCCAGGCAGCAAGCGAAGAGGGGTCGGGGGGTGGAACGACAACGTGCCGCATTCCCCCCAATCTTTCTCCTCAGGAAGGCCCCAGAAAACCAGGAGGAAGAGGAGGAGCGTGCAGAACTGAATCAGTCGGAGGAACCTGAGGCAGGCGAGAGTAGTACTGGAGGGCCTTGAGGGGCCCACAGACAGATCCCATCCATCAGCTCCCTTTTCTTTTTCCCTTGAACTGTTCTGGCCTCAGACCAACTCTCTCCTGTATAATCTCTCTCCTGTATAACCCCACCTTGCCAAGCTTTCTTCTACAACCAGAGCCCCCCACAATGATGATTAAACACCTGACACATCTTGCTCTTGTGTGTCTGTGTGTGTGTATGAGACACAACCTCACCCCTATACCCTTGAGGGCCCTGAAGGAAAGGGACTCACCCCCATACTTCACCATACTATACCAAACATCTACTCAAGTTGGGGAGAAGATGCTTCTGTCGGGGGTGGGGGCGAACTTGGGAAGAGATCCCATCAATATATTTCACCTTTTTTATTGAATTTGTATTAAAGGAGGTAGTGAGGGGGCGGAAGCACTTAAGAGTCAGAATCCATATTAGACTCTGGGGAGTGAAAAATTAAATTAAATCAGTAAGATGGGGAGTGGGGGAAGAGTCAGAGGGAACTTTGCCCACCTTTGAAGATGAAATCAAGAAATCAGGGAAAGCAAAGACTTAGGAGAGGAGAAAGACATTCTCTCAATCCATCCTCCTTCCCCAGGGCAGAGAATTAAACAACGTTACTGAGTGAGCCTCTGAGCAGAAGGCTCTCCCATCTATGCACAGACTTCACTCCTCCTCCCCAGGCCTTCCTGGACAATGTCCAGGGCTGGCCTTAGCCAACAGAAATAGAGGGGTCAAGGGGGTCCAGGAGTACGGAAGGGTCAGCAGGGACCCTCAATACTGATTCTTCTCTGGCTGGAGGTGGGCAGGAAGCAGACATAGCTCAAATACTGAGCAGCCAAAAAAAGAAGAAGATGGCGAGAAACAGGAAGAGGGAATCCTGCCAGCTGGAGGCCGGGTGACCCTGTCCCAGATCCACACCTGTGGGAGAGAGGAAAGCTGTGGAAGCATATGCTCCTAGGCTGGGAGGGGGCCTGAGGGGATTCACAGGGCTCCCTGATGGGAGCTGAGTGTGACTCTTACCTGTACCCCGGCGGAAAGGCTCATGGGCATTGAAGACGGTGGTGAAAAAGCCAAAGGGAAAAGCACCAACACCAAATGAGAAGTGGAAGCCCCCGGTATCACCAAATGGCTGGAATCCCTAGGGAGGCAGAAAAAGTCAGACGGGAAGCCGGCAAATCTGTCAAGGAAGGGACACAACTGGACAAGAAGACTCACCCCTCTGCTCTCTGGAGCTGGTCTCTGGCCCTGGGGGCGGGGTGGAGTTTTTAATCTGAGGAAGTGGAGAGAGAAAGTTAACAGGGATTTTTCTCCTCCCATCTTCCACACCGTTTTCCAAGGGCAGAAGCCTTCAATCTTCCCTAAGCAACACCTCCAGTCTCTCACCTGGGATCCTGGGGCTTCTGGCTCCCTCGCCCATAAAGCGGGACAACCTTCTCTCTGCTGATCCCAGCTTTACATACTGGACACTCTTGCCGTTCTGGCCGTGTCTCCAGCCACTGGGGAGAAAAAAGGTGGTTTCCAGTATACAAGAGGGTCTTACAGCTCCTCAGACCTCCCCATTTCCCTCTTCATCTCCTGAGTACGCACCTGATGAAGACATGGCCAACTGGATGGGGGAGAAAAAAAAAAAAAGGTCAAACTAGCTACAGAAAAGAGAGACACAGACCCTAGACTTCGCAGAATCCCATCTAACCCCTCTTCCCAAGCAACCTGCTGTTGCTTTTCAGATTTTCTGCAACCTCTACCATGCCAGCCAACTTAGTTAGCCTTCCTGCTTGTCTGATCTTCCAACACCTAAAGCTCTGTCCATCCTCAACACACTCAACCCTCTCCTTTCTCCTCTCCCCAACAAACACATACAAATTTTCGTGCCCTCTCTTTTCTGCCTTTCAAGTTAATTTCTAATTTCCTTCAGCCACCTCTTTCCGGGTCTCCTCTTTTCAACCCCAACCCCATCACTCCAAACCAAACCCCTTTACTAGCACATTCCCCCATTACTCACTTTCAAGCTCAATAATGTCCCTATCTTTATGACCCTTTAACCTTTCAAGTCTGCCTCTCCACAGTGCCCTTATACCAGCCCCCTCCCAGATCTCATCTGAATGTGATCCATATTTCCTGGTTCTCCCCGACTCAACTGATGCGTGCCTCCCTTAACCTTTGTGTCTCACTTGTTTCCACCTGCACAGCTAAGACCCCTCACTTCTCTGGGGTAAGGTGGCTCGGGTCTCACATTGTCCTGCCACTCCCCGCCCCACCTTCTCTTCTCAGCACATCACATGCCTCAGCTCCTGGTTCCTAAGACCTTTCTTTCCACAGATCTCGACCGTTATACTCCCACCCACACATACCAGCAAAGTCTTATGTCTCCTGTCGGGCTTCACCTATGGGAACGTGCCCTCCGATTATCTGTATGACTGTATGATTATTCTCTCCTAGCCTCTCCAGTATATAAGCGAGACCCACCACCTCCCGCCCCCCTCCTCGATTCTCACCAGTACAGGTGGCCACACACACTGACCACAGCTTCCCGAGCAGTCTCCAAACATATATTACATTCGAAGGTCGCGCCCGCCCCGCCCCGCTCGCGATTTGGCCCTTCGGGGCCCCCGTCCTCCTCCTCCGCTGCTGCCATGGCCGGTTTTGTTTCGCCCCACGTACCCTTCAGTCCCCCCAAATACACATACACACGCCCCAACAAACCAGAAACCACCTCCTGCCCACGATCGTTGGGCAGGCTTCAAGGTTTCCTAATCACTATTGGTCTGAATGCCTGCCAGTCACAAAGAATTCAAAAGAAAGGATTGGCCCAAAGGGTAGGGGCGGGAAAAGGTTAGTGCAGTCCTGCCTTCGCACAATGGCTATTGGCTGATACGGTCTAAGTCAATGTGCAATGCCAAGGGATTGGTAATAACTCGCTACACCCTGTCCCCTGGCCAAGGAGGGCTTTATTCGTCTGAGTAGTTGTCAGTCATAACCAAAGCCATAAGCAATTTGCTCGGGACTACCTATAGACCTCGCCCACTATAAGCCCCTTTCTTTCCTTCGCTTCCTCTTTTAGAGAATGTCCGGATTGCTATTGGACTTTGGAGCGTATGGCTCCAAATCAACTCATTGGCTAAAACTTGACGGAAAATGGTGGTTAGGTAAAACGCGCCTGCGCAGCACGCGGCGGGACGGGGGTGGGCCAATCCTGTGAGGGTTTAACCTTCTCTTGTTCCACCTCTTCACCCCTATCTTGTCGCCATGGTGACTGCTCTACAATTGGCGAGGCTTGCACTTCAAAGTCCTAGGCTCGCTTCATCCGGGTCCTTCAGCTGTGGACTTTCTGCTGATTGGGCCTTTTCCTTTTCCCCTGATTGGCCGACATCGGGAAAGACGGCGAAGAGCTAGGAAAAGAGGGAAAACACTAGGGTCGCAGGGTTCAAAATGGCTCCAACCTCCTTTGGTGACGTAGAGAGCAGAACTTGGGTCTGCCCCTCCCTTTTAGTTAAGGGAGCAGAACTGGGATTAGCCCGACGTTTGGATAGTGGGAACATCGATCTGCGGCGCTGGTGTTAACCCAACTCATTCGGCTGGACGACTCAGCCCTCCCCATATTAGGTGATTTACAGAGCAAAACTGAACTAAAGGCCCACCCCTTTCTTAATGTTGTACACAGAGTAGAACAGGATTGACTTCAACTCCGTTTTAAACCTTCAGAGCAGGAAAGCTCTGGACTCAACCCCTTTGTGAGTGGTGCAAAAGGGACAAAGCCCGCCCCTTTTAAGGAGACCCGCGGAGGCTAGACCCGCCCTTTCCTCTTTATAATTTGCCCATCAGAAATAGGGTCTTCTTCCCAGGTTGGACCCCGGGGAGTTTGGGCTTTTCCTACAATCACTGACCCTCACTGTGACTAAAGGAGCAGAATTAGGTAACAGTCCTCCCACTACCAATCCTCTTCCCGAGGGCATGTAAACTAATGCAGGGTAAAGGTGTGGCTAGAGGGGGGACCTTGATAAAAGATCCCATGTGACTCAAGAGTAAGGAAAGATGAGAAGTTAGCAGTTGCGTAAAGAAGGACTGGGGCAGATGAGGATTCAGGAAGCTTGAGGTTTAGGAAGGAAGATATTGAGAGGGAAAGGTGGAAATGAAGGAGAGTGAAGTGATGGAATGATCCTAGTAAAGGGATAATGGGAGTGGAGGAAGAGAAGAGGGGGTGGAAAACTAGATACATGGCTACCAAATTAAGGAGGCACGCGCATTCCAGAGGAATCGGCATTCTTCCTCACTTTTTATTTTTCTAGAAAGCACCCCTGAAGCCAAATTTCCATTGGAAGAAAAGATGTACCCATATTGTATGTTGTGAGAAGGGGTTGTCTCAGCTTGGGCAAGTAAGGAGACTGATACGAAGGAAGTAGGAAAGAAAAGGTACAGAGGTAAAAGAGCATGGAAAAGGAAAGGGTCAGGGATAAGGCCAAAGAGATCTCTTCTCTTTAAAGGCCAGAGAAGGCAGGTGGAGGGGGGAGCTGGACTGCTGGGAGATAGTGAGGGACAAAGGGCAAAGGAAACCAGACCAGAGGACTGGAGAGTGAGATGGAGTGAGATGGAGTCCTGGAGAGAAAAAGAAGAGAGGTGAACTTAATGCTTGTCATATGGTAGGTAGATGCTTGATAAATGTTTAGAATTGAATGGGTACGGGAAAAGGGGTCCTTAAGAATAGTTGGGGGGAATAAGCAGCAGATAACCGGAGTTGAGAAAAAAAGAGACCAAGTAAAAGTGGCAGTTAAAAGAGAGCTGATGGAGAATAAAGGAAGGAATGTGCGGAAGGAGGAATACAGCACCAGGGGATCCAGAGCTGAAAGGGAGTTAGAGAAAAAAAAGATGCAGCTGGAGCCAGAGATGGGGGCAAAGACCGAGGGAGAGCCCTGGGGCGGGGCTCGCAAGAGGACACTGGTAGATGTGGGGAGGAGATGCCAGAGTTTCTGGGAGACGATTGGCAAAACAGGCTGCCCATCACCGCCCTCCACTTCCTGGCCGGCCCCGGAAACCAGCAGGCGTTGGGGAGGGGTGGCGGGGGAATAGCGGCGGCAGCAGCCCCAGCCCTCAGAGAGACAGCAGAAAGGGAGGGAGGGAGGGTGCTGGGGGGACAGCCCCCCACCATTCCTACCGCTATGGGCCCAACCTCCCACTCCCACCTCCCCTCCATCGGCCGGGGCTAGGACACCCCCAAATCCCGTCGCCCCCTTGGCACCGACACCCCGACAGAGACAGAGACACAGCCATCCGCCACCACCGCTGCCGCAGCCTGGCTGGGGAGGGGGCCAGCCCCCCAGGCCCCCTACCCCTCTGAGGTGTGGGCGGGAAAGGGATGGGAGGAGGAGGGAAGAGGGTGCTGAAAGCGACTAGGATGAGGGGAAGGGGAGAGATTGGGTCTGGGAGGGCCGACTGGGGGAGAGGGTTGCTGGGGAAAGGAGAGGGGCCGACTGGGAAGAGGGTTGCTGGGGATAGGAGAGGGGACCTGAGAGGGAGGAAGGATGGAAGAGACCTGGGAGGGAGGAGAAATGGAAACCCTTGTGAATTTGGGACTGGGAGCGTGCACAGGGAATCCTGGAGAGGGAATTCCCTACACCTTCCCCAATTCCTTTTCTTGCCCTTTGACCCCACATGACTCTTGAAGGGTCATGAGGGGAGAAGGCCAGCAGAATTTGCCTCTTAGGAATACCCTTAGGTGCCTCTGTTTCCATCTAGGCACAGGACCTCTTGTTTCTCAGTGGCCTTCCACACTGCTAGACCCTTACTGACACACAAATGCCTTATGGGAGCCATGTTTTCTACATTGAGTCTGTGTGCCTTTGACATGTTTAATGGCTTGTGTGCAACTAGGTTGTCCCAATGCTATCCATAGGCTGTGTAGAAATGGTGTGTTATTTTCTATCAGAATTGCCCATTCTTCATTCTTGTGTCCATGTCTCACATCCAGTTTTGACATGTTTTAAGTACCGCATGTGTGTGAGTTTTCATATATTGCACCTGTTCTATAATTTCATGTTACTTGCACATTTTATGTTTTGGCATGTTTATTTCAGCATGTGAAGGTTATATACCTTATTTTGCTTTGGCTGACATGTCCATGGTCCTACCATTTGCAGTAGTCTTCATGTGTGGGATCCCATGGCTTGGCTGAATACCCCACACTCTGATGTCTGACTGAATTGGCCTGTTTGCTGTGTTTTCCCAGTCACAGTTCACAGAACACATGTGTATGCGCCTTTGCATGATACACTGATGTAACAGGACCATAGAATGTGTGTTATAAATTTGTCATCAGTATATTTTGTGAGCCGTATGCTCATTAAATTTGGCCCTCCATTGCATTTCTAAATCCTTGGACTTTTGTTCTCCAAAGAGGGTCACTTAATATCAAGTGTTAAGAGAAGAAGGTAACTGGGTCTCCAGGTCTGCAAAGAACCATCCCTGCATGCCTTACCTTGGTGACCTCCCTGGCCCATACCTCTCTACACAAACATTATCTTTCCAGTGGCTGTGTACAGTCTGTGTCCATGAGCTCAATGCATGTCACAGGGTCAATCCTGCTGTGAACCCCATTGTTGGTATTTATTTATGGACATTATCCTCCATTCTTTGCACTGTTGGCACACATTTGATGAGAGCAGCATCTTTCCCTGTGGCATCTTGATCCCATTCGGTACATTTCTCTTGTGAGATGACCTCTTCCTGATTATTGTTACTCTGCCTTCATTATGGCTATGTATTGCATGTATCTATTCAGAGTCGGTTACCATTAGGCTTGGTGTGTTCGTTACTTTCTCAGTGACTTCTTTTAGTAGTCACTTCTACTCAAGAGGATAACTATCTAATTTGTGATCAGAACCGCCATCTCTGTCATTAACTGTGGCTCTATGGGTGGGTATACAGCCTTAGAATCTGTTCAGCAAGTGTTTATTGAGCACCTACTCCATCTCCTATTGTCCTGGCACTGGAGATAAGACAGAGTCCCTGTCCTTAAGCTGCTTACAGCCTAAGGAGGGAAACAAAAACGCCAGTCAACACATAGTGTGTTGTCAAGATCAGTGGTTCTTAAATTCAGGCGCACATCAGACTCACCAGAGGGCTTGTTGAAATACAGATTGCTAGCCAGCCACGATGGCTCACACCTGTAATCCCAACAGTTTGGAAGGCTGAGGCAGGAGGATCGCGTGAGTCCAGGAGTTCAAAACCAGCCTGAGTGACAGAGTGAGAAAAAGAAAAACAGATTGCTGGACCTAATGCCCAGAATTTCTGATTCAGTAGATCTGGGGTGAAGTCTAATAATTTGCATTTCTATACTTCGAGACCCGCTGATCAAGATAAAAGTGTAAGGAAAGCACAGGCCTGGAGGGGTTCAGGCAGCCCTCCAAAAGGTGACACTGAGCTGTGTGAGGCAGGAGAAGAGACAGGCATTCCAGCCAAAGGGAACAGCATGTTCAAGGTGGGGAAGCATGAAAGATCATGGTGTCTGAGGAACTGAAGTGAATCAGTTTGACTGGAACAAAGAGTTTTGTGAGGATGTGGTCGAAGATGTAAGCAGAAGTCAACTTATCAAGAAGAGCCTTTAGGCAAGACAGGGAAATGCTCTGTGTTTCAGAAAAATCTGTGCTAACAGAAAAATCTCTGTGGTTGCTACGTGGAAGATGGATTGGAGGGAGTTGGGAGCCTACTCCACATAGTTCAGGGGAGAAATGATGCTGTTCTGAACTTGTAGGGGCAGTGGGATGGAGCAGCTCAGAAAGCCTACGGTATTCCAACTGGCAGGGTCTCCTGTTTCCTCTATTGCCTGTTACCTTCTCGCTTGGCAATAGGCTTACCTTTGAGCATAGCCCTTCCCATCATGGGAAGACAGTGCCTGTGGCCTCAGTAGGAATGACAGGTATTTGCCAGAACACCCTTTTTGTGAATTGTTACCCTGCCCCCAACACTGGGGCAGAGTGGAGGAAGGAGGAAGAACCTAGAACACAGGTTCTGTGTTCCTGCCTCTCTTCCTCTTGAGCCCTTTCCTCTCCCAGGGCAAGTGCTGTTAGGTCACCTTTACTCCATTCCCTCCTTTTTTCACTTGGTGAGGCCTCACACACTGTACCTGCCCACGCAAAGTGTCACTAGAAGGAAGGGAAAGGGTAGTAGGATTCGTTTGCCTGTCTGGAGGTAGGATTGGTCTTTGTAGCTATTCCAGGTATGTCCATAAGTTTACCTAGGAATAGGGGAGCTGCCTGGGTGGAGAGGGATTTTTCTAGTTATGCATTTACATTCTTTTATCTGTCACTGGGTGTAATTATAAATTTGTGTCTATGTGTGAACATGTTAGTCTTTGTATGACTGTGTGTCTGTTGGCATTAGTGACACGAACTTTTAATCTTGCCATTTGGCCCTTGGGTATATGGCTGTGAGTGTTCTGTCACAGTCACCATATATGCTGTGTGCTGTGTTCGTATATATATATGCAATACATACCAGTGTCAGCGTAATGGAGTGGTTAGGAACACAGGCGGCTTAGATTTAACCTAGAAACTGCTGTTTAGGAGCTGTATGACCTCAGGTAAGTTATTTAGCCTCCCTGGGCCTATTTCCTATAAAATGTAAATAGTAATAGTACTTTCTAGACTATCATATTCATCATTTTAAGAGTTTAACTTAATGTATAGACCAGTACTGTTCTACAGAAATATAATGCAAGCCACAATGTAATTTTTTTATGGTAGCCACATTTTTACAAGGCAAAAAGAGTGAAATTAATTTTAGTAATATATTTTCTTGAATCTGATAACATCCAAAAGATTATAATTTCTTTTTTTTTTTTTGGAAATGGAGTCTCACTCCATTGCCCAGGCTAGAGTGCAGTGGCGTGATCTTGGCTCACTGCAACCTCCGCCTCCCGGATTCAAGCGATTCTCCTGCCTCAGCCTCCCGAGTAGCTGGGATTAAAGGCATGCGCCAACAGGCCCGGCTAATTTTTGTATTTTTAGTAGAGACGGGGTTTCACCATGTTGGTCAGGCTGGTCCTGAACTCCTGACCTCGTGATCTGCCCACCTCGGCTTCCCAAAGTGCTGGGATTACAGGCGTGAGCCACTGCGCCCGGCCCAAGATTATAATTTCAAAATGTAGTCAGCATAAAAGATTAGTAATGGATATCTCACATTTTGTTTTTTATTCAGTCTTTGAAATCTGATGTGTATTTTACATTTCCAGCACATCTCAGTTCAGACTAGCTGCATTTCAAGTAGCCACATGTAGGTGGTGGCTACTTTCTCGGACAGCACAAGTATAGACCATTATAAGACCCTTACCAGCTACAAGTGTTAGCTATTATTCTTGTTGTCATTTATTATCAGGTATCTGTGAATTGTAGATGTCTGTGTCTTGTGTCTCTTGTCTGAATATATCCGGAGCCTTTGGGAAGAGTGGTGGGAGAGCAGTCCTGAGCTCTTTCTCCACCACCCTCATCCTAGAGAGCCTTCCTGGGAAGGTTTCAATGAGACCCCTGCCCCAGTTTGTGTCTCAGGCCCTTGTCCTCATAGCACCAGCCCCCAGCCCTGCCTTCTGTGCCTTGCCTACCCCACTCTCCTCCAGAAACCAGGCTGATTGTCCCTTGCCCCATCCCCTGCAGGTGGCCAGAATGGATTTGTGGCCAGGGGCATGGATGCTGCTGCTGCTGCTCTTCCTGCTGCTGCTCTTCCTGCTGCCCACCCTGTGGTTCTGCAGCCCCAGTGCCAAGTACTTCTTCAAGATGGCCTTCTACAATGGCTGGATCCTCTTCCTGGCTGTGCTCGCCATCCCTGTGTGTGCCGTGCGAGGACGCAACGTCGAGAACATGAAGTGAGGGGCAAGGGGTCTTGGGCAATGAGGGAACCTAAGGGTACAAAGTGAGTAGTGGATTGGGGGAAGGGGGCATGGTGTGTGTAGAAAAGACTGAGAGAGACCAGAGACAGGGAATGGGGAGAGGACTGCAAAGGTGGTCAGAAAGACAGTAAGGTGGGGGGAGCTGAGGCATGCAGATGGACATCAATGGATCCCACTGGGACCCCTTGCCATGACCCCACAGGATCTTGCGTCTAATGCTGCTCCACATCAAATACCTGTACGGGATCCGAGTGGAGGTGCGAGGGGCTCACCACTTCCCTCCCTCGCAGCCCTATGTTGTTGTCTCCAACCACCAGAGCTCTCTCGATCTGCTTGGTGAGACCCCACCACAGGGCACACCTCCCCCAGCCATGCCTCCCCTCCTGAAACCTTCCCTAGAATATCTTCTCCTAGAGATCCTCAATTCCCCTTCCTCTGGGACATTGCCCCCTTGCCTCCCACTCAGGCCTTCATTCCCTGGGTAGAACTGCCCTCATAAGCAGGGTACATATACTTTTGGTCACCCTTTCCTTCACTTGGGGCCCCCCTCCCTGCCTAGTCTCCTCCTTCACCTCCAGTCCCTACCAGAGGGTGATGAGCTGGGTGAGGTGGGTTGCCTTCTGTGACACTCTGCCTCCACCCCGATCCTCACCCACTCCCACCCTGCCCAAGGGATGATGGAGGTACTGCCAGGCCGCTGTGTGCCCATTGCCAAGCGCGAGCTACTGTGGGCTGGCTCTGCCGGGCTGGCCTGCTGGCTGGCAGGAGTCATCTTCATCGACCGGAAGCGCACGGGGGATGCCATCAGTGTCATGTCTGAGGTCGCCCAGACCCTGCTCACCCAGGACGTGAGTCATCCTGGGGAAATGGGGGATTGGAGGGATACAGAGTAGAACAGTTGTAAATAAACTGATATGCAGGGCCAGTGGGCCTCAAAGGTCCCATTATAACATCACACCTATTCTGACTCCTCCATATGTATTTGTCTTCTTTGACCCTCTTTCTCCCCCAGGTGAGGGTCTGGGTGTTTCCTGAGGGAACGAGAAACCACAATGGCTCCATGCTGCCCTTCAAACGTGGCGCCTTCCATCTTGCAGTGCAGGCCCAGGTGACTACTGCTCTTCGTTCTGCTACTCAGCTGCCAACCCCCACCATTCCCTCATCTCTGGGCAGGGGCTTATTGTAGGAGTCTCTGAAGAGAGCTGTGGACTGACCTGCTTTAACCCTTCCCCAGGTTCCCATTGTCCCCATAGTCATGTCCTCCTACCAAGACTTCTACTGCAAGAAGGAGCGTCGCTTCACCTCGGGTGAGGGCTTTGAGCAGTTCTGGGGTAGGGTGTGTCCGGAGAGGCTGGGAGGACATCCCTGTGAGGCAGGGGGATCATTCAGTGTCAGAGCCATGAGATGTCTACACAGTCATCTAGTCTAACCCCACATCAGCCAATAAGTCTTTACTAAGCACCCACCATACCCTGCCAGATGGGTAGCACTTGGTCCCACCAAGAGAGGCTGTTACTAATCTTAACAGGAAAGATAAGGCCTGTGTGCACAAAGCTGTAATGAATAACACTCATTCAGCAGTAAATGCCAAACCCAGAGGAGGGGGGCTGGAGGGGTGCTGAGGAGATGTCTGAACTGGGGATTGGAGAAGGCTTTGTATAGGAGAAGGGCCTCAGAAGTGGCAGCTGGCAAGCCCAGGGATGGTTGTCCAGGGTTGGGGGAAGAGAACTGAAAGGTTGAGGAAGAGTATCACTCGGAAGCTGGGCCCCACCTGTGGGCAAAGACCTGGGTGGACAGGCCATGATGGTGCTCCCCTTGCCCCAGGACAATGTCAGGTGCGGGTGCTGCCCCCAGTGCCCACGGAAGGGCTGACACCAGATGACGTCCCAGCTCTGGCTGACAGAGTCCGGCACTCCATGCTCACTGTTTTCCGGGAAATCTCCACTGATGGCCGGGGTGGTGGTGACTATCTGAAGAAGCCTGGGGGCGGTGGGTGAACCCTGGCTCTGAGCTCTCCTCCCATCTGTCCCCATCTTCCTCCCCACACCTACCCACCCAGTGGGCCCTGAAGCAGGGCCAAACCCTCTTCCTTGTCTCCCCTCTCCCCACTTATTCTCCTCTTTGGAATCTTCAACTTCTGAAGTGAATGTGGATACAGCGCCACTCCTGCCCCCTCTTGGCCCCATCCATGGACTCTTGCCTCGGTGCAGTCTCCACTCTTGACCCCCACCTCCTACTGTCTTGTCTGTGGGACAGTTGCCTCCCCCTCATCTCCAGTGACTCAGCCTACACAAGGGAGGGGAACATTCCATCCCCAGTGGAGTCTCTTCCTATGTGGTCTTCTCTACCCCTCTACCCCACATTGGCCAGTGGACTCATCCATTCTTTGGAACAAATCCCCCCCACTCCAAAGTCCATGGATTCAATGGACTCATCCATTTGTGAGGAGGACTTCTCGCCCTCTGGCTGGAAGCTGATACCTGAAGCACTCCCAGGCTCATCCTGGGAGCTTTCCTCAGCACCTTCACCTTCCCTCCCAGTGTAGCCTCCTGTCAGTGGGGGCTGGACCCTTCTAATTCAGAGGTCTCATGCCTGCCCTTGCCCAGATGCCCAGGGTCGTGCACTCTCTGGGATACCAGTTCAGTCTCCACATTTCTGGTTTTCTGTCCCCATAGTACAGTTCTTCAGTGGACATGACCCCACCCAGCCCCCTGCAGCCCTGCTGCACCATCTCACCAGACACAAGGGGAAGAAGCAGACATCAGGTGCTGCACTCACTTCTGCCCCCTGGGGAGTTGGGGAAAGGAACGAACCCTGGCTGGAGGGGATAGGAGGGCTTTTAATTTATTTCTTTTTCTGTTGAGGCTTCCCCCTCTCTGAGCCAGTTTTCATTTCTTCCTGGTGGCATTAGCCACTCCCTGCCTCTCACTCCAGACCTGTTCCCACAACTGGGGAGGTAGGCTGGGAGCAAAAGGAGAGGGTGGGACCCAGTTTTGCGTGGTTGGTTTTTATTAATTATCTGGATAACAGCAAAAAAACTGAAAATAAAGAGAGAGAGAGATCTGGGTGTTGGTGGTTGCATTTGTTAAGGAATTGAAGAAGCAGTTCTTGCCCAGGCAACCTGCCCCCAGCCAGAAGACTCAGGGGCAGGCCAAGAACACAGGCCTCCCCCTTTCTTCAGCTCTCTGAAGTTTCCATTGTTCATTGCTCTTTGGTGGCTGATAGCCTTATCTGCAGCTCACAGTCGGCCAATCCCAGAGGATTAGTGGGTCCGGTTTCTGTATAAATTAGGGGGCAGGGGTGCTGTAGAGGCTTCTTATCGATGATTGACGCCGAGGCCCAGGCTGTTGTCCTCACAGGAGCCTGGTTAATGACATGGCAGACACAGTGGCTGTGGTCAGCCTGGAGTGGACTACACTGCCACTCTCACCAAACAATAAGTGAAACTGTTGGGCTGGGGACAGGATTTCAGAAGAGAACGATGGTAAAGTGGAGAGGCATGAGGATAGTGAATGTTGGAGAGGGGCTTGGAGGAAAGAGGGAATGCCTGAATGGAGAGGGGTCTTGGGGAAAGTTGGGGAATAGAAGTCAAGGCGGGAGGAGTGTGAGGACTCACAGGCACCTAGCCTCTCCTCCAGCAGCAGCACCTGGTCGCTGAGAGATTCGATCCGGTCACCCCGGCCCCACAGCTCAGCCACCTGTTCTGGCTGCAGCTCTTCAGGCGGCACGGGCAGCACCGCTCTGACCCAGGCCCCAGCCTGACCGGCCCACTAGAAAGGAAGAGATGCCTCAGGGTATTGACAGTGACGTCTGGCCTCGCCCCACCCAGCAGGCTTGGCTCACCTGCTCCAGCCGCTCCAGGCGCCCTCGCAGCTCGTGAATCTCCTGCTTCAGAGCGCGCTCATCTTTTTCCGCCTCCCGAACTAGGGACAAAGGAGACCAAGAGTGTGACCACTACCCGAGCCCGGACGCCCGTCCCGAGTCCCTCGGGTGGCCCGTACTCCTGCCCACTCACCGGCCACGCTGAGTATGCTGGCACTGGTTGGGGGCTCTGGGGACCCCTCCATGCAGGTGCGCCCGTCCACGCCTAGCACTAGGTCATGGGGGCAGCCGCAGGTGAAGCTGCCTGCCGTATTAAAACAATGGTGCGAGCAGAGGGTGATGCTGGTCCTACATTCATCCACGTCTAGTTACCGAAAAAAGGAAGGGGCTGAGAGAGGGGGCGGGGGCAAGCACCTGGGTAGGTGGGGAGGACAAGCTGACTCACCCACATGACAGTGCTTCCCTCCCCAGCCGGGGGCGCACTCGCACTGGTCAGGCCTAACGCAGACGCCTCCGTTCAGGCAAGGCTTGGCGCAGATGGCTGAGGACAGAGGAAGTGGGGTTCAGACTCGAACCGACGACCCAGCTCCCCAGCTCCGTGGGGCGCGCCTCCCGCAAGGCCCGGAAGACCCAGCCTCACCTTCACAGGTGAGCGCCCCCGGGTGCCGCTTCTTCCAGCCCTGGCAGCACACTGCATGGGTCTGCTGAACCTCCCGCTTCACCTCCCGCCACATAACGCGGTACATGGTCCTGGAACACAGCGCCCGGCTCAGGACCCTGAGTACGGGTCCTAGTTGGGGTTCTTGGGGTCCCATCTCCCCATCCCTCACCTGTAAGTGCTGCAGATGCGCCTCCCAGCGCACAAGGTCAGGTAGGGCTTGTACACTGGTTGGCTGTAGGACTCGTTGTAGTGGAGCGGGACCACCAGTGTCTGCTTGGAGCAGACTCCCTGACTGCGTCCATGCCAGAGGATGAGGTGGGAGAGATTGAGTAGGCCAGGCCCTGGGGAGCCAGGAGTCCCACTTCCCTCAAGAGGCTACTGAGGCCCCCCGCTCTCCCTCCAGATGACAGCCTCTCACCCCCATTCTAAACTTACAGTTATGTTTTGCCTCCTGTGAAGCCCCACCCCCAGCAGAAGGCTCCTGAGAAGAGCTCACCCCGGGCCCTACCCCCTCTGTTGTCACCTCTCTCTGAGGGATCCACCCTTGGCCCCCTCGCCTGGTATCAGTAGCAGGAGGAAGGAGAATCCGCCTAAGAGAGTGCACAGCTCAGCCCTGGACCCCATGATTCGCTTTGACGCTGGACCCTACAGGCTGCAGGCAAGAAAAGGTTAATGGATGCCCGTCCCCTCTCCTATTAATTTCTCCAGCACTAGTCCCTCCAAGGGCACTCTGCAGGTACCCTCTAAGGGAGTCAGGACATTCACTTTTACATACTAGCCACCAGGATTGCCTACACCTGTGTGTACAACCCAACACTATCCTGTCCTTAGCATATCATGATCCTTTCAGCATCATAAAAGCTCACACCCCAGCACACTCCCTCCACCTCCCCTCTAACCTACTTACTTCTAATCCCCTCTGCACAACCTGGAGGGACACACAGTCAACCCTCCCCTTATGACCCTCCTGTCTTTTTTTGGGTTTTTTTTTGTTTTTGTTTTTGAGAAGGAGTTTCGCTCTTACTACCCAGGCTGGAATGCAATGGCATGTTCTTGCCTCACCGCACGACCTCCGCCCCCCAGGTTCAAGTGATTCTCCTGCCTCAGCCTCCCAAATAGCTGGGATTACAGGCATGCGCCACCACGCCTGGCTAATTTTGTTTTGTTTTGTTTTGTAGGGTGTGAGGGTATATAGCTAGGGTTTTTTTTTTTTGGTTTTTTTTTTGTTGTTGTTTTTTGAGACGGAGTCTCGCTGTCACCCTGGCTGGAGTGCAGTGGTGCGATCTCGGCTTGCTGCAAGCTCCGCCTCCCGGGTTCATGCCATTCTCCTGCCTCAGCCTCCCGAGTAGCTGGGACTACAGGCGCCTGCCACCACGCCCGGCTAATTTTGTTTTGTATTTTTAGTAGAGACGGGGTTTCTCCGTGTTGGTCAGGCTGGTCTCGAACTCCCGACTTCAGGTGATCCGCCCGCCTTGGCCTCCCAAAGTGCTGGGATTACAGGTGTGAGCCACCATGCCTGGCCAACCCTCCTGTCTTTAACATGCCCTCTTATAACTTCATACCTTCAAAACCCTAGCTGGTTGGGCGCGGTGGCTCACACCTGTAATCCCAGCACTTTGGGAGGCTGAGGTGGGTGGATCATGAGGTCAGGAGTTCGAGACCAGCCTGGCCAAGATGGTGAAACCCCATCTCTACTAAAAAATACAAAAAATTAGCCAGGCGCAGTGGTGGACGCCTGTAATCCCAGCTACTCGGGAAGCTGAGGCAGGAGAATCCCTTGAACCCTGGAGGCAGAGGTTGCAGTGAACCAAGATCATGCCACTGCACTCTAGCCTGGGCAACAGAGCAAGACTCCGTCTCAAAAAAACAAACAAAACAAACAAACAAAAAAAACCCCTAGCTATATACCTTCACACCGTACACACAAACCAAGCACCTGGAAACTCCACACCTTTCACACACTGCTACTCCCCTCATATACCCACACCGTCACATAACGCCCTAAATGCACATCCCTTGCTCCAACAAAACACCCCGCAACTCATGCCCACCCTAAGGCTCTGAGTAAACCCCACTCTTTCCCCATTTGAAATTCTCTCCCCACTTGCCTTCCTCTCTCTCTCCATTCCCACCTGGCTTCTTTCTCCTGGGAGGCTTCAAGCAGACCAGCCTCAGCAGAAGCAGCTCAGACTGGTGGGTGGGCCTGGCAGGCTAAGAAGGAGAGGAGGGGCTGGGCCAGAGAGTCCTCCCATTCCTGCCCCCTCCCACAAGCCTCCTCCTTAGCTCCAGCAGGGTCAGCTCAGTAGGGTCAAGTCCCACTACCCTCATCCCCACCCCAGCAAAGGGCTCCCTAGAAGTATCTTTCCAACCCTCTGAGGCCCCTATTTCTGGACTCCCCAGATCAGAAGCTATGAGCTCTGTAACACCACCAGTACCCCCTTGAACCCAAAACAGACTAGGGGAGAGTTAGGGGGCAGGGAGAGAACCAGCTGCAGGGAACAAAGCAGTTCAGGTTATGGGAGAAAAAGCAAGATCAGCTGAGGAAAGCTAGAAGGGCAAGTCGTCACAAAGGGGCAGGGGGGCAGCCCAGGGCAGCAAGGGGAAAACTGCCCCCCTCTCTTCATGACATTTGTTAGGGCTTAGGGGGAACAGAATTGAGTCAGCCACCACCCCCCATGCCAGAACAGACAGGGCCCTATTGTCTCAGCCAAAATTCCTTCTTTCAAGGAAGAGGAGGCTCATTGTCCAGCCCTACACCCAGCTCTGGCCCACAAAGCTCAAAAGCGGCACAACGAATGCCCACCCTGACCCTCTGCCCCCTCGTCTAGCCTGGGGGTGGCAGGCGCATTCCACCCATGAGGCTGAGGCCCAAACCACTGGAGCCCTGAGCTTAACCCCCCAGTCTTGGGGACTGGGAGAGGAAGAGAATTGTCTTCAGCAGGAAAGAACCCGCAGAGAACCAGGAACCCACAAAGAATGGGCATTGAGAGAGAGCGGAAACACCAAGGGGGTCCCCACCCTAGACCAGGCATCTGGGCACCCAGGCCTCAGGCTCCGCCCCCACCCTCCTTGGGGAGCCAGGTCCCCTCCACCTGGAAATGAGCCAAGTCACACTGAGGAAATGGAACTTTATTTCCATAAATACAGGGATAACACCTATTCAAAGGTAGTTAAAAGAGGGCCTGGGGCCTCAAAGAAACTAGGCTCTCCCAGGGGGGTACTCCAACACTGATCATAGGGACTGGGGGATCCCCAAACCTGAGATGGGCCTCATAGGCCACAGATATTCCCCAACACTGACACTTCAAGAACGGAACTGTCCCCATAGGGGAGCCTCAGAACCCCACTCTCATGGGTAGTCCCTCTTAGGAGTTGGGAGGGCTGATGTCAGGGGACTTTAGAGAAAAAAGGGAACATGGGGAGGAGAGAAGCTAAAAATGTCCTGAGTGGCCTGGAAGGAGACCCCTGTGGTGGGCAGGGGGTGGGTTCTCCACCCATACAGCCAGATACGGAGGAGCAGCAGCAGCAAAAGCAGCCACAAGTTAAAAACATGGTTTCTCACTTCCCAACTTCGGCCTTGAGAGAAAGGGACAGCACGGAGCAATCCCCCAAATGAGAGGACATGAGGTAGGGGAGGCCTGGAATTGTCATTCATGGAGGAGCAGAGGAAGGGGGTTCTGGGAGGCCAAGTCTCTACTAAAACCCCGTCTCTACTAAAAATGGGGGATAATATGGGAGCAATGAGGTGGTCACAGGCACACCAAAGCCTGACATCTGCTTTCCAAGGCCACCACTTGGTCTCTGGACCGAGGAGTTCCTGGGGACCCCTGAATATATCCTCAGGAGAGCCAAGGTTCAATGCAGGTCTCATAAAGGGTACGGTTGGAGTGCCAGGCTGTGTGGGAGATACCGGCCATTGGACACCTCACTATGGCCCCCCGGGCCAATAGAGTCTTCAACCCAAAAGAATCCCGCAGATAAACCTTCAAGGTGGTCGAAGGGGCGTGGAAGCATGGAAGAGAGACACAAGGAGAGACAAAGTGAGTTACTGCTGGGATCCTGGACCTCCTCCCCACAGGGTGAACCCTTCAGCTCAGGAGTCACAGAGAGGGCTCTGGAATAAGGTGGGACAGCGGCTAGAAGGGGAAGTAATCCCAGGGGGCTCACCAGTTGCTCCTCCATCTCCAGGACGGTCTCATTTGCATCATAGAAACCAAAGAAGCTACAAAGAGATTTGGGGGGAGGTTATCAGAAGAGCTGGAGAAAATCTGGCCGGGCGCAGTGGCACACGCCTGTAATTGCAGCACTTTGGGAGGCCAAGGAGGGCAAATCACCTGAGGCCAGGAGTTCAAGACCAGCCTGACCAAAATGGTGAAACCCCATCTCTACTAAAAATACAAAAATTAGCTGGGCATGGTGGCAGATGCCTGCAAGCCCAGCTACCCAAGAGGCTGAGGCAGGATAATTACTTGAACCCGGGAGGTGGAGGTTGCATTGAGTCGAGATCGCACCACTGCACTTCAGCCTGGGTGACAGAGCGGGACCCCATCTCAAAAAGGAAAGGAAAGGAAAAAGGAAAGAAAAAAGAAAAGGAAAAAAGAAAGGAAGAAATCAAGGTGGGCTAAGGTCCCAAAGGAACCCAAGGCCTACTGGGGAGACAGGTAGCAGGGAGGACACTCAAAACTACCTTACTGGATATAATGTACTTCATGAGGTGATACACTGAAGATACGACCTCACTTCTGTAGAAACCCCATCAAAAATGCATTACTGGCCGGGCGAGGTGGCTCACACCTGTAATCCCAGCACTTTGGGAGGCCAAGGCCGGCGGATCACCTGAGGTCGGGAGTTCAAGACCAGCCTGGCCAACGTGGTGAAACCCCATCTCTACTAAAAATACAAAATTAGCTGGGCGTGGTGGCTCAAGCCTGTAATCCCAGCACTTTGGGAGGCCGAGGAGGGTGGATCATCTGAGGTCAGGAATTCGAGACCAGCCTGGCCAACACGGAGAAACCCTGTCTCTACTAAAAATACAAAATTAGCTGGGCGTGGTGGGCGCCTGTAATCCCAGCTACTCAGGAGGCAGAGGCAGGAGAATTGCTTGATTCTGGGACGCAAAGGTTGCAGTGAGCCGGGATGGC